>NC_000011.10:72873877-73176908 GCF_000001405.40 Homo sapiens | reverse complement strand
AAGCAGCCCTTGGGAAGCCCTTCCAGACACCATGTGGGCTGCACCAGTTTCCCCTTCTCTGGCTCCATGGGCTTGTATTCATTGCTCCTCAGGGAATGGGGTCCTGCTGGCCTAATGCTCACAGTCATCTCAGAAGCTGCTGCTGGAGTCTGTGATTTCACCCGGCTCCCGGGGGGATGCTGCATCAATCACCTCTGTGAGGTCCAGCAAACTGTCCTAAGCATGGAAGGAGATGATGCACATGAAGGCTCTGCACATAAACTCTACCGCACCATGTAAAGCCACTGTACTAGGATGAAGAGCTAATATTTACAAGATGGAATTTAAAAGAGAAATGCAAGACTTTGCACTTGGATGGAACAAAAAAAAAAAGGTTGAGGTCTTAGATGAAAGGAATGCAGTGGGACGTGGCCAGCACAAAGGTAGATTTGATGTCTGGCTGCATTAGCAGAGGCAGAAAGCCTCTGGACTCATCCAAGCCTGCTCTCACACCCTCATGCCTGTCTCCAGAAGCAGCCCCTTCAGCTCTGAGACTGCCTTTTGCACACTGAGCTAAGACCAGCCTCTCGTGACATCCCCATAGTCTCCCTTGAGGCACAAAGGGAGCTGCCCCATGGCCTTGAGATTGCCCTATTCAACTGAGAGGAGAGTGGCTCTGCTTCTTCTCTGCTCTGGGTCTGACACCACCTGGGCAGGGCCTACAGCTCTGAAGCCATGCCTAAGAAAGGGGAACAAAGGTCCACAGAAGAGCCAGTTGGGAAGTCGTGGATTCCTCCACTGGTGGGGCTGACCAGCAGCCTGGGACACCCCTCATGTTAGGGCTGTGAGAGTCTACAAATTTCTAAATTGATCTGAGAATCTGAGGTTCTGAGGCCTGAAACCACTTGGAGGTGAGAAACTCAGCAAGCCAGGAGCCATGCTTTTTGTCCATCAGCTGTTTATTTTGTGTGGCTTTATTGCTGAGTGTGGATCAATAGACTTAAAAAAGGAAGAAAGAGAGAGAGAGAAAAAAAGAAAGAAAGAAAGAGAGAAAGAGAAAAAAAGAAACTTTCAGTGGGAGGCAGGGCTCCGCTGTCCAAGGTCACTTCGGTTTATTTTTGTCACTGGGACAACTGGGAGATTGGGAGCAAGGGCAGTGCCTGGAATTTACTCCTGGTTTCCTCCTCCCTACCATGTCCTTGCATTGTCAGCCCTGGGTCCTAAACCCAACCCAGCCTGGGTAAGAACAAGAGTGCAGGCTGTAGAAGTGGGCAGACCTGGGCCAAAGTTCCTGCATTGCCATCTACCATCTGTGCGGCCTTCGGCAAACTGCTTCGCACTTCTGAATCTTTTTCTCTGATTTGTTAAACATGAGCAAAAACATCTGCCTCCAAGGCTGCTGTGGGGATTAGAAGGAAGATGTGTCACATCAGGGCCCTGGTGCATAATAGGTGCTCAGTAAATGTGAGCTCCTTTCTCCTTGCTCCTTGCTCTTTCTTTTCTTCCTTTCTTTTTTTTTTTTTTTTTTTTGAGACAGAGCCTCGCTCTGTCACCCAGGCTGGAGTGCAGTGGCTCGATCTCGGCTCACTGAAACCTCCGCCTCCCGGGTTCAAGCATTTCTCCCTCCTCAGTCTCCTGAGTAACTAGGACTGCAGGCGCCTGCCATCATACCTGGCTAATTTTTCTATTTTTGTAAAGACGGTTTTTCACCATGTTGGCCAGGCTGGTCTTGAACTCCTGACCTCAGGTGATCTGCCCACCTCAGCCTCCCAAAGTGCTGGGATTACAGGTGTGAGCCACCATGCCCAACCTTCTCCTTGCTCTTTCCTCTTTTTGGGAGACAGTGATGCAGTGAGAAGTCCTGGACTGGGCGGGGGTCAGGACACCTGGGGCTGCTGGGAAGATTTTGCTCCCTGGCTTTGTGACCTAACGCAAGTCCCTGCCCCTCTCTGATGCTTGTTTCATTAGCTGAGAAATAAGGCAGGGGTACCAGATAGTCTCTCTAGGTGCCCTTCCCTTTCACAAGCCCTACATAGGGTACTGTCTGGCTGGGTTTTACTTACCTGAACATGGTTGGTAAATGATCTGGCCTGGAAGGCAGGACCCCTACCCCTGACACACTGGGTGACCTAAAACATATCCCCTTCTCCTCTAGACCTTGGTTTTCCCATCAGTGTACTGGATTGGATGCTGTGGGCTCTGTAGCCCCTTTGGTTCTGATTATCCAGAATCTAGTGCTTCTCATGGGGTCAGGTAGGCCTAGTCAGGCCCCTGTTTCTGGACTCCCATCCATCCATGCACCTACAGCACAATCACAGGTTCTACATTCTCCAGGGCGGAATCCACTCTGTCTCCAACCTCATGGTCTTTCCTTCCACATCTTATCCGAGACTGTGATTCCATCCCCCACTCAGCCTCGGAGTGTCTCTAAGCCTTTCTTTCCTGAAATCGTGGGGTTTCCTCTGACAGGGAATCACCTTGACCCCTTCTGACTCATTTCACAAGAACAGAAAGAGTGCTTGCCTGAAGCAAGGTCCCCACATAATGGCCCACATCTAAACGTGCACCGCCTGCCTTCCCACCACCACAGAGGCTTCCCTTTCCTTGAAGTTCTGTGGAAATGCATGGAGCAGGTTGAGCTGGAGGGCCAGAGGACTTCCGTGCAGTGCACATACATGGAGAGGTCTCCAGGGCACTTAAGATTAAGATAGTCCTGCGCTTGGGCGTCCTGAGCTCGAGCCCAGGAGATAAGGCCCTCCTGGGTTGGTCTGCTCCTGGACAGCTGGCAGATGGCAGGTTCACAGCATCACACCCATTACGTGGGCTGCAAAGGTCACCTAGGGTGGTGCATGACATCATACCCACTGGCAGTGAGGCCTGTGAGCAGCGTCACTGTGGGGCTGTGCCCAGATACTGCCCTCTAGCCGGAAGAGGGCTTCCAGGGTGGAAAGGCCCAGTTCACCCTGCCAGACCTGGCAGGGGCCCGCCCCATCCTGGATCTGATTCTCCTAGAGAGGCAGCCAGGGGTGGAACTCAGAGTTCTCCTCCCCACTGGGACTGCTGTTGGCTGCCCTGCCCACCAGGAAGCAGTGGGAGGAGGCTAGGGAGGTCTTGCCAAGGAGTATCCCTAGAGGATAGGGGTCTCCTCTGGGCACCACTAGTTTGGACCCTGTTTATAATGGACTAGGTCACCACATCATGCATGGTGGTCAGCATACTCCCCAGCTTGAATGCACTTAGGGAAAGGGACTGGGTCATCCTGAGCCCCAGGGCCCATTTAGGGCTTGGCACAAAATAGATGCATAAAAGCTACTCCCATCTATGCCCTGTTTTGAGTCTTCCCAGCACGGACCCATAAAGGCCCTAGCAAGGGACCTCCTTCCAACAGAAACAAAGAGGCCTTAGAGTGGGTAGACCTTAGTTCTGAAGGATGGAATGCTAATATTAGCCTAGGGGCAGCTCCTGAGGGGGAGTAGGGCCTATGGAGTGGGATGGAAATAGCCCATGGCATCCCAACAATCCCTGATTCTTTTGCTTGTTTTATGGTCCCATCCCACTCTCTGCATGGATCCTGGGCCCCAGGCCACCTAGACAGGCTTCCTGTGAACGGCTGGGTTTCTAGGTGTTCCATTTCAGTGCGAGGCCTCTCACTATTTCCTACTGCTGGGGGTGCTTTCTTCATCCCCTTCTCCCCGGAAACCCTCCTGACTCCAAAGTCCACTGACTGTGGGACACAAAAGTGACCTTTCCTCTCCAAGTTCTCCAATAATCCCAGTTTTTTCTACTTATCAGCCCACCTAGCCCCAGAGTTATTGGTGCTGTTCATCTTATCTGTCTCAGGAGGTTGCTCTGACAGAAAGCAAATACCAGCCTTGGCAGCCTCAGTTTCTCCACCTGTAAAATGGAGATAGTGATTCCTACCCTTCCAGGTGGATGTAAGGATTAAATAAAATGAGTCAGCTCAGAACCCAGCACAAAGTCATCTCAGTTGTCCACACAGATGGCAGGTAGTAAGGCACAGCCAACCTGCACCAAGATGCAGGAGCCTCAGCGCTGGGGTTCTCAGCCCTGTAGAAAAGCTCCATTAAGCAGCTGAGCAACTCACCTCACCACCCAGGCACAGGGAAGAGTAGCCTGGGAATGTGGGAGACCCAGAGGAGGAGGCAGGCACATTATAAGGTGTCCAGATAGGGGCGGATTGAAGACCACTGACCTCCACTGGGGATCTGTTATGTGCTGCACCACCTGCTAAGTGCATCACAGGCTATCACAGGCACTCACCCCCAGTTCTCAGGATCCTAGAGAAGTTACAGTCGAGACTGGCTCTTTCCACTGCCCCTGTACTATAGCAGTGATGCCAGGGTACCTAGAGGCAGATGAGTGTTCATTTATAGATATAACATCCCAGGTGTGGTGCTCTTTCATGCAGTAAAAGTGAATCTACACTGTAAAGTGATAGGGAGAAAGTGACTTTAAAAAGAGACTTTATTTTGAATTTATTTTTATTTATTTATTTATTTATTTATTTATTTATTTATTTATTTATTTATTTGAGACGGAGTCTTGCTCTATCGCCCAGGATGGAGTGCAGTGGCATGATCTCAGCTCACTGTAACTTCCACCTCCCAGGTTCACGTGATTCTCTTGCCTCAGCCTCCGGAGTAGCTAGGATTACAGGTGCCTGCCACCATGCCCAGCTAATTTTTGTATTTTTCATAGAAACGGGGTTTCACCATGTTGGCCAGGCTGGTCTTGAACTCCTGACCTCAAGTGATCCACCCGTCTCAGCCACCCAAAGTGCTGGGATTACAGGCGTGAGCCACCACACCCGGCCTGAAATAATTTTAGATTAGAAAAGTTGCAAAGGCTAGGGGCCTTCTCTGGAGACCTTCAGTCTTGGGCCCTGTTTCTCATAGACTAGATGGCCACATTGTGCATGGCAGTCAGCATACTCCCCAGCCCGAGTGCTCCCAGGGAAAGGGGACTGAGTCATCTTATACAATTATACCTCTCACCCAGTTAACCTCTTAAATTACTATGCTACGTTTGTTACAACTAAGAAACAGTAGTACATTAGTATTAACTAAACTCCACACTTTAATTGGATTTCACCCATTTTGTCCTCTTTCTGTTCCAAGATCCAATTCAGGGTACCACATTGCATTTAGTCATCATGTCTCCTCACTGTGGTCTGTGACAGAAGAGACTGACTTTTTAACTGATGGCTTCCTATGGGAAATAGAAGAGAAGGCTTTTTTTAGTGGCTTCCTTCACTATCACTTTCACAATTTCACCTCACAAAATTCCCATCAGACATGTGCTTTCTCCGGAAGCAGCTCAGCCCTGTTCTCCTTCCATCTTGATGCCCCACCCAGTCGTCAGGCCCTGGACACCCTTTAGGGACTCTCTGCTATCTCCTCTCTCTCCCTCGCTCCCTTTTCTTACTGGAGGATTTTAATTCTGCCCTGTTACTCTGTATGAACCATTTATTTAACACAGTCTTTAAGTATATCAGTGGCTATTATTCTAAGAATTATAGAACACCTGAAATTTTAGTTTTAGTCCCACTCTCTTCCTGAGGCAGAAACTTTATGCTCTCATGTGAGAGAATGGGGTAAATCCTCAATTCAGTATTTCCCCCACATTCATCCTCCTTCTGTCTTCCCTGCAGTTCTCACATTTCTTTTGGGATCACTCCGGTTCCAGGGAAGCCAACTCCAGCGGGGAAAACATGACCTAGGCTTGAACAATCCGTGCATCCATCCTTCAGCCACAGTGATTGGGTCAGGCATGGCGTGTGACCCAAGATGATCCGATCAGAGTAAGTCTCAGGACTTTCGCAGGCACTCTGGTTCAGTTGCTCTTTTCTCAGCTTCCTGGAGGCACTCCAGTAGAGATGGGAGGGCAGTGGCCATTGTGTTACTGCAAGTGGTTGTTGAGGAATTTTTACTTGAGGCAGACACATGGAACAATTCTGCCTTTTTTTTTTTTTTTTTTTTTTTTTGACAGGGTCTTGCTCTGTTGCCCAGACTGGAGTACAGTGGCACTATCATAGCTCACTGCAGCCTCAACCTCCTGGGCTCAAGTGATCCTCCCACTTCCGCCTTCCAAGTAGCTGGGACTACAGGTGCATGCCACTACACCTGGCTAATTTTTTATTTTTTATTTTTGTAGAGATGGGGGCCTCACTATGTTGCTGAGGCTGGTCTCAAACTTCTGGGCTCAAGCAGTCCTCCCACCTCGGCCTCCCAAAGTGTTGGGATTACAGGTGTGAGCCACCATGCCTGCCTGCTTTTTTGCTTTTATTTTTTCTTGACACTTTCCTCTTTTTTTAAAACGTCATAGATAGAGGTTTTTCTTTTAAATAACTTCAATTATTTAATTGAAGTTCAATTATTGGTCTTGTTCAATTATTACAACTCAGATCAGTCTAGTTTAAAACTTCAATCTCCTATCCAATTAATGGCAATCCTCCTACCCCAGCCAGGCTAGAATTGTGCTTGAAGGGCTTGCTGTGGAATGGGGAATGGCATGCCAGTTACACACTCTGCTCTCTTTTCTGGCCACTAGCACCTGGGGGTGGAGAAGCAGTCTGGTGAGATCTCCTGCTGGCCTGACTACACTCTGCAGGGGAAAGGGCTTCTTGGCCTTACTCTGGTTCTGTCTGCCCTTAGCAGCGTCTGTGATGTGCTGGGCTCCACAGAGGTGATATGTATGGTTCCTGGGGGATTCAATCCTACCTTGGCCCCCTCATTGCCCAGGACTCCCACAGATACGGGCAGCCTGGCCTTCTTTTACCCTGCCATCTGTCTGTCCCCTAGCCCCTCCTTCAGGTCCAGGGGCCCACTGCTTGGCCCAGTGGCTGCCGGCTGGCTCTCTGGTTCCTGCCCCTCCTCTAACCCCCATGCTCTTTCCCATGGAGCCATGGGAAGTATGAAGAACTGAGAGGGGTGCCTCTATTTTCCTCCCAAACCCACCATACCCTGGTCCTGACAAGCTCTGCTGACCCAGGTGCCTCCATGGGCCTGCTACCTTCGGAACTCTCTGGTCCATTATCTATATTCACAAATGACCCCAGCCTCACAGGAACACAGGCCAGGTCCTCCCTGCCCACAGCCCTGCTTCCTCGCCACACTTTATTTCCACAGCAGCACAGGATGAGCCTGCAGGGTTCGAGCTCAGTGAGCGTGCCCGGAGAAGCTCCTCCCCTTCTTGCAGGCACCCCGCAGTCTCTTCAAGCATCCTCTTGGTTGCTTCCTCACCCCCACATTTAGCTTTGACAGGGAAGACAAACATGGAGATTTGGAACCACTGCTGGTTGAAATGTAGAAGCATCAGCATCCAAAGGGGCTAGTGGGACTCGTGGAATTTTCCATCTGGACCCCTCTCTCACTTCCCCTGCCTTCAGAGACAAGTCCCGTCCCCATATCTTTGATCCTCCCAGCAGTAGGTTGGCCCCTGCCTGCCTCAGCTCTGAGATCCCCATCTCCTGTAAAGGGAAAACAATGATGCATTTACTGAGCTTCTTCAGAGGGCATCTGCCACAGGGTGGCCTTCCTGGTCACGATGAAAATGTGTGCCAGAAAGTTTCAAACTCCTGAGTCATTGGCGTCCCTTAGTTTGTCCTTCAATCTGACCACATGTTCAGGGTCCTGTGAGGTGCCAGCAGGTGCCAATCCTCTTGGTGACCAGACTTTCCCTGTGGAAGGGAGTATCCCCAGGGCTTTAGCCCCTGGCTTCAGGCTTGCTCCGAGAACCTTCTGTGAGTGCTGACCTCCTGCCTGCCCCACCCCCGTCCTGCAGGGTCTCAGATTCAGGAGGCTGAGCGGTGTGTCTGCATTCCCTCCAACTCCCCAGTCAGCACTGGCTCCTCCAGCCATAACTCCGTGGTTCGCTCATATTCTCTGAGGACTGCCCAGCTCAGCCCCACCTTCCTCCTTTCAAATCACCTTACCTAATGGGGAGAATGTCAGGGGTAATATCATTCAGGATTCCGACGAAAACAGATGAAAATGGAAGGTAGTTTTATTTATGAAGGGACTATTTACTAAGTGTAGGGGAACAGCAGAGCTGTCATCACCTTTAGGCCTGAATGGCCAAAAAGACAGAGCAGTTACTGGAATCTGGAATGAGAAAGAGTCACAGAGAGTCTGCCACTTTGAGAGGGGCAGTTGAGTCTAGTTGAGGGACAGGGCCAGCCCAAGGGAGTGTCACAAGAAAAAAAGCAGTAGTAAGTGAGAGGCCAAGGCGGGCAGATCACCTGAGGTCAGGAGTTCGAGACCAGCCTGGCCAACATGATGAAACCCCGTCTCTACTAAAAATACAAAAATTAGCCGACGTGGTGGCAGGCACCTGTAATCCCAGCTACTTGGGAGGCTGAGGCAGGAGAATCACTTGAACCCAGGAGGCAGAGGTCACAGTGAGCCAAGACCATGTCATTGCACTCCAGCCTAGGCAACAAGAGCAAAACTCCATTTCAAAAAAAAAAAAAATAGCGGGAATAAATACCCTGACCTCCCTCTCCTCCCTTCCTCTCATCTCCAGCTGGGCCTCTCCATTGGCCAAACCCAACCTGAAGCCAGAAGCACAGATTGTTGTTAATTAAGGCTGTAGTGGTTATCTTCCTGTAAAGAGCAGGGTGGGAAAGGGTAGGGAATGGAAGATATCCAGCATAGGAAATCCAGTTTCCAGGGAATTCTGCTTTTTTTCAGTGAGGTTTCCCTATAAATTACATCCACGGATATCTCTTCTAGCAGGACCAGATTTTCCATGCTGTGGTCAAGCACATCTTATGGCTTATAGCACACATCTCTTCAATCTTAGTGCATATTGGGCGCGCTTTTCTCCTTCCTGTCGTCCTGTGAATCTTGGCCTCCCCTTCTCACTGCATATTCCTTAAGTGGCACGGGTCATTCTTGTGCAGGAATTGAGGGATTGATCTGTGGCTCTGAATCCGTGTTTGATTCTTGCTGTCAGAACCTAAAATCTCTTAATTTTTCCCACTTCTCTCCCTCTCTCCTACCACCATCCTGTAATATTACAGCAGGAAGCTTTAATCACAATTCAGCATCCTCTTTTTATCCCTGTGGCTGCATTCCTGCAAACGTCTCTCTGTTTTGGTAGCATGTGGCCTTGACCTAGGGTTTCAGTGCTTGTCTGGTAGCCAGCCCTGCAGCAGCAGGTCCAGCTCCAGGAAATCCTGTCTCCATAGCTAAGGCCAAAAGGAGAGGGAGTGGGGACCCAAATCAGCCCAGGGTATCTGCCTCAGTCCACCTCACCCCTTCCTGGAGACACTGGTTTCTTAATAAATCACGTGTCCTTCAAGGCTGGATTAAATATCAGTTTCCAGCCTGGGTCACATAAGGAAGTTTGGGGTTTTTTTGACATCAGTCCCTGAGCTCACTGCACAGGGTACATGGCCTCATTTTTCACTGACTGCTGTCTTGCCACTCTCATTTCTGCTATCAGCACCTTGATTTCCTTTGAGAGACTTTCCCATCTCTACTCTCAGTTCAAGGAATTCCTATGTGGCGGACCCCACATTCCCAACTCCAGAGTTGGGGAAATAATCCAGTTAGCTACATGAGACTGGTACTTTCCCCAGAACTACTGGGAAGGTCAACATTTTCTAGCAGGGCTGATGATGTCAAGATGCAACTCTTGGAAGTCACTTTTCTACTACATGGGGAGAGTAACTTGAGAGGGAAGCCAACACAGAGGAAGAAAGAGTGGTGAGATGGAGATAGATTCCTGGTGACTTGACTTGTGTGCCTGGATCTAGCCATTCCTGAAGCTAGCCATACTCCTGGTTTTCATATTTATGTGAGCCAATAATTCCAAACTCCCCTTTTATGGTTGGGCTTTATTTTATTTCCTTAACACACTAGAGATGAATTTCCATGATTTGCAGCCCAAAGAATCCTGATTAATATACCTTCTGAAAAATTCATTCTTAGGTCAGAATGCTGACCTCAAAGATATAACTTCCCCCTGGCTTTGGGGAAACATTCCAACACCATCTCTGTTTCAGCTGGATCGCCTGCCCTGGTAATTTGGCAGTGATGGAGAGGGAGGCTCACCTTTGGTTCTTTACATAGGGTAATGATTAATACCCAGTTTCAGCTGAGAATTGAATGGCCCATCAAAAAACCTGGGCAGGAGCTGGGCACGGTGGGTCACACCTATAATCCCATAATCCCAGCACTTTGGGAGACTGAGGCAGGTGGATCATTTGAGGTCAGGAGTTCGAGACCAGCCTGGCCAACATGGTGAAACCCCGTCCCTACTAAAAATACAAAAAATAGCTGGGCATGGTGGCACACGCCTGTAATCCCAGATACTTGGGAGGCTGAAGCACCAGGATGGCTAGAACCCCAGAGGCAGAGGTTGCAGTGAGCCAAGATTGCACCATTGCACTCCAGCCTGGGTGACAGAGTGAGACTCTGTCTCAAAAAAAAAAACAAAAAAAAACAAAAAACCCTTGGGCAGGATCCTAAAATGCAGCCTAGGTGTGTGCCTCCATTTATACCCCTCGCCAAAGAGCAAGACTCAACATTTCTCTTAGAATTGCCCCAAAGTAAATCTTTACCTCAAGGCCTTAGTGAGGAATGGTTATTGTATTGTAGATTCCTGTCTAGAGATGGAGTAGTGTTTTACATCAAACAGTCCACAGCAACTCTCTCTCCTCTCAAGCAACCCCAGGCTCCTCTCCTCACCAGTGAACCCCACCTCCACCTTTCCTGCCCTCTCCCCACACTACTTTTTTTATAGCACAATTAGCTCTGGGGTTCTCTTCCTTACCCGTGATATATAAGGCTGTGATCTAGCATAGGAAAGGCCATCACCCTGACCCTGAACAAGACTTCGTTCTCAGCAAACCAAAAACCTGCAACCTACCTAGGTATATTTTCCTTAGAAGGCATGGAGGAAATTGTAAATTTTCTTGTGATTATGGTAGTATCATTATATAATTTCAGATCTGAATTTTTGTTATATATGAGAAAAATGACTTGATTTTTAAATCATTGTACATTACATAGATGTCAAATTACAATATAAAATGATTTTTATATTGTAAAAATTATAAAATATACAACATAAAAATTATAAATATACAATATAAAATATATAATTTTATATTGTAAAATTTTGTATATTGTATGTATTTATAATTATAATATCAAATAATTTTTTAAATTATGTACCCAGAAGGAAAAATATTAATTTGAAGTCATATTTTTTCCAGCTTTACTGAGGTATAATTGAGAAATAAAATGTATATATAATCAAGGTGTACAATGTGATATTTTTACATAGGTATACATTGTGAAATGCTTACCACAATCAAGCTAATTAACATATTCATCACTTTACAGAATTACCTACATTTTCTGAAACATATTTTTTTCCTGTCGTGTGTTATAATTCTTCAGAACCAAATATATACCACACTGCTAAATCACCCCTTAACTGGAGATCAGTTTATGCAAATTACCCAGAGTCCTTTTAACACATTATTTTTCTGCTTAAATTGGTCATTTTTTGCTGTCACTTGCTCCCACAACCCTACAGATGCAGTGGATCCCTCCTGTCCCTTGCCCTAGCTCAGCTTCTGCTTTCTCATAGCCTGCACTGACTCAGGCAGCTACCCACTCCCTCTTTTCTGAGTCTTCCTGCCTCATCTCCTGTTTCCAACAGCTTAGCTTCCTCCTCAGATCTCAGGTTCAAATTCCTCAGAGGAATGAATGGCTGGCCCAACTTAATCCCTGTCTTCCAGTTTGGGCCCCAAGCTTTTTGGGTTGAACCAGCTCTGAAATCTCCAGCAAGTCCATAGCTTAGCTGCTCTGAGGCGTTCAGCTGTAGATAAGGGAGGTGGAGGGTTGTGGAACAGGGTGAGGGGAGAGCCCTTGAGCAAAATGGCTGTCATGACAAACACTCTGGAGCTTAGTCCATTCAGAACTGGGGGTGACTGTCCCCTTGCCACATTACACTTAGAATGTGGGCTCCCATTCCAAATCCCAAACCAGGAGAAAGCCCTGGATTGAGTGGTACCTTCCTGACCAGAGAAGAGAGACTGGAACAACAAGGGAACATCACTCACAGGGACAGGGGAGGGAGAGAAGGGGCCACAGAGGACATAATCTCCACCTTTGCCTGCAGACAAGGTCTCCAAGCACAGAAGCTGAGCTATTCCGGGTGGCCTGGAAGGAAGTATCAGAACCAGGTATGGATGTTACAAGGAGGGCAGACTCCATTTCAGCTTTTAAAATATTTTTCTCACAGTCAGAGCTGCTCCATAACAGACCAGGCAACCTTTGAAGGTAATGAGCTGTGTATTTTGGCAAGGTTGTAATGGACAGAATTCCTATAAGGTTGCAGTGGGTTGAACTTTGAGGTCTTTGAGGTCTCTTGCAGCCCTGAGCTTTGCTATTTGGAATACTTAGTTGAATAAATGAAGAGTGAATAGCTACTTATTATTTGCTGGTTGAATGAAGGTTGATTTGTTAGAGAAAGTGAATGAATGAATGAAATTAGTAGTCCTAATAAATACAGAATGCTTGACTGAATGAAGACTGGTTCATTCATTGATTAGTTGAATGAAGGTTGATTGGTTGGTTGCAAGAAAGAATTCATAAATGTAGGTCATAGATGAGCAGGCTGCTTAAATGAAGGTTTGGTGGCTGATAGGATTCAGTTCCTTGGCACTTGCTATCTTCTCTTATCTTGCCCTTTATCCTGCTTTTCTTTCTTTTCCTTCCAAGTGTAGTCAAGAACTGTTTTCATTTGTGTGCTGGGTGTGCAAAACATTGCAGACTAAAGACTCCTTTTGCATAAACAAGATTGGTTGCCCAGGCACATGCTTATGGTGACTGGTCTAACCTGCTTCTGAACTAATGGGTGATCTGAATTTAGCATCTTGGCCTAGGGAGTGGAACTGAAGGTCACAACTGGAGCTGGGCCTCACGTAGGCTCCCTCATGTGTAGGCAGAAAATGCTGTCTTCTCTGTGGGTGAGCAAAGGTTGCCTATTTGCAAGAAACTATATCCCAAACATTCTTTCAAAGTGCCTAAAATTCCACCAGTAGAATTACACCTTCTTTGCACAACAGAGCTGAAAGGCTGTTGAAGCAGCACATTCCAGCAACCTTTTGCTCAGATTGTTGTGCCTTTGGAGTAACTGTGATCCTTGGTGAAATGTGAATGGAGTCAGGGAAGGGATGCATGTGAAGCCCTTAGTGGCTGGATTAACCAACTGTTGTCACCAGCTCCTTCGGTCAATTTGGTCTATTAGCTGAGCTCAGTGCTCCTAATGGGGAACAGAGGAACCTGGACCCAGGCTGGATAAGCTTTGTAGGGACAGTGAACAGGAAATAGCCTGAGTACTTGAGTACTATCATGGGCTGTAGACATAGGCAAGGGGCCATGGTGGAATCCTGAAGATGAGGAGCGGCTCTTGAAGGGGACCCACGAAGGAAACCTAAGTAAGGAAAGAGGCCCAGAGACTTTCCCTCCCATTCCCCAGGGTTGTCTTGAGCTGGCTTGGGTGCAAAAAGGAATAATATACTTTCCTGGTCCCCCTCATCCTGCCCCACCTCTGGAACTAGAGAACCAAATAACTTGAGAACTGCATGTAACTTGTGTGGTCCCTCCACCAGCTTAAGGTAAAAACTATGGCCAAATTTTTTCCCCATTAATTGCTTGAGCTCCACAAGATTTTATCAGCAGGAAGTTCAATCTGGCCCTCTGGAGGCCTTCCCCCATGTCACAGGAGTGCTCAAAACCCACAGGGACTACACTAGCTCCTTTCCAACAAAGGCACTCTTGAGTCCCAGTCTTGCTCCATCTTACTGTTCAGAGTCCCAGCAGCTGTGAACACATGACCCCCAAATCCAAGCTTTCATTCACACTCCTGAGCTCCAGCAAGTTTCACCAGGAGGAAGGTCCAGAGGGGCTTCTAGGTCCTCAGCCCCAGAGTTAAGCCTGGCCACCAGTCCAAGGCTCCTTCCTACACCACTGGGGGCTCAGGGGTTCTTTCCTTCCAACAAGTGGGGCTCACTGGGGATGGTCATCTTAGCAGCCAGATAACTTTGAACCTCACAAGGAAAGTGACTGGACCTTCTTCCATTTGTGCCCTGGGGCTCCTTTGTCAACGTCTCACTCCTCCCAAATATGTTGCCTTTTTCTTCAGCTCTGCATCCCATTTGATGTTAGGAGAGGCAGCCTTTGTTGGGCCACAAAAGGTCCTGTTTTGTCTCCCAGGTGCTACTTACATCTGATAAACTCAAGTGGTGGACAGAACAGAGAGGGCCTCCTCCAAGGTGACTTGCTAAGTCCTCCCCTAACGACGAAATAGAGAAGCTTCCTGCCCCTGTTACACATGGCCTCCTCCCGGTAAGTATCCCAGAAAGGAAGTGACTTCAGTGACCATTAGTCAGGGACTTTTATACTATGCCACTGGGTTCCTCAGAAAAGACCTCTGTGTGGGGCAAGTCAGGGAGAGGGAGACCAAGAGAAAGTGCCCTCTACACACGAGCACCCCCTCAATACACATACACGCATGCACGCACACGCACGTGCATAGTTATCAGCCCCATGCGACCTTACCTGCCCTTCTTGCCTCCAGTTAACCACTATCAACTCCTCACCAAAGCCTTCATGCAGTCTTTGGGTAACTTTTCCTCTGATTAAAGAACCCTGCAGCTAAAATACGGTTTTTGTTTTGTTTTGTTTTGCTTTGTTTTTTATTTAGAGACAGGGTCTTGCTCTGTCATCCAGGCTGGAGTGTAGTGGTGTAATCATAGCTTACTACAGCTTTGAACTTCTGGGCTCAAGTGATCCTCAGCCTCCCAAGAAGCTGGAACTACAAATGTGCACCACTGTGCCTGGCTAATTTTTTCTTAAATTATTTTGTTGTTGTTGTTGTATAGACAGGAGTCTGCTTAGGCTGGTCTCGAACTCCTGAGCTAAAGCAATCCTCTGCCTTGGACTCCCAAAGCATTGGGATTACAGGCACGAACCACTGCACCTGGTCAAATATGTTTTTTGAAAAAAAATCTCCAGGCCAACCACAATGAGATACCACTTCACACCCATTATGATGGATATAACTTTTTGTTAAAAGGAAAATTACAAGTGTTTGCAAGGATGTAGGAAAATTGGAACCCTAGTGCACTGCTCATAGAAATGTAAAATGGTGTAACCACTGTGGAAAACAGTTTGTTGGTTCCTTTAGAAGTGAAACATTGAGCTACCAAGTTGATCCAGCAATTTCCCTTCTAGGTCTATATCCCCCAAAATGGAAAGCAGAGACTTAAGCAGATACTTATATACCAATGTTCACAGCAGGATTATTCTCAATAGCCAAAAAGTGGAAATAACCCAATTGTCCATCAACAGATGAATGGCTAAACAAAATGTATACCCATAAGGTGAAATATTATTCAACTTTTAAAAAGGAATGCAGTACTGACACATGTACAACATGGATGAATCCTGAAAACATTATGAAAGAAGCCAGATACACACAAAAAACAAGTATTGTATGATCCCACTTATATGAGGTACCTAGAAAAGGCAAATTCATAGACCAAAAGCAGAATAAGAGGATTATCAGGGGTAGGAGGAAGGGGAATGGGGAGTTAATGTTTAATAATTACAGAGTTTCTGTTTGGGATGATGAAAAGCTTTGGAAATGGGCTGGGCGCAGTGGCTTACACCTGTAATCCCACCACTTTGGGAGGCTGAGGAGGGCAGATCACCTGAAGTCAGGAGTTCAAGACCAGCTTGACCAACATGGTGAAACCCATCTCTACAAAAATACAAAAAAATTAGAGGGGCATGATGGCGGGTGCCTGTAATTCCAGCTACTCAGGAGGCTGAGGCAGAAGAATTGCTTGAACCTGGGAGGCGGAGGTTGCAGTGAGCCATCATGCCATTGCACTCCAGCCTGTGCAACTGAGCAAGACTCCGTCTCAAAAAAAAAAGCTTTGGAAATGGATAGTGGAGCACAACATTGTGTATGTACTTAATGACACTGCATTGTACATCATTGTACATCTAAAATAGTTAAAATTGTAATTTTTATATTCCGCGTATATTTTTATCACATACACACAATGCCCATGCCACCTTTCTCTGCCTCAAGCAGAGGCAAAGCTTTCCATGGAGCTTTCTCCCTCCTTGGCCGAGCAGTTAGATGGGACGAGAGACACGGGAGCACCCAGCCAGCACCTGCACACAGGAGCAGTCTCTTCCACTTCATCTGCCTACAGACTGTCCTGACCAGACGAGCCCTTAGTGTTTACAGAGTCCACCTCTTCATCGTACAGACGGGAGTGTGATATGCCCAAAGTCATATACTTTGGTGACTCACTGCCCCATGCTCTCTCTCTCCTGGGCTGGTATGCTGGGAACAGACAACTTTGGGGCTAGGCAGGGTTTCTCTGGGAGGTGATGACATATGACCTCTGGCCTCTGAAGGCTCCTCAACTGGGCTAGGGTGGGGACCAGGATACTGAGAGCTAGGATGGTCTCACACCCAGATGAAGACATAGCCACCTCCACCTAGATGTGATGGGGACACCCCACCTACTCCCCAAGCATTTCCTTAGTCCCATTCCTCCCTCCCATCCTGCCCTGTCCTCCCATGTGACATCACTCCTCTGGCCTGTGTCCCCACAAGACTCCGTAGGGTAGAGAACGACAAGATAGGACAAACTGATAGGCCTGGATGTAGGGTGCCCAGATTAGTTTATCTGTTCAGCAAACTGTCCTTTGCAGGAAAAGCCTGCCCCCGGTGCTGCTGAGCATCGACTTGGAGGGCAGGCATGTCTGAGCCCTGAGGTCAGGAGAAAACTTCCTACTACTCCAGGTGCTTTTCCAGGTCTAGAATTTCTTGGCCAAGGGACAGAGCTTCAAATCATTTCCCAGCAAAGCGAGAAAGATGTCATGTCCACAATGTCTGAATTAACAAAGGCAGCTGGGAGCCAGGAGGGAGAGATCAACAGAAAACAGTTAAGATGGATCAGTGCAGGGACAGAGGATAGTACAGATGGCAGGTTGGATAAAGGTCCTGAGCCTGCCTGGAATGGGGGATCTGGGAGAGCTTCCTGACAGAGGGAACTCCTAATCTGAATTCTAGGTAATCTATAGGAGTTAGGCAGGCCCAAAGGATGGGAGCTGAGGAAGGTCTAGTCAGTGGGGTTGTTCTGGCATTGACTGGGGGCCCTGTTCCCTGAGACCCCAGTGTGAGCTGGAATGGGGGAGGGGGTTATAGGAGAAGGTTGCTCTAGGTTCCTGGCAGCGCTATGGGGTAGGAGGGTGGATGGCTGACAGTGAATCTTAGAGGAGAATCCCACACAGGTGAGGGGTGGGTTCCCTGATCCCCCACTATCCTGGGAGGAGCCCTCCTGGCCTGGGGAGGTAGGTCTCAGCTGACAGCCTGGCTGGGTGTAAGTACTCTCTTTGGCCTGGTGGCTTTCTTCCTGATGACCTTCAATCCCACTCAGGCCACCCCCTTTACATCTGCCTGACACCCGCCCTCCTGGAGGCTCTACTTTTCAACCCAGGAGCCCCCGGCAGCACTGGGCCTCAGTGGGGATGGTGTGGGGGTGTGGGGTGGGCAGGGGTGGCTGTGAGAGGGCAGCTCAATCACAATTTGGAATCCTGGCATGTGAGAGCCCAAAGGGACCATAGGGATAGTCTAACTCAAACTTCCCATTTTACAAATGAATACACTGAGATCTAGAACAAGACACAGATAGGGAATTGTCTGTGGCTATTCAGTGAGTTAGAAGCAGAGACAAAATTAGAACCCAGGCCTCTGATCCCAACTGAGATCCTTCTTTCTCTACCCAGGATCTTACAGGAAGGAAATAAGCATTTTAGCTAGAGCAATGAGTCTCAAACTTGATTAAGTCAGCTTGAGACACTGCATTGATGTTAAATGTGGTTCCCTTAGATTCTTTGGAACTAGTCTGCTGATAAATCCGGATATGGACACTGACGCTTAGAGCAGCCTCTTTCATAAGATGCTGTGCATTCCAGTCAAGCCAGAATATTTTCATATGAATGTGTTTAGATTATCATTAAAGTGAACGTACAAAACTTAAAAAATTCAGGTAGCATATCTGCAGACATCCATGAATAAGGCTGGAAACTCATGAAACTGAAGAGCCCAGTTTGAGAAATCCTGGGCTGAAAGGCCAGTCAATCCTGGGGAGTGAGTGGGACAGATCGGGTTTAAGCTACAGTGTCAATTGTGATGGGGCCCAGTGTGGGGCTGGACTCCTGCCCTCTGCCCACTCCATGCCCTAGCCCTCTTCCTCTGATAGGCAGGCCTGGGAGCGTCCTTCCTGTGGTTTCAACCATCTGGGAATCTGCAGGTCGCGGATAGCTCAGAGCCGACCTGGGCTGGACCTGCCCCTCTGGACCTTGAGTCTTTATCTGTAATATGATAGTGTGGATTTGCCTGGAGGGATTGGAAGGGATAGGATGGGGAGAAGGAGACAGGGACAGAGCTGTCAGTGCAAACTGGGCATTTTTTTCTGGTAGTTGATAAGTCAGCAGCTGAAAAGATAATCTTACCTTGTATTCCACTTCTGAGATGTTATCTTTCAGAAATCACGCTAAAGGAAAAGGCATGGCTCTAGAAAGGACTGATAATCACAACTTAGTTATACCCAGAGCTGGTCCCCTAGCTGGGCAGCTTACATTTTTGTTCATAGATAATCAGCTGGCCCTTGTGGCAATCCTGGGAGATGGGGACCCTCTGAGCTCCCTCAGGCCCATACTTCTTCTTCTTCCAAAGTGATCTCAAGGTGTTATCACTGTCTGTGTTCCCATCTTCCCACCACCCCCCCCAACCCAACAGATCTGAGCCCCTCCAGGGTTGCCTCCTTTCTATTCTGTATCCTTAGGGCCCAGCAGCTCACCTGGACCACGGAAAGCACAGAAAGAACTGGCTGAATGAATCAAGAGATCAAGTGTTCTCCCTGAGGCCCTGTAACAGCTCTGCAGCTGACTGCCCAGAAGGAAGCAGAAGTGAGTGACAAGTTGGGGGAACCAGAGCTTGCACACCATAGGCCTGAACACTAGCCTCTGGGGAAAGGCAAGTCCAGCTGACCTTGGTGAAGTTAGGACCCGGGCCGAGGCCACCTCTTCTGGTTCACCCTCTGCTGGCCTCCCAGCTTCTTTGGCTCAGCAACACCCAGGATTCCAGGCATGTTTGCCTCTGGCCTTCTAAAAATACCCAGGCCACCCAGCACCTCCCAGATGTCTGAGCGCTGAGTCTGTGATTTCCCTGCCGGTAATGGGACAGCCCCGGGGTGGGCAGGCGGGGGTGGCTCGAGCAGCTCAAGCCACTTCCTCTGCCTCCCATCCCCTAGCCTACCAGAAGCTGGACCCAGCCCTGCCTCCCAATCCTTGCAAGGCAAAGGAGGGTAGAGGCTAGCAGACCTCAGAGATTGTTGACTCCAGTCTCTTCTTGGGACAGATGGGAGATCTGAAGTCTAAGGATTGCTCATGGCACTTGTGCCATTAAGGTCCTCCTCACCCCACTCCCCAGCACTGTGTTCATGCCTGCTGCTGTCTCACTTCCCACATGCTACTTGGAGTCTAGGTCTTGGAGCCCAACCTGACTTCCTCCATGCAGCTGAAAGCTCCTGACAGCAGTGAAGGGGAGGATCCCTGTGGTCTCCATGGTGCCTGGAAGAGTGTCCAATCCAGAGCACACCATCAGTAAACGTAGATTGGATTGAACAATGTAGTGGCAGCTGGGGCAATGGGTGGAGCACTGGGCTGGAGGACAAAGCCTCTGAATTCTATCTAGCCCAGGGTCAGCCACTGTGATACTATGCATCCTCATCAATTGCCCTGGACAAACCTGTTTCTCCTGGGCTGGATAGGATGGTGTCTAAGGACTGAGCCAGCTCTGCTGATATGAAGCTGCAAGCTGATGCCCTGCTGGATATTCCTGTCCCTTCTCTGCTCTACTGTATGTCTGGGAGAGATGGCACAACCTGTAGGTTCCATCAGCTCCAGGTTCTCAGCTTCTGCTCCTCCCTCCGTGCTTCTGAACATTCCACCTCTGGTCCTAGCCCCTGAGGCCCAGCTCTTCCAATAGTGCCACTTCCACCTCTGCTGCTGGGTACACAGGGGTGAATGCATACCTACCTCGCTCACTAATCATGTGACCTTGGGTAAGGCATTGCCCTTTTCTGGGCTTCAGTTTTATCATATCTAAAAGGGAATAATAAGGCCTACCTTAAAGGAGTGCTATGAGGATGTAGGAGATTCCATAGCTCAGATGTCAGGTTATATATCACCTCCTGCAGAAAGTCTCCCCTGTCCTCCCAAGGATGGCTCAGATAGCATTTGTTGCTGGCTCTTCAGTTCTGACCTTCCCATGTTCACACTATGTGGTCATTGGCTCTCTATGCATCCATCCCCCACCAAGCTGTGGGCTCCTCAAGGCCAGGAGTCTCCAGGACCCAGTACAGGACCTTTACAGATGAAGTGCCTGGGAACGTTTTTTGACAGACACAGTGGGTGAGTAAAGCCTGAGAGAAAGGCAAGGGGTTGTGCAGAAGTCTGGGAGTCTGAGTAAGAAGTGGCCTGACTGACAGGGCAAGTTCTGGTGGTATGAATATTGACAGCTGCTTGGAGCCCTTCCCCCATTTCCCTGCTTGGTAAATTCATCCTTCAAGATCCCAGGAGAGCATCTCCTTCCCTGAGAAACCTGATCACTCTCCCCTCTACCACATTACACACTCCACTGTAGGTGTTCTTTACACACCTGTCTCCCTTCTCAGATGTGAGTTCCCTGAAGGCAAGACCCTGTTGGATCTCACAGCACCAAGCACTAGATCTGGCATGAGTTAGTCAAGGTTTTGGAGCAGAAGAATGGATGGAGGAAATAATTTCTGAATCGAACTTGGAATTGAACTGCCTGAACTTTAATGCCCTTTCCAGCCTTAGGGATGATAATGAATTACCAAAGTGAGAAAAATGGAGGCGCAAGCTGTTGTCATCCTTCCAGAGGCACCCTCCAAGTGTGTGTGGGTGAAATGTGAGCTGGAGAGAGGATTGACAAAGAGCAGTGAAAACATATTCCTGGACCCCATTCTTTTTTTTTTTTTTTTTTTTTTTGAGATGGAATTTCCCTCTTGTCATCCAGGCTGAAGTGCAATAGCTCAATCTCGGCTCACTGCAACCTCCACCTCCCAGGTTCAAGCGATTCTCCTGCCTCAGCCTCCCGAGTAGCTGGGATTACAGACACACACCACCACGCCCAGCTATTTTTTGTATTTTTAGTAGAGATGGGGTTTCACCATGTTGGCCAGGCTGGTCTCGAACTCCTGACCTCAGGTGATCCACCTGCCTCGGCCTCCCAAAGTGCTGGGATTACAGGCATGAGCCACTGTGCCTGGCCTGAACCCCATTTTTATCTCTGGATTTTTCTCTCTGTTGAAGAATTGCTGCAGAAACCATATTCTAAGTATAAAAGGCCTTTAGATACCTAAGATGATCCCCAGAACCTTGATGTGAATCCATTTACTCATACTTTACATTCTCACTTTACACTTTGAGCATGAAGCCCATGGTGATCTGGTTGTAAAAGGTTTAAAGGTTAATTGGCAGCCAATGTTGGGGGTGAGAAGTTGCTGCTGCAGGCAGGCAGGTATTCACCAAGGCAGCAGAGAGAGGAGGCATCTGCCAGGCTGGTAGAAAGGAAATAGAAAAAGAAAACAGGCCGAGAGCGGAGGCTCAGGCCTGTAATCCCAGCACTATGGGAGGCCAAGGCGGGCGGATTGCTTGGTTGCAGTGAGCCAAGATCGTGCACTACACTACAGCCTGGGTGACAGGGCGAGACTCCATCTTAAAAAATCATAATAAATAAAATAAAAATACAAAAATTATCCAGGTGTGGTTGTGCATGCTGTCGTCCCAGCTACTCGGGGCGCTGAGGCAGGGGAATTGCTTGAACCTAGGAGGTGGAAGTTGCAGTAAGCTGAGGTCACACCCCTACACTCCAGGCTGGGTGACAGAGCGAGACTCCGTCAAAGAAAAGAAAAGAAAATAGAAGAGAAAAGAGAAGAAAGAAAATGGGCAAAAGCAACTAAAGGTACCACAGATCAAAACCTTTAAGATCAGCATTGGGTACACCATTGCATATCTGCTCTGGGCAAATCCCTTTCTGGGCCTCAGTCTCCCCATCCGTAAAATGAACAGGTTTTACCAAGGGCTCTGAGGGCTTATGATTCTCCAGGAGTTTCCTTATGTGAGGCCTTTCTGTCCCCAACCATACAGATCAGATGAGGTGTCATCAAAGTCAAGACTCCAATTTCTAGGGTTTGTGGGTTATCAGGCTTTCCTGCCACAAACTTTCCTGCCACGAACCTCCTGCTAGGCTCCTCAGGGGGAGTTCACTACTGTGGCTGTCTGGGCCGAGCCCCCAAGAAGAAACAAAACTCTCCAGGGTCTGGTGCAGAGGCTGTGGCCCAAGGTCTGCTTGCTGCCTAAGGAAGATATGAAAAGGAAGCCTGGCTCTGGGTGAAACGGAAGTGTCTGAGGTCTGACAGTTGCTCTCAGCATGGTCTCTGCAGCCAGGAGGGAAGTAAAACTGTCTGGGCATCTGGTAGTTTCTACCCTGAGAGTCCACAGGACAGTGACAAGTGGGGCCTGGTGCAGGCCTGTTCTCTGGTCCAGAGCCCTAGCTTAGGCCAGAGACAGTCTTTGGAGAGATGCTGGCCCAAAGATTTGGAGGGAGGGCAAAGGAGAATACTCTGAAGCTGGTTCATGACCTTAGGCAAATCTCTGTGCCTCTTTGGGTCCAGTTTCTCCATTTGCAAAAATGGAGTTTGGGCTAAATTTGCCTGTGCAATAAGGGTTTCTGGAATGGTGGGCACTGGGGATACAGAGACAATTTGGTTACAAGGAACCTGGATTGTTACCCTGCTGGCAAGGGACTCACAGCCTGGTAGGACATAGTTACAGAATCATTGGTTAATTGTGATTATCAATGCATGTATAGGTGCCGAAAAGCTGTGGACATAGAGCATTAATTCAGCATTCATCCAGAGATCCAGGGAAGGTTAAGCAACTTGCCCAAGGTCATATAGATATTAAGTGGTCCACCTGGGGCCAGAGTCTTGAAAGGAAGGGGAATTCAGAAGAGGACATGGCTAAATAGAAGTCTGGAAGACCAGTCTGCTTGTGCTTGCTGCTGTCATCAAGATCTGAACAAAGTTATGGAGACCCAGAGGAGGGGAGATTAATTCTGACTTAGGAGAAGGAGGAAGACTTCACAGAAGCAGAGGTTTTGAGCTGGGGTTTAAAGGGCAAATATGAGTTTATCAAGTACAGAAAGGGAGAAGGGTGTTAAAAGCTGAGGGAACAGCATATTCAGATGTGTGATGTTGCTAAAAAGAGCCTGATGAGTTGCTGGAAAAGTTGTCTGTGTGTGTTTGTGCGTGTGTATGTATGTGCGGTATGTTAGGAACAAAGAGTACCTAAAATGGGAGGACTGAGAGATGAGGTTTCATAGTCTGGCTGGAATCACACAGTGAAGGGCCTTGAATGTGTTTGGAGGGCAGTGGGCAGCCATAAAAGGGTCTTAAGCCACGGATGCATGGTCAAAATAGCCTATTAGCAGTCTTGCTCGGGCTGCTAGGAGGGCAGAGGACCAAAGTACAGGGCTGGGGCCAGGCAGAAACAACTGTAAAGAGGCAGTGGCAGAGGATTGAGGGTGTCAGGTGTCAGGCCTAGCCCCTGTCAAGAAATAGAAACTTTTCAAGAGACTACATAGGTGTGGAGGAAACAAGAATTGAAACCTGAGCCCAGCTGTGGCTGTGGTCTGGGCAGGTGCCGTAAGCAAGGGAAGTGAAAGGGTTGGGGTGACTTCCAGTTGAAGGAGGGGGATGGCTTGTGGGGGATGCTAGGGGCCTGTCCTCAGGCTGGAGACCTGTTCCAGGACGGGGCAGGGTAAGGGGCTATGCCTGACCAAGCCCCTGCCTCTTGTTCCTGCCCTCAGAGATCCCACTTCCTTCTGCTAGGCCTTAACTCTTTCTCCTGAGATATTCCTTCCCTACTCCCCACCCCTCCCAGTGTTCCATCCCACCCTTTCTAGCATCCCATGGTTCCTATCCAGGTCCTGTAGGCCCTCCAGCGAGGCTGCCCCGAGCAGCTCAAGTTCCTTGGCTTCTCCTACACCAACCTGCACTGCTCATGCTGCCTGAGCAGTGGTCTGACCATGTTTTGCCTTGAGGCCTGTTTTATTCTGTAGTGTTGGTTCACCAAACTAGTCACTGTTACTTCACTGTCACCTCACTGCAGCTGCAGGTGCCCCTGTCTCATTGGGCTCTGCCCACAAGAGCTCTTGATAAGTCAGAATCAGACCCTCATGTGCCCAGAGAAGCTAGCATTGAGTATGCCTGGCCCAAAGCATGAACTTGGGGAGGGGCTGTTCATGGGCTGCGCTGATGAGTTCTTTGTTCTGGGGCAAATCTTGACATGATTGTGTCTGTTTTTTTCATTTGTTCGTTTGTTTGTTTTTTTGAGACAGAGTCTTGCCTCATTGCCCAAGCTGGAGTGCAGGGGCACCATCACAGCTCACTGCAGCCTGGAGCTCCTGGGCTAAAATGATCCTCTCACCTTAGCCTTGTGAGTAGCTGGGGCCACAGGCATGTGCTGCCACGCTTGGCTAATTTTTTATTTTTTGTAGGGGTTATGAACCACGAGGGGTGAATTCCTTCCTGCTGGTCCCCAAATACCTGACCCTCCACCTGGATCTGCCCATTCAGATCAATCATCTCCAGGTGCAGGGTCAGGTATTTGGGGACCAGCAGGAAGCAATTCACCCCTAATGGTTCAGATGAAGAGACTTTAATGAGGGGACTACTGTACTGAGGTGTTGGCAGGGTAAGAGAACAAAAAAAAGGACGTTGAGGCACCCACCCAGAGGCTGGCAACAGTGGAAAAGTCTTACGGCCCAGCACTCAAAGGGGTCAGGAATCATGTCCAGACCGAAGTGGAAGCCAGTTGGCAAGAAGGCCTCATGAGGGAGCCCACAGAGGTCTGCCTCCCAGGGCACAGTGCAGGGTGTGGGTGTGGGTGCAAATGGAGACTAACGGTCTCCAGATATGGCTGAAAGATTCTCACCCAGATGGAATATCTGGAAGATGCCTCTGGCCTTGATGCAGTCACTTCTCTGTGATCGGTGCTGGTTTGGAGGTTTTTCCAGCTGTCCCAGAGAGAACAGGTGAAGCTTTACTTTCAGAGTAATTCCGGTACCATCTAGAAAGCATGTTCTGGTCTTGATAGTGACAGACTAGAGAGTGACAGAGGCATGTGGGCCTCAAGGGTACAGAATTATCCCAATATACAGAGTGACAGAGGCACGTGGGCCTCAAGGGTACCGAATTATCCCAACATATATAGTGACACAGGCCCAGAGAGAGTCAGAGCTGTGCCAAGGGTAAACAGGCCCAGGGCAGAACATAGTAGAACACGGTGGAGGGGAGATGCTGTGAGCTCATGTTGGAGAGGTACACAGCATCCAGATTATGGAGTTAAGGCCACACAGCTAGAGAGCAGCAGGGCCAAAGGTCCAACTGGTCAGTCTGAATTGGAACTTGACTCAAGCTCTTAACCAAGACCCTAAGCTGACCCTGTAGAGAAAAGAGAGAAGGGTGTTAAAAGCAGAGGGAATAGCATGTTCAGATGCATGAAGTTGCTAAAGAGCCTGATGAGTTGCTGGAAAAGTTGTGTGTGTGTTTGTGTGTGTGTACATATATGCTGTGTCTTTGGAACAAAGGGTACCTAAAATGGTAGGACTGAGAGATGAGGTTATGTAGGCTGGCTGGAGTCACACAGTGAAGGACCTTGAATGTCAGGTTAAAAAGCTTGGGCTAAATTTGGAGGGCAGTGGGCAGCCATAAAAGGGTCTTGAGCAGTGGGTGCATGGTCAAAATAGCCTATTAGCAGGCTTGCTTGGAAGCTGATGTGCCTGTTTGTTTGTTTGAGATGTGCAGCTTCTAAGTGCACATCTACTTGGAAGCTGAGTGCCCAGTGTGCAGACAGGAAAGGTACTGGAGTTAGTGTGACCAAGCCCAGGGTATCTTGTCTTTCAGACACACCCCATCTTCTCCTTATGGACCACTCACTCACAAACCTCCCCCGGTCACAGGCTCAGCACAGCAGGTGAGGTTATAGGCTGAATATGAGCAAAGGACAGGCCTGTGCAGGCCCTTGGGCACATCCTCCCTTAGGTTGCTGACTGGGCCTTGTATTCCATGACCTGGCTGCCCACACTTAATGTTCCACTACTGTTAAACCTCTGGGTCTACAGACCTTGAAATCCATCCATCTAGTGTGCCTGTTGGGTGCCACAAACAAGATCTCCTCCCAGAAGTCTACGGGGATGGGGACATTGATAGGATGAGTGAGATAGCCAATATTTGTGGAGTGTGATAAAACCATAAAGGACTACTGCTTTTTAAAATTGGGAGCAGAGCCAGGTGCGGTGGCTCACACCTGTAATCCCAGCACTTTGGGAGGTCAAGCTGGGCGAATTGCTTGAGCCCAGGCATTCGAGACCAGCCTGGGCAATGTGGCAAAACCTTGTCTCTACAAAAAACAACTACAACAAAATTAGCTAGGCATGGTGGCATATACCTGAAGTCCCAGTTACTCAGCAGGCTGCGGTGGGAGGACTGATTGAGCCCAGGGGGTCAAGGCTGCAAGCAAACTGTGATTGCACAACTGCACTCCAGCCTGGGTGAGAGAGCAAGACCCCATCTCAATCAAACAAACAGGAAAGTAAGACAGAAGGAAGGAAGGAAGGAAGGAAGGAAGGAAGGGAGGGAGGGAGGGAGGGAAGGAAGGAAGGAAGGAGGAAATTGTGAGCAGACATTCAAGAGGGCCACCCAAGGCTACACCATCTACCTCATTTCACAGGATTCTCTATCCAAGAGAAATATGGATAGAGCCATGTTTCCAAACGTGGCTCAGGCCCATTCAGCTTGTGGTTTTCGCTCTCTCTGTCCCTCCGCAGGGAGTGCCTGCCTCCCATGCATCAAGGCCTACTTCCAATGCAGCCCTCGTGGGCCCCTCCTTTAGACAGAGGCAGTCTTCCCCCACTTAGAACAACCACAGCACTTTGATTTTGTGCTTTGGAATTACTCAGACTCAAACAATCATTAGGGAATTCTATATCTTGCCTCTCCGTCTAGATTGAGGGTACCTGTTAATTCAACTTTTCATTCTCCCCTCCTAGAATACTACAGGTACAGAAATCATTTGCTCAATTAAATGGTGGCAGCCCAGTTCCCATGAGGAAGGTCTGGGTGACTCTGGTAATTGTGATGGAGCGGTTAACCTCTAGACACTGGGGCAGGACCATCTGTGTTCAAATAGCCTACCTCTTACTAATTGTGTGATCTCAGGCAAGTGACTTAGCTCCATTCTTGCAATCAAGACCATTGAGTGTTGTGAGAATTAATGGGTTAACACAGTCAAAGCCCTCAGAGCTGTGCCTGGTACCCCCTAAGCATTCAAGAAATGTCAGCTATTATTATTACAGCTATTATTAGGAGCCAGCCGGGTATGCTTATAAACAATTTCCCACACCCAGCAAAGCTGGAGCAGACACATACACTGGCTTAACCCACAGCCACACTTGGAAATGGGGGAGGGTAGGGAGCTGTAACTCTATTTTAGAGATGAGCAGAGGCTCAGAGAAGTCAGAAGCATTCATTCATTTAACAGGCATTTATGGTGCGATTTCCACATGTCAGGCACTGCCTCTCCTCCCACTTCAAATTCAGTGAATCCTCAGAGTGGGGCTGGAGGCTAGGGACAGAGGACTATGTATTTTAAACAAGCACCCCCTGGTGATTCTCAGCTTAGGCAAGTTGGAAAGATGATTGGATTGTAAGGTCCTAAGGCAAGCATCTTGTCATGTTCCAAGTTTGGACCTGGGTTTTATGGGGGATATCATTTTTTGGTGGCAGATTAGTTTAGCAGTTAACAGCACAGACCCTGTAGCCTGGTTAATTGGGTATACATCTCAGTTTGCCACTGGCTGCATGACCATAGGCATACCTAACCTGTGAATGCCTCATCTGTAAAATGAGGCTAGTAATAGTACCTACCTCAGAGTTGTGAGAATTACATTAGTTTTTTATGCGAAGTGCTTGGAAGGCTGTCTGCCACATAGTAACTATTATAAAGCATGAGCTATTATTATTAATGTACACAGTGTAGACAAGCATCAGACAGAAGGCCGGGGGTGGTAGATTTGACACTTCTTACCCCACGATTGGCTCTGCCTGTAGCGTTGGCAGTGTCTGTCTCTTCAGGGAGGCTCGCCACCTGCTCCTTTCCGCTGGAAGAGCTTTCCTGAGTTGGGGAATTCCCTCCCATGGCGCCCGACAGCAGCTCCTAGCATTCTGATGCCATGTGCTCTGCCCACAGCAGCATAGTGAGAATTAGATCACATCTCGGGCCAAGGCTGGACTGGGAGGACAGGCAGGTGTAGGGGTTGGAAGTGTCCACTTACGAAGGCTGCAAATGGGAGGAGGAGTGCAGACCCTGGGGAGGCTCCTCTCCACACCCTAGGCCAGCTTTGGCTGAGGGTGGTGCCGCAGACAGGGGAAGGGCGGATGCCCACGGAGGACAGGCGGGATGCCAGGGTGTCTGCCAGCCCTCCAGGACACTTATTTTGGCCTGCTGCCCTCGGGCAGGGAGCAAGCAAGTGTATTTTGTTTTGGCATTAACTCAGCAGGCTGTGGGAAAACAGGCAGGCAGGCATCCTGAACAGGGCCTGCTCCCTTCACAGGCCAGCCCATGGTGGTGACAGAACTGCCACCTCTGCATCCTGCTGTCCCTCTCCCACAACTCTCCTCTCTCTCCCCTGATCCCTGCCTGGCCCTCCTTACCCAGCTCAGCCTGAAGGGTCCTTTCCCTGAAAGGGGCTCACAGACTTGGTAGCATCCCATACCTCCCAGGCTAGGCTCTGGAGAAACTCCCTGGTGGAACCCCTGGTGTTACAGATGAGAAAACCCGGGCTAAGGGAGAGGCAGGGACTTTCCAGGTCCTCACAATGAGTAAGGAGCAGAACTAAGATTCTAGTGGGGCTCAATCTCCCCCATGGAAATTCCTCTTTTTGTGGTTTATTTTTTAACTTACAAATAAAGCCATAACAAAATGACGGGAAACTGAAGGAAAACTCAACAAAGGAAACACACTTGTGGGCCAGCACAGTTGCAGGCACTTTACATAAACATTCCCATTTGATTCCCACTGCAACCCTGCAAAGAGCCATTATCTCTCCTTTATAGACAAGGAAACCTGGCTGAAAAGAGGTTTCAAGACTTGATCAAAAACTCTAAGCTTGGCAGAGGAGAAATAGACATCTAACCCAGGTTTGCTTGACCTCAGACCCCTGTAACCTCATCCCTCCACCAAAAGTATTTTACTCATTGGTGCCTAATCACAGTGCAGCTCATGGCGGAAGGTGCTGATCAGCGTTCAATACAGGTGGTCACTCAACCTTCCCTGATGTGTCCTAGGATCAGCAGTTACTTGTTTATGTGGCTCCTCAGCCCTTGCAGACCATTTACCTGTTATTTCATTTAACCTGCACAGCCCTCCAAGAGGAAGACAGGATGGAATTTATTATTCCTATTTTATAGATGTAGAAACCAAGGTTGAGAGGACAGTGATGCGCTAGAGGTCACACTCAGTGAGTACCTGGCAGAGATAGAATTAGCACCGTGGTTTCCTGCCTTGTAATGTTAAAACCATGTGCCTATCAGCTCCTACCATAGCCCTGGGACTGACTGCTCATTTACCGTACACCCCCACCCCTGCCACCCAAAGTTGTAATATTCCCTGGTAGGGGCAACACTTGACAAGATAATTCCTGGTCCCAGTGCCTGCTTCTTAGGGACTTGCCTCTGGCCTTAGATCTCTGCTACCACCTGGTAGGATCTGGGTCCCTATGACCCTCCTGGCCCTGCATGTTTCACTGCTGTGACCTTGGTCTCTGTATTGAGATTGGGAGCTCCTGGTGGGCAGCTCCTCACCTCAGAGACCTGCTTATGACTAAGCCCAGGATAAGGGCTTGTTGAGTGATACTATGGAATTCAAGGCCTAGTGCCTTGAACAAACTCACTATGTGTCTTAAGGAGAGCCCCTGCTCTCTTCTGGTGGCCACCAATCTTGAAGTCTCATTTACCTGTGCTGGGATTCTGTCCTGAGAGCTGATAGTGGAAGAGACTGGCACACTCTCACATCAGGCTGGCAGGAGGCTGGTGTTGAGGGAATTAGCTCAGGGAGCAAAGGCATGGGTAGGGAAAGGTGACTAGGGGTAGGAAGGAGATGAATGGGGATGGGGTCCATAGACCACACTGTCTGCCGCAGCATCCCCAGCTGGACTTGGTGGGGCCCAGGCAGGGAATAGCTGGCATCCAGACGTGCTAACAAGTATTCCTGAGCAGTCTGTGTCAATGCAGGTGGGGGATAATGACACAGAGGAAGACAGAGTAGAGAGAGCTGATGGACCCCAACTGCAGGAACGGTCAGGGATGCTTTGGTGCAGTGTGGGCAGGGGGACTGGCAGCTACTTTCTCTGAAGAGAGCCTTTGACGAAGTCAAACTGTCCTAGGTGCGTGCTCTGGATGGGGAGTAGTGTGCTACTCATGTTCTGGCCATGCTAAAGGGCCGCTGTATACTTTGTCTCCCTGCCAGTTTTCCCAGGAGCCCTGGAATATCAGAACAGCTGATCTTCTGATACCCATTCATATACCTGCTCCAGGCCAGTTTTTGATCCTAGCTCTGACTTAACCTTAGAATCATATTCCTAATGAAATGGGAGACTGCACTGCAGCATGCTGGAGGGAGAGCACAGCTTCAGAGCCAGGGGCCAGCCCTCCCTTTCCTTCACTAGCTGTGTGACCTTGGGTAGGTCATTTCACTTCTGAGCTGCAGCCTGTGCAATGGGGTTATATGTATTATGAGGAGTTGTTGTGAATGTTGGAAACAATGTAAATAACACGCCTATTTTAATGTCTGGAACATGGAAGAGGCAAAATAAATGGCAGCTGTTATTAATTTCTTTTCAGAGTGAGATCCCATCTGTGGTCTCCTTGATGGAAGGGAGCCAGAACCTGTTTGCACAGCCCCAGGGACAGGGAGCTCACTCCTTCCAGGGGTAGCTCTGCCTGGAAAAGTTCCTTCCTGAGATGCAGCTAACACCTGTCCCAGTTTTGTCTCTGGGGCCATAGTGCCTGCTGCTCTGCACCATTTCCCCAAAGAATCTCAAGCAATGCTACTGGCAACACAGCGCTTGCCTGCATTGCAGGAGCAAGGCTCTGGAAGTCCCCAACCCTGTTCAAAATGGTACATTTCAAGTCAGGCTTACATAAGTCACAGAAATCCCTTCCCTGGTCCCCTAGAGTCTGGAACATAATGGATTGTATCCTCCTGGGTCTGCTTATTTTCCTGCGTTAGGAACTCTCCCAATTCCTTTGAACATTCTTCATACACGAACATTCCTCATCGGACAACTGGGTTATGGTCTGAAGTCTATCATGTCAGGGCAAGTCACTTATCCCCACTGAGCCTCCAGTTCTCCATCAGTAAAAATGAAGAAACGAATACTATCTCATGGGTAAAGATTAGCTTGGAAAAGTAATATGAAAGTTTAGGGTTTGGAAGAGACACTTGGTAAGTATTAAAACAATTTTTTTAAATCACAGTTTTGAAATAGGAGTTAGTAGGTAAGCCCATCTGGTATTGCCCTTAGCTCTTTATAACACTTCCAAAGGAAATCATTCCAGAAAGTCAGTGCCACTCCTGGCTTCAGAACGGTGGCAAATCAGGTAGAGGATGCCCTCCTATATGCATAAACGAAATCCCCAGGGTCTGACTTCTTCTGTGAAGAGCCTCCTAAGTTCTAGGCTCACTCACTTATCTTATTCTGCAGGCCAGCACCAAGGCCCAGAGAAGACCCACTAGATCCATGGTAGAGGCTGGATCCCATGTCTCCCAACATCCAGCACCATTATACCCCAGTGCTCACTTCCTAAGAAGAGAGGTGAAGGGAGGATAATCTCTGGGCCAGACCAGTTGCACCCAAGACTAGGATTCAGCAAATCTTTGTTAAGCACTTGTTATGTGCATGACACTGCATCCGGGCCAAGTACTGTGTTACTCCTCTTCCACTAGCCCAGTGTCATTCAAGGAATGGTTGGTCTGGAACTCAGTCTTGGCGAAGGCTGATTCTATCTTGCTCATCTCTAGAACCCCAGTGCCTGGCACAGGCTTGGAACAAAGCAGGACTTTAGCAAGTATTTTTTGAATGAATGATGAATCAATAAGCACTTATTTTATTTTTTATTTTTTATTTTTTTTTGAGACGGAGTTTCGTTCTGTCCCCCAGGCTGGAGTGCAGTGGTGCCATCTCTGCTCACTGCAAGCTCCACCTCCCGGGTTCACGCTATTCTCCTGCCTCAGCCTCCTGAGTAGCTGGGACTACAGGCACCCGCCATCACGTCTGGCTAATTTTTTGTATTTTTAGTAGAGACGGGGTTTCACCGTGTTAGCCAGGATGGCCTCGATCTCTTGACCTTGTGATCTGGCCACCTCGGCCTCCCAAAGTGCTGGGATTACAGGCGTGAGCCACCGCGCCTGGCCTCAATAAGCACTTATTAAGCACTACATGCCAGGCCCTGTGGTAGGAGAAATTCTATTTAATACAGTAAGCCTATGAGGCTAGCATTATACCTCCATTTTACAAGTGAGGAAACAAGGCTGAAATAAGTGAATTGACTAGCTCAACGCTTCACAATAAATTGGTGGTGGAGCTGAGACTGGAGCCCAGCCTACGCTACCTATGGCCTGGGCTCTAGCTGCCACCCCGCAGCTGTCAGGGCCCTGGGCCTCCATCCACCTGTCCCCTTGCCCCAGGCCTTCCCTGATTTGATTAAGGATTCTGGTGAAGGGCTAACTTTTGAAGCCAGAAAAAGCAAGACTAGTCTCCTAGTTCATACACAGCTCTAGATTAATCTTATTCAAAACACAGCTCTGTCACTTTTCTGTACAAGAATCTAGTCTAACTCAATGTAAACAACCTGGGTTGAAGTTCCACCTTTTCAATTTCTGGTCATGTGGTCATCTGGGAAGTTACTCGTCTATCCAGGCCTCATTCACCTTCCTCTTAGGCCTGACTGCACTTCTGAGAACAGCTGTCTGGGATCTCAACTTCTGAAAAAACGGTGGAGTAATCCAGCTCAGCCTCCACACAGCCCCGTGACTCAAAAAAAAAAAAAAAACCTCCCTGGGCATGGGGAAGAGGTATTCCTCTTCTGAGGACCCCAAGGGAGGTCGATAAACTCCCCCGTAGATGGTCTGAACAGAGCAGGAAGGTTCATGTGTGGTGGTGGGGTGCACTGCTTAGATAAGCACCCTCACTGGCAGATAAGGAAGCCGAGCTCACCTAGCCTGTTAAGGAGCAGGCAAAGTGGACTGGCACCCAGAGATCCTGACTCCCAGACAAGGGCTTCCTCTATGGCCTCTCCTGCCTCTTCTACTTTTCCTCGTGCTTATTATCCTGCACCTGTTTCTTTTTTAAAATAACCCATAGAACACTTCCTGACGCAGATTCTAGTCCTGCTGTGTAACCTTTAGAAAGGCTTCCCTCTATGGGCACTTGCCTCCCCGTCTGTGAAACGGGGGCCTCGGCCTTAACGTTCTCTTGGCTCCCTCTCAGCGGAGTCAGTGATGTTTGACTTGAATGCCCTGCAGTAGAGTGCCGCCGTTTCCTTTGCAGAGCAACTGCCTTTCCGCCCTACAATCGCAATGGCCTGGCACCTGCGGCCAGCCGCAAAGCGACTTGTCCTTGCTCGCCTCTCTCGCGCACATCTAGCTGGTAGGGAGAGTAGGGTGTTGAGGGGCTGAGAGGAAGAAAACGCCGGAATTCTCGTATCCCACAGGCATGCTGCGCCCCCCTCCCCACTGCAAACGTTTCCCTGCGAGCGTCGTCCCCCGCGCCCCCCGACACACACACACACACACACACACACACACACACACACACACACACACACACACACACACGCAAAGGCAGGCAGGAGGCGGGGGCGGCCTGTGCGCGTGCGTCGGCGCGGAGCCCTCTCCCGCCCACGTGCGCGCCCCCGAGCGGAGACGCGCGCGCCGGGGCGAGCTGGCGGGAAAGCGCGCGGGAAGCCCCCGGCTGGCTCCCAGCGTGGGGGAGGGAGGGCAGGAGGCGTCTGGAACGTGCCACTCTCGGAGAGAAAGGGGGGATTTTCGCGTGGCGCTGGCGTTTCTACACCTCCCACCCACCGACCAATCCGTTAGCTTCCCCCTTCCCCTGCCGCGGTACGAAGCCCCGTGCCGTGGCCTAGCTCCCTCCTGGCAGCCCGGACCGGCCCCTCGAACCCCGCTCTGGACAGAGCGGTTCCCTCAGCATCCGGAGCGGGGCGCTGCGCCGCGCGGCGAGGCCGGAAATTCCCGCGGCCTGAGTGGTGGAGCCCTAGCGGGGAGAGCGGCGCCACCTTCCTCCTCCCGGGCGGGCGGGGGCGTTAGGCCCAGCGAGGGCCGGGCCGCCTGAGTGGGTGGGGTGGGGGCCGCTGCGTCCGCCGGGAGCGGCGGCGCAGGCGGCCGACCGGGAGCGCGGACAACGCGGCTGCGGCTAACCCGCCGCCCGGCCGGCTGAGACCCTCGCGCCCCTGCTCCTGGGGCCCCCGCCCCCTCGCCGTCTCCGCCTCCTTCCTCACACACCCCCGGGCCGCCCGGGCCGCCCGGGCCCCAAGCCTTCCCGGTGCTCCTCCCTCGTCTCCTCACACTCGCTCTCTGGCTGGGGTCCGCCTGCCGCCCGCTGGCCTGCTCCCTCCGGGGCAAGTCTTGCTTCTTAAGCGCTCCTTTCACACACGCGCGCGCTCGCTGGGCCGTCCCCTCCTCTCCGGCCCTCCTCCTCCTCCTGGTCCTTGCTAACGCTGCCGTCGGGGAGGATTGATGTCCCTTCAGCATCATGCAGCCGCCGCCGAGGAAGGTAAGGGCGCAGCTGGGGGGCTTTGGGGTTCGGAGAGATGCGTACGCGGAACGCGGCTGGGGCGACCGCTGCGCCCCTTCCCCCTCCCGCAAGGGGCCGTGACCGCCCTCGTCTTGGGCTTGTCACCGACTTGCCGCCGGCTCCAGGTGGGGGGCGCGCGTGTGAGTTGCCTTTCCGACAGAGGGGCCGCCGGGGCTCGTCCGTCCTCTAACGCAGGAGACCCCCAGACATTTCACAAGAGTTTCGGGTGTGCATTTGTGTGTGTGCGCGCGCATGGCAATGCTGCCCGCTGCAAAGTGCATTCTCGGGGCTGCACCGAGGGGGAGGCGGGGACGCCCCTGCAGCTTTGCAGAGCCTTGTGCGTGTGTGATTGTTTAGTCTGCACCAGCTTTGAGCCCTCCAGCCGCTTGTCGCCAGCCCCGCCCGTTTGCAAATTTGCGGGGGATTTGTTTCTAGCCTAGCCTTAGGGTTTGGCCTGCTTTTCCCACGGGGCGGCCGAAAAGAAGTTGGAATAGTCACCGCCTCCCCACCCCAAGGGAAAACAAATTAAGGATTGACGGGTCCTGCCTCGTCCCCGGCTGAGGGGCGAGGAGGCTGTCGTGCTGTCTTCAGAAAAGCGAGGACCGGGCCCGGGAGGTGCGTGGGGTGTGCACTGCGATCCGGGGTTGGATGACCAGGGTGGGAGTGACGGATGCACCCGGCTTGTCATCAGTCTCCCCGCTGCGCCCTTCCCCAGCTTTCCCAGGGGCCGAGGCTGTGTCCTTGTCTTTTTAATCCTACAGATGGATACTGAATGTCTACTCTGGGCACTGGGTGGATGAGGCCGTTCTGTCCTCCCCTCGTGGGCAAACATTTGCCTAACGCCTAACTCACCCGTGTCTGCTGCCGCTGCTTTCTCTCTTTCCTAATCCGGGTTTCTCCATTTAAGTGAGTCCTTTTCTTTCGAACATGTACCCCCACCCCTCCGGGTGGTCCCACTGCTGAGGCCGAGATTCCAGACTGACCGTTAACTTCGAACCCTGGGGCCCCGGCCTGGCGGGCGAGGCTCTCTGGCCAGCAGGCATTTGCTGTTCTCCGCTGTTTGAAGTGGAGCCTCCACGGGGATCGGCTTCCCGGGGTAGTTTAAAAGCACTGCATATGCTGGAAGGTCACTTTTGCTTTCTCCTTTGTGAGAAAGAGATTGTGATTTGATGCGCTGTCAGCAAGTCGAGGGCATCATTCTGAGACAGTGTGCTTTTTCGCAGCCATTATGGAGTAATTTATGTAGTCGATTCAGGCATATTATCATGATTGTGTAAATATTGGTCATTGGGTATCAGGCACTCTTAGGCTCCCAGCCCCCATCCACACTCTGCTCACCTCTCCTGGTGGTTAATGTCTTTGAATCTTTTTTAGAAATAGAAGACAGGCTCTTTTAAAACTGTAGGAAGACCTAGACGTGGATTGAGCTTGTGCATGAAATGGAATGACTGGCAGTTTATTTTGCACGTCTTTAGTTTGTAATATTTATAGTCGTGTATTTTCATTTAACCTCTGTTCAGGCTATTTGGCTTTAATTTTTCATTAAATAAGTATCTTCAATAAATAAAACTAGATGGCGAATATTGGATTTATGGCCTTCAGGGGAGAGGCGAGCAAGAGACATATTCTGACAGATGTATTTTCCTGAAGCAATTTTTTTGGGTTAAATTTGTAAAAAGACCTTCATAAATATATGGTATATTTTAGGTGAAAGTTACACAAGAACTGAAAAACATTCAAGTTGAGCAGATGACAAAACTTCAAGCCAAACATCAAGCAGAATGTGATTTGCTTGAAGATATGAGGTAAGGCTATAGTAAATAGTTCAAGGACTTCTGTTTGTCTGTTTCAAAGAACCTTTGAGTTACCAAGCCCCAGGAACTGATGATGGAATTTCCTTTTGGATTTCCTGCTTTAAGGCTGTTAGAACTTTGACTCAGCTGGAAATTAGAACTGGAACTAACACAATACAAACTTTTTCCTTCAGTGGGGGACCTATAATGCACACATAGTATTCAGAAAAAACAAGGACCTTAAAAGTCTTACTAGTCAAATTATAATAATTAAAGATTCTTGTTTAAATAATCTTTCCACGGAATTGTAACAATCATTTTATTGACCTTAACGGTTTTACACAGTTAGATTTTTAAACCAACACTTGTGGTTAATGGTTAATATCTGGGGGTGAGCCAGTCAACCCCAGATGGTTATATGCTCTCACTGGGTTAGAACATGACAAATACAACTTTGTTTTTGAGTGCCAAATTTAGTGAGAAGTGTGTTTATCATATTTTATTTTATTATTGAGGTTACTCATATTCATAATCAAGTTAACTTTGAATAGCTAAGACATCTTGCTAATATTGTGAAAATCAGTATCTTTCTTACTAGAGGGATGGATGACTTATTTTAATGAAAGAAATACCACTTATTTAACAATCTTGTAATACAGACTGACAGTTCAACAAAGATTTTCGTCAAGAATGGAAGATGATTTGCATGGTGAAGCAAGAGTGGCTGCAATTCTTATTTCCCTTGTATAATACATTTATCAAATTGGAATTGGGTCTGTAAGCCTCATCAGTTACCTAGTTTTCTGGTGGTACACTAACTTCGTGTTGGTTTCATGAAAAATATTAACTCTGGTGTTAATGATAAAATTATGTGTTTGGATTGCTGTTTATAGCCCAAAGATTTTAGTTTCAAGAATTTCCTTTTTTCCTCTCCTATATTTAGGCACTATAAGCATTTCTGCTGTATACCTGTCTTCAGGGTTTATGACTAAGGCATATAAATCTATTCTCATCCAACCTGGATATATCAAGATTGTTGTTTTCTGACTGAAAATTACAATTTTAATTCTGTATTTGTCTTCCTTCCCTTATCATAGCCATAAGAAAATATTTAGACTTAAAAATTCCTATGCGAGGCCGTGCGCAGTCACTGACACCTGTAATCCCAGCACTTTGGCAGGCTGAGGCAGGCAGATCACCTGAGGTCAGGAGTTCGAGACCAGCCTGGCCAACATGATAAAACCCTGTCTCTACTAAAAATACAAAAATTAACCAGGCATGGTGGCGTGCGCCTGTAGTCCTAGCTACTCAGGAGGCTGAGGCAGAGAATTGCTTGAACCTAGTAGGCGGAGGTTGCAGTGAGCCGAGATGGCACCACTGCTCTCCAGCCTGGGCAACAGAGTGAGACCCTGTCTCAAAAAAAAAAAAAAAAAAAAAATTCCTGTGCAAGATATCTGAAACTCTTGACATGGTTAAAAATGTAAGGTTTTTTTAACTTATTAAGCAAACTAAGAAATATCTAGATGAAGAAAGTAATACATTTTCAGAAGCAGTTCAGGAAGGCAGAATTAGTGTGTAAGTGAAGATCCCGTGTGGGGTATGGGTGGTCAGTAGTTGTAATAATTTCTGTTGGTTGTGTCTTCTAAAGACTTCTTGATTGCGTTTTGTCTCCATTTTTCCCCTGTTGTCTGTAGCTTGGTGCAGGAGCTTATGGTCAAGAATATGGACACTGCAGTCAGACAGTCCTGAGTTTGTGTCCTGATATCTGTGCTGACTTGTAGAAAATGAATTAATCTTTATAAACTTAATTTTTCTTATTTGTAAAATGGGGCAATAATGGCCTCTGTTGCCCAAGGTTGTATTGATCAAATGACAATACATATGAGATGTGGCACACATCTAAGCTAAGTTGATATAGTCTGTTGCTCCTGTTGCTGTTGCTTAGTTTGTATTATTGCTGATCCATCACATTTTGCTTGCAATATACTAGTATCCTAATTATTGCAGTAGTGTCCTTATATCTTCCATCTCCCATCTCTTCTTTTAAATATGTCTTCCACATTACCACCAGTTAGCTTTCTAAAAACATTATTATAGATCACTCCTCTGTGGCCTTCTGGATAAAGGTCAAACACTTTGTCATAGTATATATGGTTCTCTGCAACCCAGCTGCAAGCTTCCTTTCCTGGCTTAGTTACTACCGTTTCATGCCCATGCATCCTTCCTCTTTCTTCCCCCTGCTCTGGTCACTCGGGACGTCAGGTTGTCTAACTGTGCACTCTACATTCATGCCCCTGTGTATGCTGTTGTCTTTGCCTGTTGGTACCCTTCCTCCCACTTTTTCACCTGACAAATTCTTGATTACCAATAACTGCAAGTTCTTTGTTCTCTGTGATCTCAAAGGATTTTGATTTTGCACATGGTTCTGGCATCCTCCCTCAGATGAAGTCTTTGAAGTTATGGGCTATTATTCATTTTTGTATCTTTATACCCTTGTTGTCGAATGTAACTGGCTATATTTAAATGTATCTTATTTTTTCTTGGGTGAGATACTGTATACACTCTGTAGGGGAGCTATAGGGGCCTCTGTTGAGCTTGTGTTATATACTTTGGTTCACGTGATCACTTTAATTACACTATCTTGTTTGTTGTAGAGTATATAATATGTAAAGACAGAGATTGTTGGTGCTCCAAGGATTAACAGGTTTTTTTTAAAGGAGTTAGTGTGTTCTTCTATCTATATTAACTTAATGGAATGAATCCTTTCATTCCCATAGAGTTGTAAATAGGATACCGTATTACCTACTAAAACAAGAGTTTAGGTTTCTGATTTGCTTTTTTTTTTCAAAGACAATATTGAAAAAGTTGAAACTTGCCTCCTCTTGGTATTCATGATAACTTCAGTTGCCTGAGGAAGGAGGTGATCTGGCTTCTCTTGTCTGCCCTAGTAAGTGGAATGATTTTTTAAAAATTCACTGGAAATCTCTGAACTTGGATGTTTTTTTGTTTGTTTTTGAGACAAAGTCTCGCTCTGTTGGCTAGGCTGGAGTGCAGTGGTGCAATCTCAGCTTACTGCAACCTCCGCCTCCTGGGTACAAGCAGTTCACCTGCCTCAGCCTCCCTAGTAGCTGCCACCACACCTGCCACCACGCCCGGCTAATTTTTTTGTATTGTTAGTAGAGACTGGGTTTCACCATGTTGGCCAGGCTGCTTTTGAACTCCTGACCTCAAGTGATCCACCCGCCTCGGCCTCCCAAAGTGCTAGGATTACAGGCATGAGCCACTGCGCCTGGCCCGAACTTGGGTTTTTATATGAATTAAGTTGTAAAGGATCTTACTTGCTTTTCCTCTTTTGAGACTAGTGCTCCTTCTCACCAGTGCCCCCTGCCAACTTTATGCTCAATTTAAGTTAGTATGAATTCACTTAGAAAAGTACAAATAGCTTTGTGTTCTTAAAGAAATTAGTAGTAGATAATTTTTTTTATTATTATTAAATTTGAGGCAGTCTCACTCTGTTGCCCAGGCTGGAATGCAGTGGTGTGATCTCTGCTTACTGCAACCTCTCCTCTCGGGCTCAAGCGATCCTCCCATCTCATCCTCCATGGTAGCTGAGACTCCAGGTGCGCGGCTAATTTTTGTGTTTTTTGTAGACATGGGGTCTTACCATGTTACTCAGGCTGGTCTTGAACTTTGGGTTCAAGCAGTCCTACCGTCAGGCCACTGTGCCCAGCTTGAGAAAATGTCAAAAGTTTTTATATCATTGAAAAAAGTTAAAAAAAAATCTACAGCACATTAGACTGTAAATAGAATTTTATGCTAAATTTTGTCTAGTTCTTCCCCATTACGTCCCTTCTTTTTTCTTTCTTTTTTTTTTTTTCTTAAGAGACAAGAGTCTTGCTCTGTTGCCCAGGCTGGAATGCAGTGGTGTGATCTTAGCTCACTGTGTCCTTGTCCTCCTGGGTTCAGGTGATCCTTCTGCCTCAGCCTCCCAAGTACCTAGGACTATAGGCACGTGCCACCATGCCTGGCTTATTTTAAAGATTTTGTAGAGACAGGGTTTGTTTGTTGCCCAGGCTCGTCTTGAACTCCTGGGCTCAAGTGATTCTCCCACTCAGCCTCCCAAAGTGCTGGGATTACAGAAATGAGCCACTACTGCTGCAACGCACCCCTTAATCCCCAGTTCTTATCTTTTGGAATTTCGAGGGGAGGAGACCAATTATGATACAGTTTTTCTCCTTTGTTCTCCTCCCCTTTTTCAGTTCATTTGTTCTGCGAATGGCATTTGGAAGCTAGTATTTGGGAGTGAAGTTTGAGATGAAAAGACAACTAATTTGTTGTTAATCAGGGACATTCCATGCTTTGTGGAGGTTTTATACTGATGTGTTTCCTGTTGACTTTTGCTATCAGCAGTAGACAAGTAGAGTCTACTTTCTTTTTAGTTTATTATTATATTTTTTTCTCTTTGCTTTTTAAGACCACTTACAATAAGTTTCTACATACTAGAGTCTGTGTACTTTTCTTCTTAGGATTGTTTATCCTGTGCTATGTTGAGTAGAGTTAGTTAAGAAAAATTTTTTGCAGTGACCCAGAATTTAAAGAACTACCTTCTTAGAGGACAGTTTAAGGAGGTCTATAATATGGAAAAATTATTGAATTTTAGTCAGGTGGATATTATCATGTTTGTTCATTTTATAGATGAAAGTGGGAACTGAGGCACAGTGAAATGAAGTGAATTATATTGTTGAAGACTCTAAGCTATTTGTCCTGATTTCCATACTACTGTACTCTCCCCTGTATCTGTGTTTCCCAAGCTTTTAACCAAGGAACTCATCATGAGTCCAGTTGTAAAAAATATTTTGCCTATCAAAAAGTATAATATATTATCAGGAGGCTGGGTGCGGTGGCTTATGCCTGTGATCCCAGCACTTTGGGAGGCCAAGGCGGGTGGATCACTTGAGGTCAGGAGTTCGAGACCAGCCTGGCCAACATGGTGAAACCCTGTCTCTACTAAAAATACAAAAATTAGGTGTGCATGGTGGCGCACACCTATAATCCTAGCTACTCTAGCTACTTGGGAGGCTGAGGCAGGAGAATCACTTGAACCTGGGAGGTGGAGGTTGCAGTGAGCTGAGATAGTGCCACAGCACTCCAGCCTGAGTGACAGAGCTAGACTCTGTCTCAAAAAAAACCAAAAACCAAAAAACAAACTCCCCCCCAGAAAACAGTATATTATCAGGGAATAATTTGTTTTCTTATTTTTTGATACATTGAGCTGTCGATCAGCTCCAAATCACTATTTTCAAACCGTTAACGTGAGTTTCACCAAAGTCAAAGACACTTAAAAAACTTTATCCCAGAGAAGGCTGAATATGTGATTTCTTATAGATGTTCTGAAGAATTGAAACTGGCTCAAGAAGCACCTGTCCTGCCTTTGCAGACACCTGGTGGTCTAGAGACCTCAAGTGAGGAATTACTGTACTGTATGTTACTTTCTCTGAACTGTAGATTCCCAGGAGTCATGGGAGATTGGATTCCAAGGTCTGTTTATGGATGTTCTGAGACTTTTTTTTTTTGAGACAGGGTCTCGCCCTGTCACCCAAGCTGGAGCACAGTGGTGTGATCATGGCTCACTGCAGCCTCAACCTCTCAGACTTAAGTGATCCTTCTACCTCAGCCTCCTGAGTAGCTGGGACCACAGGCATGCACCACCATGCCTGGCTAATTTTGTATTTTTTGTAGAGAGAGGGTTTCACTATGTTGCCCCAGCTGGTCTCGAACTCCTGGGCTCAAGTGATCCTCCCACCTTGACCTCCCAAAGTGTTGGGGTTACAGGCATGAGCCACTGTGCATGGTGCTGAGACTTTTTTTCAGTGTCTCAGAGACTGTTGTATCTAGAAAGAGATCTTAGAGGTAATCTAATCTGGTCTAGAGTTTTTTTTTTTAAGGCTTTATTTATATACAATGTACATATCATGTAAGTTACATGATGTGACTGTATATCATATATGATTACGTATCCCATTTAAAGTGTACCATTCAACTTTTTTTTTATAGGATTGTACAATCGTCACGCCAATTTAAAATGTTTTAGTTACCCCTAAAAGAAACTTGGTACCCATTAGCAGTCGCTCCCCATAACCCTCTCCAGCCTTAAGCAACCACTTATCTACTTTCTGTCTCTATAGAAGTGGAATCTTGCGACTGGTTTCTTTTGGCATAATGGTTACTTTTTTTTTTTTTTTTTTTTTTTGAGACGGAGTTTCTCTGTGTCACCCATACTGGAGTGCAGTGGCGCGATGCCGGCTCGTTGTAACCTCCGCCTCCTGGGTTCATGCAATTCTGCCTCAGCCTCCTGAGTAGCTGGGATTATAGGTGCCCGCCACCGTACCCAGCTAATTTTTCAATTTTTAGTAGAGATGGGGTTTTGCCATCTCAAAGCCTCAGTGATGTTTAGTAGAGATGGGGTTTGGCCATCTCCTGACCTCAAGTGATCCACCTGCCTTGGCCTGCCAAAGTGCTGGGATTACAGGCATGAGCCACTGCGCCCAGCCTGGTGTAATGTTTTCAAGATTCATCAGGTTGTAGTATCATTACTTCATTCCTTTTTATTGCCAAATAATACCCCATTGTATGGATATGCCACATTTTATTAATCCCTTCATCAGTTGACAGAGATATGGGTTGTTTCTACTTTTTACTATTATTAATAATGCTGCTATGAACATTTCATGTATAAGTTTTTGTATGGATATATGTTTTTCTTTTGGATATATACCTAAAAATGGAATGTCTGGGTCATATGGTAACTCTATGTTTAACTTTTTGAGGAACTTTCAAACTGTTTTCCAAAATAGCTGCTCCATTTTATATTCCCACCAGCAATAATACATGATGGGTCCTATTTCTCCACGTCATGGCCAGTGCATGTTATTGTCTGTCTTTTTGATTATAGGCATTCTAGTGGATGTGAAGTGATATTGTAAGTGGCTTTGACGTGCATTTTTCTAACAACTTATGATGGTGAGCATTTTTTCATGTGCTTATTGGCCATTTGTATATCTTCTTTGAAGAAATGTCTATTCAAGTACTTTGCCCATTTAAAAAATCATTTTTATTGAATTTTAAGAGTTCTTTATAACATATATGATTTGCAAATATATGCAGTATTTTTTTCCCATTCTATGGAAGAATCACCTGAGGTTTTTTTTTTTTTTTTTTCTGTTACCGTTTCATTCTGTCACCCAGACTGGAGTGCAGGGGGCATGGTCATGGCTCACTGCAATCTCCACCTTCTGGGATCAAGCAATCCTCTCACCCCAGCCTCCGGAGTAGCTAGGACTACAGTTGCACACCACCATGCCCAGCTAATTTTTGTATTTTTTTGTAGAGATGGGGTTTTGCCATGTTGTCCAGGCTGGTCTCAAACTCCTGGGCTCAAGCAATCCACCTGACTCAGCCTGCCAAAGTGCTGGGATTACAGGCATGAGTCACAGTGCCTGTCTTCACCTGAGTTTTTTATGTGCACTTAATTTTGAGAACCACTGGTAATGGAAACAAGAGCTTTGAAGGTAGGCCGTAGATTGAAACCCAGCTCTGCTGCTTATTAGCTGGGTAATCTTGGACAAGTGGCTTAGCTTTTCTGAGCTTCAGTATTTTGTATGTGTGAAACAAGATTAATATTGACCTTTTTGCTTTTCTGTGAAAGTAAAATGAGACAGGTGAAATGCCAAGAATGGTAGGTATTTAGCATTGGTAGCTACTGTTATTAGTGGAAAATTGAAGTCCAGGAAGAATGTTGTCTTATTCAAGGTACAAAAGGAAGTTATCGTGTTTCATGAATTATAAGAAGCACATTGTTTTACATTCTTACATTTCTGAAATCAAGATGCATCTTATGGCTCTTTTAGGCTGTGATGCAGTTGTCATTGCCTCTTCATGCATAGAACTTGCGGGATGGGTATCAGCAATCTTGTAAGAAAATCCCAGAGACAATGGTTGGAATACAAATGTTGGATCACCTGGGCTTTTGATAGCATGGAGGATGGTAATTTGTGGAAATATATGGATGTCAGTGACTGATTCAAAAAAATGAGAAGAGTTCGACTCTGAATGTGACCCATTTATGCACCAGTTTATTTCATTTATCTTTTTTTATTATGCATATGCTAAACTCTGACTAAATAAGTTTAAAAGAACTCTTTTAATAAGTATAAATGAAAATTCTAAGTAACGGTATTGTGTTAATTGGCAGCATTTTTTTCTTAGCAGAATATAAAATAATGTGTCTTGCAGTTAATGGTGTTCTTATTTTTTAAATTTTTTAATTTTTTTTTTTTTTTGAGACATAGTCTTGGTTTGTTGCCTAGACCGGAGTGCAGTGGTGCGATCTTGGCTTACTGCAACCTCTGCCTTCCAGACTCAAGCGATCCTTGTGCCTCAGCCTCCCGAGTAGCTGGGATTACAGCTGTATGCCACCATGCCCAGATAATTTTTGTAGTAATTTTTATTTTTTTTGAGACGAAGTCTCACTCTGTCACCCAGGCTGGAGTGCAGTGGCGCTATCTTGGCTCACTGCAAGGTCCGCCTTCTGGTTTCACGCCATTCTCCTGCCTCAGCCTCCTGAGTAGGTGGGACTACAGGTGCCCGCCACCATGCCTGGCTAATTTTTTTTTTTTTTTTTTGTACTTTTAGTAGAGAGGGGGTTTCACCGTGTTAGCCAGGATGGTCTCGATCTCCTGACCTTGTGATCCACCTGCCTCGGCCTCCCACAGTGCTGGGATTACAGGCGTGAACCACTGCGCCCGGCCTAATTTTTGTAGTTTTTATAGAGATGGGATTTCGTTATTTGGTTAGGGCTGGTCTCCAACTCCTGGTCTCAAGTGATCTGCCTGCCTCAAGCTCCCAAAGTGCTGGGATTACAGGCGTGAACCACCATGCCCAGCCCTCAGTGATGTTTTAGATGTGATGAAAACTGGAAGTAGCAGATCAGGTACTGGACTCAGGTATTTAAAAATTCATTCAACAATCATAGTTGCTTCTCAATTAGTATTCTTTCAAATTAGAACTTAAAATGTTGTAAATCTTGAGAGGGAGAATTTTTGAAAAACTGAGAGCTGCAAGAAAAAAAGATCAAGTAGGGCTACACTTAAATAACATTTCTTTAAGAGAGGGAAAAAAAGATTACCTGATTTTATAATTAATAAAAGGTAACATGCAACTTCGAATGACTAAATAAAATTTAAATGTAAATATATACTTCCATATTATGGTCAGTTATGTTGGGGAGAAAAAGGAGATGCTAACTAGGCAGAGAAGGAAATATAGTTTGAGAGGGTCTGTTTAATTAAACTTTTTTTGTCACAGACCACTGTGTACTTGAAATTGAAAGAATTAGGGTTTTGGTAATACCTCTTCCTATTGGTGACTCTTGGTTTATTAGCTCCTAAGCCATTATTCAGAAATCTTTACCTGCTCCTAAAATTTAAAGATTCTTTTCTGAATGGGACAGCCATTGCAGCCCAAGGCAGGTGAAGATAGTTTATGATTCATAGACATGAATAGAGGATACTCTCCTGAACTTGATGGTATTAAACTAAGGACTAATAATGAAAGTTACTTATCTCTAGGGTTAAGAATAGAAGTGTTAGTCTGGCACCATAGCACGTGCCTGTAGTCCTTGCTAAGGCAAGAGGATCTGCTTGAGCCCACAGTGAGCTATGATAGTACTTGTGAGTAGCCACTACACTCCAGCCTGGGCAACTTAGCAAGACCCTATCTCTAAGAAAAAAGTATTGAATAATTTTTATGTATACTTTACCTTCCCCTGGTCTTTTTAGCCACACCCAGGTATATAAATATAAGAGATTATGGGCCAGGCGCGGTGGCTCACACCTGTAATCCCAGCACTTTGGGAGGCCAAGGCGGGCGGATCACGAGATCAGGAGATTGAGACCATCCTGGCTAACATGGTGAAACCCCGTCTCTACTAAAAAAAATTAGCTGGGCGTGGTGGCGGGTGCCTGGAGTCCCAGCTACTCGGTGGGGGCTAAGGCAGGAGAATGACGTGAACCCGGGAGGCAGAGCTTGCAGTGAGTGAGCTGAGATCACACCACTGCACTCCAGCCTGGGCGACAGAGCGAGACTCTGTCTCAAAAAAAAAAAAAAAAAAAAGATTATGAAGGTAATCTGTGTGGTAGCATAGGTGTGATATATCGGAACAAGTGCTAGTTTACAGCAGTGGTCCCCAACCCTTTTTGGCACCAGGGACCAGTTTCCTGGAAGACAGTTTTCCCATGGACTGCGGGTGGGGTCAGGGGGATGGTTTTGGGATGATTCAAGTGCATTACATTTATTGTGCACTTTATTCCTATTATTGTTACATTGTAATATATAATGAAAACAATTATGCAACCCAGTATACTGTAGAATCAGTGGGAGGCTGAGCTTGTTTTTCTGCAACTGGACGGTCCCATCTGGGGTTGGTGGGAGACAGTGACAGATCATCAGGCATTAGATTCTCATGAGGAGCATGCAACCTAGATCCCTTGCATGTGCAGTTCACAATAGGGTTCGTGCCATGAGAATCTAATGCTGCTGCTGATCTGACAGGAGGCGGAGCTCAGGTGGCAATGTGAGCAATGCGGGGGCGGCTGTAAGTATGGACGAAGCTTGGCCTGCTTGCCCGCCACTCACCTCCTGTTGTGTGTCCCAGTTCCTAACAGGCCACAGACCGTTAGTGGTCCGTGGCCTGGGGGTTGGGGACCCCTGGTTTAGAGACATGCAACCTGGGTATCAATTCTAGTTCACAAATTATGGCGCCCAGCTGTAATTTGTTTTGTAATTGAGAACATCAATTTAGAAATTAGAGTCTCTGGCCAGGCGCGGTGGCTCATGCCTGTAATCCCAGCACTTTGGGAGGCCGAGGTGGGCAGATCAAGAAGTCAGGAGATCGAGACCATCCTGGCTAACATGGTGAAATCTCGTCTCTACTAAAAATACAAAAAATTAGCCAGGCACGGTGGCACATGCCTGTAGTCCCAGCTACTGGGGAGGCTAAGGCAGGAGAATCGCTTGAACCCGGGAGATGGAGGTTGCAGTGAGCTGAGATCACACCACTACACTCCAGCCTGGGCAACAGAGCGAGACTCTGTCTCAAAAAGAAAATAAAAATAAAAAGAAATTATAGCCTGACTTATTCTTTAAAGAGTAACCTGTGGGTTGAAACGTGAAATTAATCTCAAAGATAAACTGCTCCAGTGATGCTACAGAATCTTTCACCACGGTTAGTAGTCCTAGGTACCTTCCATCTTTCTGTATGTTGGTAATGATTCTCCTCGTGATTGCTGGATAGTTTCTGCAACTCCAAGTACTATATTTTCATATAACAACTTCAGGTGGAAGAAGAGGAGAGCAGGACAATTTCTCCTTATGCAAATTTTTCCTACCTTTCTCCCTCCTTCCCCCATCTCTGTTTCCTTCCTTTTTTCTTTTGTTCCACCAGGGAAGAAATTTTTTACCAGAAATTAACTCAACAGACTTTCCCTTATATTTCATTATCTGTGTTTGCGTCATATGCTTGAACATGCCTAGCTGCAGAGGAGGCTGGAAATGTGATCTTCTTGGAGGTAGGTCCTTGCCAACAAACAAAAAAGGTAGTGGTGGCAGTAATGTAGCTTTTGCCACATTATTGTTTTGCCTGATTTGCTGCAGGGACCCATTTCCAGTTTACTCCTAGAGGTTCCCATAAAAGTATTAAAAAATGCATTGGAGTTAGATTATGAGGGCTATCACTGGAACTCCAGTTGTCCCAAGCTGACTGGTAATTAGAGACTCCATAGAAATTATTTGTATTCCCTCTTCCCAATTCCTTTTGAATTAAGTATGTCAGGTTAGGAGTAGGTTTTTGTATTTTGGCCTCTTAGGATTCTCCTCCCAATCTTACCACTTCAGTCTTCTGATAATTTGGAGAAATGGTGGTCAAAGGGCCCGCAGGCAATTGTGTTCTCAGTGAACCTTTTTTTTTTTTTTTTTTGAGATGGTCTTATTCTGTTGCCCAGGCTGGAGTACAGTGGTGTGATCTCACAACGCCTGGCTAATTTTTTGTATTTTTAGTAGAGACGGTGCTTCACTATGTTGGCCAGGCTGGTCTCAAACTCTTGACCTTGACCTCAGGTGATTCCCACCCCCGCCCCCCAACCCAAAGTGTTGGGATTACAGCTTGAGCCACTGCACCCAGCTGTGAACTTCTTTTTACTTCTCAGGTGAAGGCATTAGTGAAGTGCCTAAATTTAAAGGAGGGAAGGCCATATAAAGAGTTTTAATCACCCTTAGCTGAATAATTTGCCCCTTAATAATTGATGATTGGCAATTTACTCTTGAGAGTATCAAGTCTGAAGCTGTTTATCTGAGGAGGCCTGTAAGTTGATGGTTTTCTTTGTAAATTCTCCAGATGTTCATTTGAGCCCCACAGATGCCATTCTATGTTGTTGGTATCAGTCTTCAGGGGTGATCTGATGCATAAGCAGGGGTTAGTTTTGTAAGTCTGGCTCGTGTTCTTGGCTTTTCAGTAACTAATTAGGGATCTAGGCACAGAAACTTGTAACCCTGTCCTTTGTCCCACTGCTGCAGATGTTCTGTCAGTGTTGATCGGGAGTAATTTATGGAACCTTAGCTGGTATTTTTGTTAATTTCATTTTGTTAGGTCCTTTCAATATTCCTTGATCGTGCTTTGTTTTAACATTCCATTTGATCTTTTTGGCATTCATGTGGGAATCCTTTGTCATCCAGATGTTTTCTGTTTTGTGAGCTTGGAAATAATCCCAATTTAATAAGAAAATGTTATTTCTGGTGTTATGAAAAGTGTTACCATGTCTGTGGTTCCACAGAAACAAGTTGGAGTATATATTATATATGTCTCCTGATTGTATTTTAGTGATAATTGTTTTTCCTCTTACTGGTGATTGGAGGATGGGAGCAAGGGACAGAGACTCTTTTTGTTGTTTGCTTTTGAGACAGAGTCTTATTCCATCCCAGGCTGGAGCACAGTGGTGCAATCTCGGCTCACTGCAACCTCTGCCTCCCGTGTTCCAGCAATTCTTGTGCCTTGGCCTCCTGAGTAGCTAGGATTACAGGTGTGCAACACGATGCTCGGCAAATTTTTTTATTTTTCATAAAGATAGGGTTTTGCCATGTTGGTCAGGCTGGTCTTGGACTTCTGACCTCAAGTGATCCACCTGCCTTGGCCTCCCAAAGTGCTGGGATTACAGACGTGAGCCACTGCACCCAGTCTAAGCTTTTTATTGTATGTTCTTTTTTGTGTATTTTGAATTTTAAACTATGTGAATATTATGCTCAAAACTAAAATTTAATGATTCAGTAATATTGGTAAACATTTTATTGCATGTCTGTTAAGCATAACAGATATTTAACAGATATTATAAAAGTTCGTATTAGTTGATGCTAAAATGCCATTTTTGGCTTTTAATTAGTTTTTAGTGAAGCTATTTTCATTATTAATAGACTTTAAAATTTATTTCTAATATGTACAAGTATTAAGAATACTTGATTTACAAACTTTTCTTCATAAAGTGATTGGTTTCCAGTTGGTTGTAGCACAAAGTTGGGAAAACAAGCTTTATGTACTACTGTATTCCTTTCTTTCTGTATTGTGGAATTTTTTTTTTTTTTTTTTTTTTTTTTTTTTTAAGATGGAATCTTGCCCTGTTGCCCAGGCTGGAGTGCAGTGGCGTGATCTCAGCTCACTGCAACCTCTGCCTCCCAGGTTCAAGCGATTCTCCTGCCTCAGCCTCCCAAGTAGCTGGGATTACTGGTACCCATGACTATGCCTGGCTAATTTTTGTATTTTTAGTAGAGATGGGATTTCACCATGTTGGCCAGCCTGGTCTCGAACTTCTGACCTTGTGATCCGCCCACCTCGGCCTCCCAAAGTGCTGGGATTACAGGTGTGAGCCACCGCACCTGGCCGTGGAATTCTTTTGTCTTGAAACAAGCAAACATATTAGATAGAGTCTTGCCTAATGTCAAATTTCATTTTAGCTGCCTTTATCCAAAGGTTTTATATCATAGCCATCAATTAAAACATTGTTTCTGTTGTGAAATGTAGTTTTGCATTAGCCAGCTCTCTCCATGGAAGAATGGTTTGCTCTGTTTTACTAAAAGAAGTGTTTTATATAATAGTTTTTCTTAGTTACATTGAATCAATTGAAATTGTTAGTATTCCATTTTCTTTCTTTCTTTTTTCTTTTTCTTTTTGCATTTGTTAGCTATTCCTCTGTTTTTAAAGTGGTCATTCTAAGATATGACATTGTGTTTTTTTTTGTCTTGAGACAGGGTCTCTGTTGTCTGGGCTAGGTTATAGTGGTGCGGTCATGGCTCACTGCAGCCTTAACCCCTTGAGCTCAAACAGTCCTCTTGCCTCAGCCTCCTGAGTAGCTCAGACTACAGATGTGTGCCACTATGCCTGGCTAATTTTTTAAATTCTTAGTAGAGACAGGGTCTTACTATGTCTCCCAGGCATCATTGAACTGTGGAGCTCAAGCAGTCCCCCTTCTTTGGCCTCCCAAAGTGCTGGGATTATAGGCATGAGCCACCACACTCGATCTACACCATGCATTCTTAATTTATCACTGTCTACTTAGAGTTAATATTGTACCATTCCACATACGACCTTACAATGGTCTAATTACAGTTATTCCATCCCAGACTTTGTGCTGCTTATAAACCTCGTAATATAATGTTAGTTTTCTTTAAACAGGTATCTTTTAAAAAGATTAAGAGAAGGAAAAAAGTCTTATATTTACTAATCCTGACTCTTCTTTCCTTCCTGAAACCAACATACAGGTTTGAGTTTCCATCTGTTATCATTTTCTTTCAGCTTAAGGAACTTCCTTCAGCATTTCTGGTGCAATTCTGCAGCTTTTGACACTTCTCTTAGCTTTCATATGTCTGAAAATGTCTTTATTTCACCCTCACTTTGGGAAGATATTTTTGCTGGATATAGAATTCTGAGTTGGTCACTCCAGTGTCTTCTGGCTTTCATTATTTCTGATGAGAAGTTAGCTCTTACTTATAGACTTGTTCACATCTATGGAATGTGCTTTCCCTTGCTCTAATAGCTTTTTTCTCTTTATCTTTGGTTTCCTACAGTTTGAGTGTAATGTGACTAGTATAGTGTCTGTAATTATCTTGTTTGGGGTTCATCATTCAATGGTTGATGCTTTTCATGAAACCTGGGAAACTTCTGGCCATTGTTTCCTTTTTTTTTTTTTGAGACAGAGTCTCACTCTGTTGCCCAGGCTGGAGTGCAGTGGCGTAATCTCAGCTCACTGCAACCTCCGCCCCCTTGGTTCAAGTGATTCTCCTGCCTCAGCCTCCTGAGTAGCTGGGATTAGAGGCACACGCCATCATGCCCAGCTAATTTTTGTATTTTCAGTAGAGGCGGGGTTTCACCATGTTGGCCAGGCTGGTCTCGAACTCCTGACCTCTGGTGATCCACCTACCTTGGCCTCCCAAAGTGCTGGGATTACAGGTGTGAGCCACTGCGCCTGGCCCATTATTTCTTCAAATATTTTTTTTCTGCCCCATTCTCTCTCTTCTTTTTTTAAAATTATTATTATTATACTTTAAGTTCTAGGGTACATGTGCACAATGTGCAGGTTTGTTATATATGTATACATGTGCCATATTAGTGTGCTGCACCCATTAACTCGTCATTTACATTAGGTATGTCTCCTAATGTTATCCCTTCCCCGTCCCCCCATCCCACAATAGGCCCTGGTGTGTGATGTTCCCCATCCTGTGTCCAGGTGTTCTCATTGTTCAATTCCCATCCATGAGTGAGAACATGCGGTGTTTGGTTTTCTGTCCTTGCAATAGTTTGCTCAGAGTGATGGTTTCCAGCTTCATCCATGTCCCTACAAAGGACGTGAACGCATCCTTTTTTATGGCTGCATAGTATTCCATGGTGTGTATGTGCCACATTTTCTTAATCCAGTCTATCATTGATGGACATTTGGGTTGCCATATGCAGAAAGCTGAAACTGGATCCCTTTCTTACACCTTATACAATATTAAGGCCTGTTCATGACAAATTTAAACTTTAATTTTATGATAAGATTATCTCTTTTCAGGTAACTCAGTTTGACCACCTTGTTTTGATTTATAGTGGATCAAGGGCTGAAAGGCAAAGAAGTTTAAAGATTCCCTTTTAAGTAAGAGTCAGTTGGCCAGCACCTGTAACTAGAGAAAAGGCAGCTCTGTTTAGACTGCATTTGATCAGTCTGAGAGGTGATATACTCTCCAGCCTCTGTGATGTTTTGAAGTGGTGGAGGGGGATGGTTATGCAATTAAGAAGATCGTATAGTTTATTCAAATTCCTGAATATTGCCATTATAGTGTGATGACATTGTCTTTGAAATATTTTGAATTCCCAGAATTAAACATAGCTTATTCAAATATAGATGCCAAGAACGCATTATAAAAGCAAGAGTCACCTGTGCACTTTACATTACAGATGCCTAGGCCCTATTCCTAAGATTCTGCGTTGGTAGATTTTGGGAGAGGCCTGCGCATATATAAAAAGCCATAGCATATGATTCTCATTTGTAATTAAGGATGAGCGCTACTTTTCCAGGAGTTACCACCGTTTAATATGCATTGTTTGATATGCATTTCAGATACTTTTCCTGACCTCAGGGATTCCAGGAAATACTGGCTTGGCTAGGAGATACTGCAGGAGAGGTGGAATTCCAAGATGTATAAAATTATCAATTGGATAGTCAACATTGAATTTGTCATAGGTCAAAAATGTCAGTGAAATAATTGGTGATTTAACACATTTATTTTATTGTGTACCCCAATAGATGATAGATAAAGAGAGTGGCGGTTTGGCTTGTTTATAAAGTGTTTTTCTCCCTTCTTTAATGTATATATAGTTCATGTTAATTAATTACAGATTTATCCTTCACCTATGTATCTTTTAAAATTAATTATTTTGTGGTTTTTTTTGATGGGACAAGGAAGGATGAGGTTCCTTACAGTTGTATAAATGTTCAATGATTAAGATAAACTATGTGTACTCTAAATGTAACTGCGTTGTAGAGTATGAAAACATTCAGCAATGAGACTAAATGACATTTACTTAATCTGCATATCTTGTAGATTCTTTGTAAATGTAGTAGAACAGCCACACTATAAAGCTATTGTTTGTGCTCTTTTGAAAAATATAATCCACTTTGGGATGGCAAATTCATTCTTTATGAATTTCACAGAGTCCAATAGAGACTTTTTTTCTAAGTGTCTAATAAGTACCATCTCCAAGGCATCTGAGTAATATATATCCTAAATCTTGCCATGCCTTCATTGGACTGTATTAATTCTCTTAATAAACTGTCCCCTTCTTTTTCCCTCATTAACACTAGTTTTCTACTTTTGCCTATTTGATTTAACAAAGGAAATTTAAGTCTCTATTCCTTAGCCATGCATCTCTACTTCAGGCCATTTCTTACAAGTAGCCATTCCTGTGTTCTGAAGAGCAGATCAAGAAAGAAGATGGTTAAGTGGTGTTACCTTTGTGCAGGATAGTGCAGTCTGCCACTGAGGGGATGCCTGTATACCTGCTTTCCTGGTGGGGTGGTTTTCTCTGGGGCTATCAGGGTGCATTCAGCTGCAGCAGAGTCTATGTCTTGATGTTTCTTCTGGTAGTCTGAGTCTCTAATACGGGGAAGTTTTTGTACTTGTAAGAGGTTGGAGTCAGTTATTATCAGCGTCATTATTTTTCTTTGATGAAAACATAAAATTTGAATCACTTTCTTATTGATTTGGCTTTGAGCTACATTTTTTTTTTTTGCCTTTTAAGTTAGCAACAACAACAAAAAACTCTGGTATTAAAGAAAACCTAAAGGAGAAAACCCCACTATCCTAAACAGATAACTGTTTCTTACTTGGTTTTGCTTTATGTTTGTCTATATTGATTATGTGTGTTTTTACATAGTTGCAGTCATATTGTAGATAGCATTTTGTGTTCAATTTTTTAATGAAACATTATATCCTAAGTACTTTTCAGGTTAAGTACTATCATAATTATAACTGTGTGGTTTTCCAAGTGTATTTCCTAGACCAGTGGTATCAACACCATCTGGAACTTGTTAAAAATGCAGTTTTGTAGGCTTATCCCTAATCTCCTGCATCAGGAACTCTGAGAGTGGAGCCCAGCAATCCATGTTTTAATAATCACTTTTAGGTGATTCTCATATATATTAAAGTTTGTGGACCACTGTTATAAATTATAGCTATTGTTTACAGTGGCATTTTTATTGTTTACTTACCTTACCTTACAATATCTAAGGATGTAGACTTTTTTTTTTTTTGGCCCTTAACAATTACTGATTCTTTGTTAAGACTTTATTGTCTTAAGCTTTACAGGTTGATTTTCTGTTTATAAAATGTTAAACATCTATTATTTCATTTAAATCTTAGCAACCCAAGAGGCAGATATCATTATTTGTATAGGTGAGGGAACTTAAGCACAGAAGGATTTACTAATTTGTCTAAGATCACAACTTTTAATTTTTTATTCTTTTAAAGTTATATATTTATAATGCTTTATGAGGCCTTTTCTGGTATCCTCCCTTCTCTTTTTCCTTTTTAAGTGTCCTTCATCTGTGTAGAGTGGGAATAATGGACTATCTGGTTTACTAGGGTGTAACAAAACAGTATTTGAAATATGAGATGGGGATAAAATTGCATTTACCAGAGCTCCTTCTGGGATAAGTATGAGAGGAATAAGCAGAAGCAAATAATCTTCTTGGGAGGTGTGTGTGTGCGTGCATGCGTGTGTGTGTGTGTGTGTATGTGTATGTGTATAAGAGAGAGAGTGAGACCCCAAAGGGTATGCTTAATTGCTTTTTAAGGAAGTTGAGTAAATTAGGAATACATTTTTATAGGATATGCAAGTTTGGAGACAGAGCTAAATTGCTGAGAAAGAGAAGAGGTGTAAGCTCTGCAACTAGTAGCTCTCTGCCTCTTGTCTAAACAAACGTTGAACAATAACAAAAATATTGACTTGAGGGGTGCCAGATTAGATTTCGTGGGGAGCCTATGTTTTTGACTCTGCCTGTGTGTTCCCATAACATCCAGTGCTGTTAGAGCATTCATCACATTATATGTTAATCATCTATTTTTTTTTTTTTTTTGGTATATCTTCACCTCCAGACTGTGAGCTTTTTCGGAGCAAGACTGTCTTTTATCTTCATATGTTTCTTTTTTTAATTTTTGTTTTATTATTATTATTTTTTTAGACACAATTTTGCTGTTGTTGCCCAGGCTGGAGTGCAGTGGCATGATCTCAGCTCACTGCAGCCTCCGCCTTCCAAGATGAAATGATTCTCCAGCCTCAGCCTCCTGAGTAGCTGGGATTATAGGCATGCACCACCACGCCCGGCTAATTTTGTATTTTTAGTAGAGACGGGGTTTCACCATGTTGGTCAGGCTGGTCTCGAACCCCTGACCTCAGGTGATCCACCTGCCTTGGTTTCCCAAAGTGCCAGGATTACGGGTGTGAGCCACTGCTCCTGGCCTATCTTCATATGTTTCTGAGCCTGGTATACACTTACTGAAGAAATGTTTGCTACCAAATGAGACATTGTTGGCCAATTAATACTTAATAGACTTTTAAAATGTACATTGTTCTTAAAAGTCAAGTTTTATTTTCCTTTGTTTACATAAAGACCATATGCTACATTATAATATGTAATCTTCCATAGTTCAATAAATATACAAGGATGTAAACAAGTGTCAGATGTGGCCTGGGTCTGTGTCCCCACCCAAATCTCATCCTGAATTCCCATAATTCCCACGTGTTGTGGGAGGGAGCTGGTGGGAGATAATTGAATCATGGGGGTGGTTTCCACCGTGCTGTTCTTGGTGGTAGTGAATAAGTCTCATGAGATCTGATGGTTTTATCAGGGGTTTCTGCTTTTGCATCTTCCTCATTCCCTCTTTGCCTTCTGCCATCCATGTAAGAGGGGACTTGCTCCTCCTCGCCATGATTGTGAGGCTTCCCCAGCCATGTGGAACTGTAAGTCCAATTAAACTTCTTTCTTTTGTAAATTGCCCAGTCTTAGGTATGTCTTTATCAGCAGCATGAAAGCAGACTAATACAGTGTTCTTATTTACATCCTTGTATATTTATGGTACTAATTTTTAGGATAAATAAGGATAAATTTCTAGAAGTAGAATTGATGGGTCAAATATTGTATACTCTTTAAATGGCTGTCTAGGCCAGGTATGCTAGTTTACACCTGTAATCCCAGCACTTTGGGAGGCCAAGGTGGGAGGATCACTTGAAGCCAGGAGTGAGACCAACCTGGGCAACACAGTGAAATCCCATCTCTACAAAAAAATAAAAAAAATTAGCCAGGTATGGTGGCATGTGCCTGTAGTCCCAGCTACTTGGGAGGCTGCACCCAGGAGGTTGAGGTTATAGTGAGCTATAATTGTGCCACTGCCTTCCAGTTTAGGTGACAGAGTGAGACCCCATATGTATTAAAAAACAAATCTGTCATCATAGTAGGAGATTTTAACACACCTCTCTGAAGTGGATATATTAAGCACATAAAAATTTTAAAGTATATAGATTTGAATTTAATGATTAATACACTAGTTACATAATACAGAATTCTATATCCCATATTAGAGAATATGCATTCTTTTTTTTTTTTTTGAGGCAGAGTCTCGCTCTGTTGTGCAGGCTGGAATGCAATGGCATGATCTTGGCTCACTACAACCTCTGCCTCCCAGACTCAAAGCAATCTTCCCTCTTCAGTCTCCCGAGTAGCTGGGACTACAGGCATGTGCCACTATGCCTGGCTAATTTTTGTATTTTATGTAGAGACAGGATCTCATCATGTTGCCCAGGATAGCCCCGAACTCCCAAGCTTGAGCTATCCATCTGCCTTGGCCTCCCAAAGTGGTAGGATTACAGACGTGAGTCACCGCGCCTGGCCTTTAGAGAATATGCATTCTTTTCAAACAAAAATTAATTATTTATTTATTAGCCCATAAAAAGAGTCTCAAATAATTCTGTGGAATTGATATCATACATGTTGTGTAGTATGTGTCTAAGAGAGGGCTCAGGAACCAAATGTGGTTTTCCCCTAGTTGTATGACCTTGGGTAAGTTACTTATGTGCTTCAATTTTCTCATCTGTAAAACAGAAATGGTAATAGTGGTCTCTCAGAGTTGTGAGGGCTGGCATTCAGAACAATGCATTACACGTGGTAAGGGCTCAGTTAGTGTTTGCCATCATCATTATAGTATCATCATATTCTCTGATCACATGCAATGAAAATAGAAATCAGTAATGAAGAGATAAACATCCTCTTCCTTACACCAAAAAGAAAAACCTCCAAATATACCATTCAGCAATAAAAATGAGTGAATTATGGATACACACATCAATGTGGGTGAATCTCAGAAACATTCTTAGTGAAAGAATTCAGATACAAGAATATATACTGTATACTATACTCCAGAATTATATACTGAAAAGTTCTAAAACAGGCAGAACTAATTTGTGGTGGTGGAGAAGTCAGTACAGTGGTTTCCTCTGGTGTTTAAGGGTAGGAATTGACTAAGATGGGGCATGAGGAAACTTTTTGGGATGATAGTGCCATTCTGTGTCCTTTGTTTTTGTTTTTGTTTTTTTGAGATGGAGTCTTGCTCTGTCACCCAGGCTGGAGTGCAGTGGCACAGTCTCGGCTCACCGCAGTCTCTGCCTGCTGAGTCCAAGCAATTTTCCTGCCTCAGCCTCCCAAGTTGCTGGGATTATATGCACCTGCCACCATACCCTACTAATTTTTATATTTTTAGTAGAGATGGGGTGTTACCATGTTGGCCAGGCTGGTCTCGGGAATGCGTGACCTCCAGTGATCTGCCCACCTTGGCCTCCCAAAGTGCTGGGATTACAGGTGTGAGCCACTGGGCCTGGCCCCATTCTATGTCTTGATAGGGATTTGGGTTTCATAGGTATGTACATTTGTCAAAACTCAGAAAATGTATATATAATATGTGTGCATATGATTTTAAGTAGTTTTACATAAAAAGATAAGCAAATATTGGATGCTGGTTAACACTAAGCATGCTGAAATATTTAGAGGGAAGAGTATTATTGTCTACAATTTGCTTTAAAGACACCAAAAATAAGGTGGATTAATTAATGGCTAGGGAGATGGATAAATGGATAGATATGTGATAAAGCAAGTCTAATAGAATTTTGTGGCAGAATCTAATGGCGGCTATATGGATGTTAGCTGTAAAATTCTTTACAATGTGATTGAAAAATTTTGCAATAATCTGTTGAAGCTTTCTTCCCATTCCCCTACTTGTGCTTGCAAACTAAAAACAAACAAAACCACTACTAACTGAGTTAAAGTAGAAATTATAATGAGAATTACTAAATACCACACAATGAAAATGAATGCCCTATATAAACAAACTTGTAGGGTATGATTCAAAAGGAAATTTATAGCTCTTAATGAATTTGTTAGAAAATAGGACAGATTGAAAGGTAGTGGGTTCATCTCAATAAATTAGGAAAAAACCCAAAATATGCCTAAAAGCCTAATAGGATGGAAAAATAATAAAATATAAATCATGCATTATTATGTAGTATTTAAGAGTGTGGACTCTTGAACCAGATTGCCTGATTGTGAATTCTTAGTTCTCCACTTCCTGCTTGTCCAAACTTGGTTACTTAACCCGTCTGTGTCTTCTTAGCTTCCTTATCTACAAAATGAAGATAATAATAGAATCAAATTCATAGGTTTGTGAAGATTGAATAAGTTAATATGTTAGTACATGTAGAATGTATTTGTTATAAGTACCAGCTTATAAATACCAGCTTCTGTTATTGATAAGTAGAAAGATGAATGGAAAACAAAAATACGTATAATCAATAGGCCAACAGCTAGTTTTTTGAAAAGACCAATATGATACAGAAAACTCAGGAAAAAGGAGTAATAAAAATCAATATGCTAAAAATGAAACAGAGATATAACAATAGTGATTTTTTTTGGGGAAAAATGGAAAGGTTTTACATGAAAAAATATAATTACTCTTACCGAAGAATAAAGAGGAACTTGAATTGACCATGAAACAATTTGAGTTCATAACTAAAAAAAGAGATATGGGCCAGGCGCTGTGGCTCATGCCTGTAATCCGTGCACTTTGAGAGGCCAAGTTGGGAGATTGCTTGAGGCCAGGAGTTCGAGACTAGCCTGGGCAACATGGCGAGATCCTGTCCCTAATAAAAATAAAAAGCAATTAGCTGGGCATGGTGGTGTATGCCTGTAGTCCCCGCTACTTGGGAGGCTGACGCGGGAGCTTGTGCCCAGGATTTAAAGGCTTTAGTGAGTTATGACCACACAACTGCACTCCAGCATGGGTGGCAGAGTAGTGGGACCCCATCTCAAAGAAAAAAAAACAAAAACGAAAGAAGGAATTATGACTTTTGATAATGCACTAGGCCCAGAAAAGACATTTTTGCAATTAAGTTTTATCAAGTCAGATAATACTTATTTTATGGAATGTTTCACAGAATGAGAAAAACACCCAGCTCATTTTATTAATCTTGTATAACTGTGATGCCACAATCTAACAGGACAGTACAAGCAATCAAATTATATGCCAGTCTGCCTTAGGAGCATAAGTAAAAATATCGTCAACAAAAATTTACTAAATAGAATCTAGTGGTATATAAGAAAATTAAGTAATAATGAAATTGGGTTTTTATAAAAACTTCAAGGACAATTTAATATTAGAAAATCTAACATTAACAGATTGAAGGAGTAGAACCATAAGATCATCTCAGTAAAGATTCAGTATCCAATCAGAATAAAAACTCTTATTAGCAAACTAGAAATAGAAAGGAAAGTCTTCAATCTGAAAAGAAGGATATTTATTTAAAAATCTGCAGTCATCATATTTAGTGGTGATGTTTTAAGAGTCTTCTCATTAAACTCGTGGATAACACAGTTGTGCCCCTGTGATGGTTACTTTTATGTATCAACTTGCTTATGCTGTAGTACCCAGCTATTTAATCAAATGTTAATCTACATGTTGCCATGAAGGCATTTTGTGGATGTTGGTAACATCTACAGTCAGTTGACTTTAAGTAAAGGAGGCTACCCTCAATAATGTGGATATGTCTCACAATTAGTTGAAAGGCCTTAGGAACAAAACTGAGGTATCTGGAAGAAGAAGAAATTTTGCCTCAAGACTGCAGCATCAACTCCTATCTCAGTTTGGCAGCCTGATGGCCTGCCCTACAGATTTTGGACTTGTCAGCTCCTACAATTGCATGAACCAATTTCTTAAAATAAATATCTTTATGTCTGTCTGTGTCTAGCTATCTGCCTTCTCTCTCGTGTTTTCTCTCTTCCCTATTCACTCTGTTTCTCTGAAGAACCTTGATGCATGCACCCTCCAGTGCCAGAAGACATGAAAACGACACGAAAGTATAGAGTTGGAAAAGATATATAAGATTGTTTTCATTTAAAAACAGTGAGATAGGGCGGGCGCAGTGGCTCACAGCACTTTGGGAGGCCAAACGTCAGGAGAACGAGACTATCCTAGCTAACACAGTGAAACCCCATCTCTGCTAAAAATACAAAAGAGGCACTGAAGAAGGTAGGAAAGAGAGTCTTGAATTGCCAACGCCACCCCTCTTCCATACCCTGGCACTGGCTGCATGGTGTGGAGATTCTGCATGTCAGGGAGGGAGAGTGCTGTGATTGAGACCCTCCATTGAACTCAGTGCTGTTCTGTCGAAGGGGAAAGCAAAACTGGGCTAAACTTAGCCAATGACCACTCATGGAGGGAGCATTTAGGCCAGCCATAGTCAGAGGGGAATCTCCCAGCCCAGTTGTTGGAACTTGAATTTCAGCACGCCTTGCCACTGCAGGCTAAATTGCTGTAGGCCCTACATAAACTTGAAAGGCAGTCTAAGACACTAGGACTCCAATTCTTAGGCAAGTCTTTGTGCTGAGCTGGGCTCAGAGCCAGTGAACATGGTGGGGCACATGACCTAGTGAGACACCAGCCATGGCGTCCGAGGGAGTACTTGTGCCACCCCTCCCTCAGTTTTGGGCGCACAGCTTGTAGCTTCAAAAAAGACCCCCTCCTTCCGCTTGAGAAGAGGAGAGGTAAGAGTAAAGAGGACTTTTATCTTACATCTTGGATACCAGCTCAACCACTGGAGGATAGGGCACTGGGCGGAGTCATCAGGCCCTAGCTTCTGGATGACATATGTAGACACACCCTGGGCCAGAAGGGAAACTCCTGCCTTGAAGAGAAGGATCCAGTCCTGGTGGCATTCTTTACCTGCTGACTAAAGTGCCCTTGGGCCCTGAGGAACCAGCAGCAATACCTAGTTAGTACGCTGTGGGTCTTGGGTGAGCTTCTGTGATGTGCTGGCTTCAGGTGAGACCCAGCATATTTCCAGCTATGGTGGCTACAGTGAGAAACTCCTGCTTGAGAAAAGGGGAGGGAAAAGTGAAGGAGATTTAGTTTTGCACCTCAGGTATCAGCTTGGCCACAGTTGGGTAGAGCACCAAGCAGGCTCTTGGGGCCTCTGATTCCAGGATTTGGCCCTTGGACAGCGTTTCTGGACCTGCCCTGGGCCAGATGGGAGCCTACTGCGCTGAAGGGTTAGTCCCAGGTCTGGAAGAATTCACCACAAGATGACTGAAGAGCACTTGAGCCTGAAGTGAACATTGGCAGTAGCCTTGCAGTACCCTCTGTGGTTCTGGGGTGGTGATGACCTTGGGGAGAAGCTCTTCTGCTTGTGGAAAGAGAAGGGAAGAATAGGAAGGACTTTTGTCTTATAGTTTGAGTGCCAGCTTAGCTGCAGTAGAATAGAGCATCAAGTAGATTTCAAAGGTTTTTGACTCCAGTACCTGGCTACTGGCATCTCTGGACCTGCCTGGGGTATGGGGGAAATTGCCACCCTAAAGGGAAGGACAGAGGCCCAGCTTGCTTTATCACCTGCTGATTGTAGAGCCCTAGGCCCTTGAGCAAAGAGACCAAGTGTTGTGAGAAAGTAAGGAAAGAGAACAAGAATCTCTGCCTAGTAATATAGAGAATTCTTCTGGATCTTAACCAAGACCACTAAGGCAGTACCACTACAAGTTTTCAAGAAACATAGCATTACTGGGCTTGGGGTGCCCCCTAATGCAGATGTGGCTTAGATTACAACACCCAAGTTTCTTCAGATACCTGACAAACTTTCCCAAGAAGGATGGGTACAAATGGGTGTTTCTTCAAATGCCTGGAAAACTTTCCCAAGAAGGACGGGTACAAACAAGCCCAGACTATGACGACTACAATAAATACCAAACTCTTCAATGCCTGGACACCGACAAATATCCACAAGCATCAAGGCCAAGTCTTGGCAACATGGCGAAACCCCGTTTCTACTAAAAATAGAGAAACTAGCTGGGCGTGGTGGCACATGCTTGTAGTCCCAGCTACTCAGGAGGCTGAGGTGGGAGGATCACTTAAGCCCAGGATGCAGAGGTTGCAGTGAGCCAAGATCACATCACTGCACTCCAATCTAGGTGACAGAGTGAGACCTTGTCTCAGAAAAAAAAAAAAAAAAAAAAAAAAAAAAAAAGACCATCTTGGGAAGCATGATGATCAACCAAACTAAGGTACCAGGGAACAGTCCTGGAGAAACAGAGCTATGTGACCTTTCAGACAGATAATTCGAAATAGCTATTTTGAGGAAACTCTAAGAAATTCGAGATAACACAGAGAAGGACTTCAGAATTCTATCAGATAAGCTTAGCAAAGAGATTGAAATACTTACAAAAAATCAAGCAGAAATTCTGGAGTTGAATAATGCATCATAATTTCTTAACAGCAGAATTTATCAAGCAGAATAAAGAATTAGTGAGCTTGAAGATAAACTCTTTGGAAATGCACAGAGAAGACAGAAGAAAAAAGAATAAAAATGAAGCACGCCTACCAGATCTAGAAAGTAGCTGCAAAAGGGCATATCTGGCCGAGGGCAGTGGCTCATGCCTGTAATCCCAGCATTTTGGGAGGCCGAGGTGGGTGGATTATTTGAGGTCAGGAGTTCAAGACGAGCTTGGCTAACATGGTGAAACCCCATCTCTACTAAAAATACTAAATAAGTAAATAAATAAATGTTAGCCAGGCATGATAGTGTATGCCTGTAACCCCAGCTACTCAGGAGGCTGAGGCAGGAGAATTGCTTGAACTTGGGAGGCAGAGGTTGTAGTGAGCTGAGATCATGCCACTGCACTCCAGCCTGGGCGACAGAGCGAGACACCGTCTCAACAACACCAACACCACCACCAACAACAAAAAGGCAAATCTAAGAGTTATTGACCTTAAAGAGGAGGCAGGGAGAGAGATCAGAGTAGAAAGTTTATTCACGGGGATAACAACAGAGAACTTCCCAAACCTAGGGAAAGCTATCAGTATTCAAGTATAAGAAGCATATAGAACACCAAGCAGATTCAGCCCAAAGAAGACTACCTTAAGGCATTTAATAATGAAACTCCCAAATGTCAAGGATAAAGAACAGATCCTAAAAGCAGCAAGAGAAAAGAAACAAAAACACATAATGGAGCTCCAATATGTCCAGCAGCAGACTTTTCTGTGGAAACCTTACAGACCAGGAAAGAGTGACATGACATGTTTAAAGTGCCAAAGGGGAAATCTTTTACCCTAGAGTGGTATGTCTGGTGAAAATATCCTTCAAACATTAAGGAAAAATAAAGGCTTTTCCAGACAAACAAAAGCTGGGGAATTTCATCAACACCAGACCTGTCCTATAAGAAATGCTAAAGGGAGTTCTTTAATCAGAAAGAAAAGGACATTAATGGGCAATAAGAAATTATCTAAAGGTACAAAACTCACTGGTAATAGTAAGTACACAGAAAAACAATTTTATAACACTGTAATTGTGATGTATAAGTTATTCTTAAGTAGAAAGACTAAAAGATGAACAAATTAAAAATATTAACTACAACAGCTTTTAAAGACATATCCAGTATAATATGATATAAATAGTAACAACCAAAAGTTAAAAATAGGGGGACAAAGTTAAAAGTGTAGGTTTTTATTAGTTTTCTTTTTGCTTGTTTGTTTATGCAATCAGTGTTGTCATCAGTTTAAAATAATTGGGTTTTATGGTAGTATTTGCAAGCCTTGTGGTAACCTCAAATCAAAAATCATATAACAGATACACAAAAAATAAAAAGCAAGAAATTAAAACACCCCACCAGAGAAAATCACCTTCACTAAAAGGAAGACAGGAAGGAAGGAAAGAAGGAAGAGATGACCACACACCCAAAAATAAAATAACAGGAGTAAGTCTTTATCAGTAACAACATTGAATGTAAATGGATTAAACTCTTCAATCAAAAGACATAGAGTGGCTGACTGGATTGAAAAAAACAAGATCCAGTGACCTGTTGCCTACAGGAAACACACTTCACCTATAAAGACACACATAGACTGAAAAAAAAAAAAAGGATGGAGAAAGATATTCCATGCTAATGGAAGCCAAAAAAGAACAGGAGTAGCTATGCATATATCAGACAAAAACTTTTAGAAGAGACAAAGAAGGTCATTGTATAATGATAAAGAGGTCAATTTAGCAAGAAGATATAACAGTTGTAAATATATATGTACCCAATACTGGAGCACCCAGATATGTAAAGCAAATATTAGAGCTAAAAAGAGAGATAGGATCTTCCAAACAGAAAATCAGCGAAGAAACATCACTCTTAATCTGTACTATAGACCGAATGGACCTGGTAGTTACAGAACATTTCATCCAGTGGCTCCAGAATACACATTCCTTTCCTCAGCACATGGATCATTCTCAAGCATAGACCATATGTCAGGTGACAAAGCAAGTCTTAAAACATTAAAAAAAACCCCTGAAATAATAGCATGTATCTTCTCTGATCACAATGGAATAAAACTAGAAATCAATAACAAGAATAATTTTGGAAACTATATAACCACATGGAAATTAAACAATGTGCTCCACAATGACTAGTGGGTTAATGAAGAAATTAAGGAGGAAATTGAAAAATTTATTAAAACAAATGATAATGGAAACATGACATACCAACAACCCATGAGATACAACGACAGCAGTACGAAGTGGGAAGTTCATAGCTATAAGTACCTACATCAAACAAGAAAAAAAAATCTTCAGCTAGATAACCTAATGATGTACCTTATGCAGCTGACAAAGCAAGAGCAAACCAAACCCACAATTAGTAGAATAAAAGAAATAATAAAGATCGGAGCAGAAATAAATTGAAATGAAGAAAACAATACAAAAGACCAACAAAATGAAAAGTTGGTTTTGTGAAAAGATAATCAACAAACATTAGATAGACTTAGGAAAAAATAGAAAAGACTCAAAATCAAAGATGAAAAAGGAGACATTACAGCTAATACTGAAAAAATTAAAAAGATTATTCATGGGTACTATGAACAACTATATACCAATAAATTGAAAAATCTAGAAGGAATGCATAATTCATAGACACATACAACTTATCAAGATTGAACCTTGAAGAAATCCAAAACCTGAACAGAGCAATAACAAATAACAGGATTGAAGCCGTAATAAAATATCGCCTAGCAAAGCCAAGTCCAAGACCTAATGGCTTTGCTGCAGAATTCCACCAAACACTTAAAGAAGAACTGATACCACTGCTGTCAAACTATTCTGAAAAATAGAGGAGGAGGGAATATTCCTAAACTCATTCTGTGAGGCCAGCAGTACCCTGATACCAAAGACCAAAGACACATCAAAAAAAAAAAGAAGAAAACTACAGACCAGTATTCCTGATGAATACTGATGCAAAAATCCTCCACAAAATACTAGCAAACTGAACTCAATAATACATTAAAGGAAAATTGATCATGATCAAATGAGATATATCCCAGGGATGCAAGGATGGTTCAACATATGCAAATCAGTCAGTATGATACATCGTATCAAGAATGAAAAACCATATGATCATTTCAATTGATGCTCAAAAAGCATTTAATAAAATTTAATATTCCTTCATGATAAAAACTCAATAAACTGGGTATAGAAGGAACATACCTCAACACAATAAAAGCCATTTAAGACAGACCCACAGCTAGTATCACACTGAATGGGGAAGACTGAAAGCCTTTCCTCTAAGATCTGGAACATGGCAAGGATGCCCACTGTCACTACTGTTACTCAGTGTATTACTGGAAGTCCTAGCAAGAGCAGTCAGACAAGAGAAAGAAAGAGCATCCAAAGTGGAAAGGGAAAAAGTCAAATTATGCTTGTTTGCAGATGATTTGATCTTATATTTGGGGAAACATAAAGACCCCACTAAAAAACCATTAAATTCAGTAAATTTGCAGGATATGAAATTAGCATACAGAAATCAGTAAGATTTCTGTATGCCAACAGTGAACAATCTGAAAAAGAAATTGAGAAAGTAATCTCATTTACAGTAGCTACAAATAAAATGCCTATGAATTAACTGATGAAGTGAAAGATCTCTGCAATGAAAACTATAAAACATTGATGAAAGAAATTGAAGAGGACACAAACAAATGGAAAGATATTCCATGTTCATGGATTGGGAGAATCAATATTGTTAAAATGTCCATAGTTTCTATAGCAATCTACAGATTCAATGCAATCCCTATCAAAATACCAATGACATTCTTCACAGAAATAGAAAAAGCAATTCTAAAATATATATGGAACCACAAAAGACCCAGAATAGCTAGCCAAAGCTATCCTGAGCAAAAATAACAAAATTGGAGGAATCACATTACCTGACTTCAAATTATACTACAAAACAGCATGGTACTGGCATAAAAACAGACACACAGGTCAATGGAACAGAATAGAGAACCCAAAAGCAAATCCATACATCTACAGTGAACTCATTTTCGACAAAGGTGCAAAGAACATACATTGAGGAAAGGACAGTCTCTTCAATAAATGGTGCTGGAAAAACTGAATATCCGTATGCAGAAGAATGAAACCAGACCCATGTCTCTTGCCATATATAAAAACCAAATCAAATTGTGTTAAAAACTTAAATCTAGGCTGGGCGCGGTGGCTCACGCCTGTAATCCCAGCACTTTGGGAGGCCGAAGCGGGTGGATCATGAGGTCAGGAGATCGAGACCATCCTGGCTAACAAGGTGAAACCCCGTCTCTACTAAAAATACAAAAAAAAATTAGCCGGGCGCGGTGGCGGGCGCCTGTAGTCCCAGCTACTCGGGAGGCTGAGGCAGGAGAATGGCGTGAACCCGGGAAGCGGAGCTTGCAGTGAGCCGAGATTGCGCCACTGCAGTCCGCAGTCCGGCCTGGGCGACAGAGCGAGACTCCGTCTCAAAAACAAAAAACAAACAAAAAAAAAAACTTAAATCTAAAATCTCAATCTATGAAACTGCTAAAAGAAAACATTAGGTAACCTCTTCATGGCATTGGACTGGGCAAAGATTTCTTGAGTAATACTACACAAGCACAGGCAACCTAGCAAAAGTGAACAAATAGGATTACATGAAGTGAAAAAGCTTATGTACAGCAAAGGAAACAATCAACAAAGTGAAGAGATAACCCACAGAATGGGAGAAAGTGTTTGCAAACTCTTTATCTTACCAGGGATTAGTAACTAGAATATGTAATGAGCTTAAACAACTTCATAGGAAAAGATCTAATAATCTGATTAAGAAATGGGCAAAAGATCTGAGTGGACATTTTTCAAAAGAAGTCATTGACAAACAGGCATTTGAACAGGTGCAACATCATTGATCATCAGAGAAATGCATATCAAAACTACAATGAGATATTACCCCAGTTCAAATGGCGTTTATCCAAAAGACAGACAGTAACAAACACCGGCAAGGATGTGGAGAAAAGGGGACCCTCAGACAGTGTTGGTGGGAATGTAAATTAGTACAACAACTATGGAGAATAATTTGGAGTTCACTCAGAAAACTAAAGATACACTTGCCATACAATCCATCAATCACAGTGCTGGGTATATATCCAAAAGATACCCATGTCGATTGCAGTACTGTTCATAGTAGCCAAGATTTGGAAGCAACCTGAGTGTCCATCAGCAGATAAATGGATAAAGAAAACATGGTACATACACACAGTGGAGTACTATTCAGCCATAAAAAAGAATGAGATTCTGTCCTTTGCAACAACATGGATGGAACTGGAGATCATTATGTTAGTGTAATAAGCCAGACACAGAAAAGATAAATTTGCACGTTGTCATTTATTTGTAGGAGCTAAAAATGAAAACATTTGAACTCATGGAACTCGAGAGTAGAAGGAAGTTTACTGGAGGCTGGGAAGGGTAGTGAGGGTGTGTGTTTGTGGGAAGTGAGGATGGTTAATGGGTATAAACAATTAGAATAAGAAGTAGTATTTGATAGCACAACAGGGTGACAATTGGATTGTTTGTAACACAAAGCGTAAATGCTTGAGGCGATGGATACCCCATTTACTCTAATGTGATTATTACGCATTGCATGCCTGTATCAAAATATCTCATGTCCTCATCTATATATACACCTGCTGTATACCTACAAAAATTAAAAATAAAAAAAATGGCCAGGTGTGGTAGCTCATGCCTGTAATCTCAGCACTTTGGGAGGCCGAGCTGGGCAGATCACAAGGTCAGATCGACTATCCTGGCCAACATGGTGAAACCCTGTCTCTACTAAAAATACAAAACTTAGCTGGGTATGGTGGCGCATGCCTGTAATCCCAGCTACTCAGAAGGCTGAGGCTCAAGAATTGCGGAGAGTCTTGAGAATCAAGAAACCCAGGAGGCGGAGGTTGCAGTGAGCCGATATTGCGCCACTGCACTGCAGCCTGGTGACAGAGTGAGACTCCATTTAAAAATATATATATATATATAGCTTTTCTAACAAAAAATAATAGAGATGTGAAGTGGGCTTTAAAAAGTCGAGTCCAGGATATCTGGTGGTAGAGTTTTAATTTTCCACAATACAGGTATGTGTTGCTTAATGTCAGGGATATATTCTGAGAAATGCATCATTAGGTAATTTCATCCTTGTATCAACATCATAGAATGTACTTACACAAACTTAGAGTGCGTAGCCTACTGCACATGGAGGCTCTGGTCTGTTGTTCCTAGGCTACAAACCTGTCCAGCATGTTACTGTACTGAATACTTTAAGCAATTGTGATACAATGGTAAGTTTTTGTGATTCTGAACGTAGAAAAAACACAGCATAAATATGGTATTCTAATTTTTGGGGACCCCACTTGTATATGTGGTCCATTTTTTATGGAAATGTTATGTTACTGTATTTATTTATCAATAAGTTTCATGACCCTGCAACAATGTTAAATTCTTATCTACTGTTTTGCTTAAAGTTGTAGTATTCAGACCTGTTGCAGGGATTCTTTCACTTCCTGTAACAGTTTGCACTTCAGGGTTCTTTAACAAGCAGAATACTGATTTAAGAGCCTAACTGGAGGAAATTCTTGTTTCTTTTTTCTTTTTCTTTTTTTTTTTTTTTTGGAGACAGAGTCTCATTCTGTCACCCAGGGTGGAGTGTAGTGGTGCCATCACAGCTCACTGCAGCCTTGACTTCATGGGCTCAAGCAATCCTCCTGCCTTAGCCTCCCGAATGCTGGGGATATAGGTTTATGTCACCATGTCCAGCTAATTCATGTGCTTTTTGTAGAGATGGGTTCTCACTATGTTCCCAGGCTGGTCTCGAACTCCTTGGCCAAAGCAGTCCTCCTTTTATGTTTCTCCCCTCAACTCCTCCGAGGTCCAATAAGGGAAATTTCAAGATTTTGTAAAATTAATTATTTACTTTTGGCCTCAGTTACTTTTTCTGTGAACCACAGATGTTCTCCACATAATTTCTAAAGTTCATCCCAGTTCTCTGATTTTATGATTCTGAATAATTCTGGAAATCCTTGGATGCAAATATTAGCTTGTATACAGACCTGTGAAGATAGAGGCCTTGCTTCTGCCAGGTATCTTCTATAGGTATCTTATTTACCAGATACTTTGTCAGATTTATTAGAGACCTGAAATACAATGCTTTTTCTTCATTCAGACTTAATAGATTCAAATATTATGGTTAATTCTGCCATAGACCATTTATTCAAATATTTTAAAATCTCATTTTTTGTATGATTATGTAAAACTTAAAAATAATTAGTATAATTTGAATTTATTAACACAATTATGTAAGACACCTATTGTGAGTTTTTGTACCACATATTTGTAGCCTAATAATAAATATTTATTGAGTTCTTTATGTTTTTCAAAGGACTTTTATATCCATTTATTTTACTTAATCTTCAGAACTGCCTAGTAAGTATATTTTGTAGATGTAAAAATTGAGGCTTAGAGTAGTAAAGATACTTATCCAATGTTAGGATTAGAAAGATTTAGATCTTATGATTTCTTCTCTATTCCCTTTTCACTTCCCAAGTTATCTTTCTTTTGGAGTTCTTCCCTAGGAAAGTAATGTTACCAAATAAAGAGCCTGGTAGATTCTGGGGCATGGTGGTGTCTTATATAGAGGGTGTACTGTAGACAGTGGAAGGGAAGGTGTGATAAAGCATGGAGCTAATGTAAATGATTATTATCCTGTTTCATTGTCCTTATTCTCTTTATCTTTGGCTTCATTTTTATCACCACCTTTTATAGCACATTATTGTGGAAAGAGTCTTAGATGAAATTGATACTAGGTTCTTTTCCTAAGTCTTCCCCCCACCTAACCAGAGCTACTTAGTAGCAATTTTATGTGTGTCTTTTAATTGCCCTGATTTGTACTTTCCTCATTTATGGAATGGGAATAACCTATTCTGGTTACCTTATAGAGTTATTGTCAAGTCAGGTAGGATAAGATGGGAAAGGACTTTGAAAAACTTGAAGTACTTTACTAGCAGGGATTATTATTGTTTTTACATGACAGCCTCTGTGGCTTGGTCTGTTGATAGGCTGCTTTGAAATAAATGCATTCATTTAAACGTGTAAAACTATATTGTAAAATATAGATTTTCACCATTTGGTACTATAGCTCTCTTGCTTTCAATTAGTAAAGTTGGCCAGGCACGGTGACTCAGGCCTGTAATCCCAGCACTTTGGGAGGCCGGATCACTGAGGTCAGGAGTTTGAGACCAGCCTGGCCTGGTGGTGAAACCCCGTCTCTACTAAAAATACAAAAATTAGCCGGGTGCGGTGGCACGTGCCTGTGGTCCCAGCTACTTGGGAGGCTGAGGCAGGAGAATGGCTTGAACCCGGGAGGTGAAGGTTGCAGTGAGATGAGATTGCGGTACTGCACTCCAGCCTGGGTGACAGAGCGAGAGTCTGTCTCAAAAATAAATAAGTAAGTAAAGTTTTGGCCAGGTGTGGTGGCTCACTCCTGTAATCCCAACACTTTGGGAGGCTGGATCACTTGAGGTCAAGAGTTTGAGACCACCCTGGCCAACATGGTGAAACCCCATCTCTACTGAAAATCCAAAAATTAGCCAGGCATGGTGGTGTGCGTCTGTAATCCCAGCTACTCTGGAGGAGGCTGAGGCAAGAGAAGTGCTTGAACCTGGGAGGCAGAGGTTGCAGTGAGCTGAGATCGCACCACTGCGCTCCAGCCTGGGCAACAGAGTGAGACTCTGTCTCCATAAATAAATAAGTAAAGTTTGTACCATCTTTTCTGTTTAGGAGAAGCAAAGTAAATGATACTATATGTGCTATTTAATTATACCAGTTGCAGTGTACATAGTGTTTCTCACTAATGCCAAGTGGCAGGCCAAGTGAGCTGGACTGGAATTACACTGTTAGCCGCCAGCAACTATATGATAGCCTGCATTTAAGATGAGTTCTGTGCACAATGGGGATGGCTGACATTCAGGTACTTGGGAGCTGTTTAAAGGGTTTAATAACAGAAAACATTTATTTGTATTTTTGTATTAGTATTTGCACCAGGCATATTTATTAGGACGTTAGGCACCTTGTTTCAGACATTGCAAAAGAAAAGGATACAGGAGTGCTTTTAAAAAATTTAAAGGCTGTTACAAAACTTCTCTGGAGGAGAGTTTGCTTGGTTCATGGGACTTTTAGAAGAATACCACATCAAGTTAATGTGGCTTGCTATAATTAGATTTAATGAATATCTAGAAAAATTTACATAAATTTAAAATGACATGAAGAATGCTGATTGATAATCCTCTTTTCTTTTTTTGCATTTCTTTTTTCTTGAAAGTACATATTTTTTCACTTGGCAGTAATAATATCTGTATTTTATGTGTAGGTTTTACATAGGTTCATTTTAGTTTAATTGAACTGTGTGTTGGCATAAAGCTAATGCTTGGGGCTACAGACTTGTTTGAGAAAGACAGACACAATTGTAGATATATTCAATGTAATATAGTTAGCAATAAGACAGATATGTGCTTTGGGAGTACAGAAGGCGGCAGATATTTGGTTCACCCTAGGGATTCAGGTAATGATTTCTGAAAGAGAGGATACCTAAACTAAGTCTAATTAAATCTTATAAAAATGGAAGCAGGTTAAGTTTTCAGAAACAATGAAGTAATTTTTTTTATTTCAGTGTTTTGCGGGTTCTGAAGTAGTACTTAAAAGGTTAATATTAATACTTGTAATTTGGGATTTACAACTTTTATTATGTTTTATTTTTTCTTAATCTTACTGAGACAATTTGCATACAATAAAATCCATCTACCTTAAGTGTACAGAGTTTGATACATTTTAGTAATTATATGTAGTTGACTAAACACTACTACACTCAATATATAGAACATTTCCATCATCCTAAAAAGGTTTCTTGTGCCCTTTGATGCTTCAGCCTCAAATAACTGCTGATTTACTTTTTGTGATTATAGTTGTGTTTCCTAGAATTTCATATAAATGGAATCATACAGTAGATACACTTATGTTTGACATTTTCTACTTAATAGTGTAATTTGCTTTTTTAGTGTAATGTTTTTGAGATTCATCCATGTTGTGTATATTAATATTTAGTTTTCTTTTTTATTGCTAAATAGTTTTTCTTAATAAGAGTATGTCTTAGTCCACTTTGTGCTGCTATAACAGAATACCTGAGACTGGATAATTTATAAAGAACAGAAATTTATTGGCTTATAGTTCTGGAGGCTGGGAAGTCCAAAATCAAGGCACCAGCATCTGGTGAGGAAGCTCTTGATGCATTATCACATGGCAGAAAGGTAGAAGGGCAAAAAGAGAGAGAAGGGGGCTGAACTCACCCTTTTATAATGGCATTAATCTCACCCCTATGAGGGCAGAGCCCTCATGGCCTAATCATCTCTTAAAAGTCTCAGCTTGTAATACTGTTATAATGGCAATTAAACTTCAACATGAGTTTTAGAGGAGACATTCAAACCATGGCAGAGTACAACTGCAATTTGTTTATTCATTCATCAGTTGATGGATGTTTCGTTTCATTGCTTTCAGTTTTTGGCTATTATAAATAATGCTGCTGTACACATTTTGTACACATTTGTGTATGGGTCCTTCTGTGGACATATGTTTTTATTTCTCTTGGATAAGTACTTAGGAGTGTAATTGCAGGGTTCTTTGACAAATGTGTGTTAAATTTAAAAGAAACTGCCAAAAATTTCCCCAGAGTCTATCTATATTATTTAGCATTCCTCCCAACAGTGTATGAGCATTTTAGTTGTACCAAATCCTTATCAGCACTTGGAATTGTTAATTTTCTTAACTTTAGTCATTCTAGTGGGTGTTCAGTGGTATCTCATTTTAATTTGCATTTCCCTGATGAGTAGTGATGTTAAGCATCTTTTCACTGTTACCAATTATTTGGATAAGTTTTTAATGAAGTGCCAATTCAAATCATTTGTTCATATTTAAAAATATGGTCTTCAGCCTGATGGCCTTCAAACTTCAATTGTAGCATTGGATTTTATCTGGGTCTGCAGCTTCTGGCCTACCCTGCAGATTTTGGACTTGCTAGCCTTCATAATCTTGTGAGCCAATTCCTTGAAAGCAAATCTGTTTTCATACATAGACACAATATATTCTGTTTTTCTGGAGAACCCTGCTAATACATTGGCCTTTGGTGACTGGCTTCTTCTACTTAGTATAGTGCTTTTGAGGTTCATCTATGTTGGAATAGGTATCAGTGTTTTTATTTTTGTTTTGCTTTGTTGTGTTGTGTTTTTTTCGGGGGCGGGGGGTGCAGTGGCTCACACCTATAATCCCAGCACTTTGGGAGGCCAAAGTGGGAGGATCGTTTGAAGTCAGGAGTTCCAGACTACCCTGGGCAACATAGTAAGATCCTGTCTCTACAAAAAATACAAAAATTAGCTGGGCATGGTATGTGCATCTGTAGCCCCAGCTACTCGGGAGGCTGAGGTGGGAGGATCTTGAGCCCAGGAGATGGAGACTGCAGTGAGCCATGATCATACCACTGCACTCCAGCCTAGGTGACAGAGTGAGACCCTGTCTCTAAAACAGCAACAACAACAACAACAATAACAACAAGAGTACAGCCTTTACCTCCCTCAGTAGTTCCCACCTCAGTACAGAGTTATCACTCCTTTCTCTGAACTTAGATTTACAATGTTTTAGTGATGTAGCCTAACCTTAACATTCTACAGATGAATAAACAAATCTAGCACTTATCTGATTTGCCCAAAGTTGCTCTTATGCAATCTATTTTCTGTGCAACTGAGATGGCATTTATCTGCTATTTTATGTGGCCTTTTTATGAATAAATGTCATGTTTCTCCTTCAGGTCGGAACTAAACCTCAGGGTTCTTTGAAACCCCAATTATCTCAGATGTTTGCTGGGAACAGTGATAATGATAATGAGCATCATATTGAGGTAGAGGAAGAGGACTGGTTAGTGGGTACTGGTTTAGAGGTACTTTTTAAAGGAAGCATAAGCACATTTTGGGCATGCAAAATATTAAGCTCAGAGCTTAGACACTTGGTAAAAAACAAGGGTCTGTGTGAGGAGAGCTCTGAGAAAAGGGTTGTCAGACAGAAGCCAAATTTCTCAAGAAGGACCTCTAAACAGCATTAAGGAAAAAAAAAAAAATCCCACGTAGAAGCATCTAAAAAAAGGAATGCCCAGTATTTGGGAAAGAGAAACGAATGATAATAGCACCAGATTTAGAGTCAGCTACCCAATAGATTCGAATTTCAACATTACCACATCCAAGCTGCGTTTCTGTGCCTCAGTTTTTTCATTTCTGCCTACCTAAGGACTGTCATAGGAAGATTAGATAAAATGTATGTAGGCCGATCACGGTGGCTCACACCTGTAATCCCACCACTTTGGGAGGCTAAGGTGGGCGGATCACCTGAGGTCGAGAGTTCCAGACCAGCCTGACCAACATGGAGAAACCCCATCTCTACTAAAAACACAAAATTAGCCAGGCGTGGTGGCGCATGCCTGTAATCCCAGCTACTTGGGAGGCTGAGGCGGGAGAATCGCTTGAACCCAGGAGGTGGAGGTTGCGGTGAACCGAGATTGCACCATTGCACTCCAGCCTGGGCAACAAGAGTGAAACTCCATCTCAAAACAACAACAACAACAACAACAACAACAACAACAACAACAACAAAAGCATGTAAAGCGCTTAGGTCAGTGCCTTCCTTTTAAGGCACTCTGTTAATTGTTGTTGTTAATAGGAGAAGGGTTTTCTTGAGAAGGGAGGAAGGGACGCGAAGAGGAATGGTCCTTGGTACATTTTGGTGACAAGGAGGTGGGATTCTGAAACAGAGGGTGTGTTCACAAAGAGAGCTGGAGTGAGAAGAGTGGTGGGGGCAGCACATGTTTCCAGTGAGGATTAGCGGGGTGTCACAGCCACTGTAGGAAGCGGAAGGGCTGAGAAGTGTCAAGCCAAGAACACGCCTTCCGGGGTGCGTCAGGGAAGGCAGCGGTTGAAGATTAGCACTTAAATGCTGTGAGTGCTTCTATGACAAACGGCACATCTTCTGGGGAAACTTAGAGCTCGGGAAAGGCCTCATTAGTGGGGGATAGGGACGGGCAGAGGCAAGTGCCGAAAGTCCCCTCGGAGTGACCGAGAGGCCAGTGAAGGAAGGTGAGGTGGGAAGAAAATGGTGGTGCCGCCTCTCCTGGCTTCCCTTCGCACTCTTTCTAGCCACAGCCCCGCTGGAGCAGTCACTCTCTGGAAACCACGGGGAAACAGCCTTTTTGGTCCGGCTTGACAGCCCCAACCAGACCGAGGGTGCAGAAGAACCAGGGTGGTGAGCGCCGCTAAGCCTAACGCCTGACTGCTCAGGGGTGCCTGGGCGGTATCAGTGTTTTACTGCATTTGTGACTGGATAATACTCGGTTGTATGTATATACCACATTTTATTTATCCATTCATCAGTTGATGGACATTTGGTTTTGTTTTTTTCCCACTTCTTGACTGTTATGAGTAATGCTGTTATGAACATTTGTGTGCCAATTTTTGTTTAGCATTTGTTTTCTCTCGAGTATATACCTTGGGGTGGAATTGTGTCATGTAGTAATTCAGTGTTTAACTTTTTGAGGAACTGCCAAGCTGTTTTCTGTAGCAGGTACATAATTTTATGTTCTCACCAGCAATGCATGAGGGTTCTAATTTCTTCACATCCTGGCCAATGCTTATTATTTTCTGTTTTTGTTTTGTTTTGTGTTGTTTTACAGCCATCCTAGTGGGTAGGAAGTAGTACCTCATTGTGTGTTTATTTTTGGAAGCAGGGTCTTGCTCCATTGCTGAGGCTGGAGTGCAGTGGCACAGTCATAGCTTACTGCAACCTGGAACGCCTGGGCTCGGTGATTCTTCTACCTCAGCCTCCTGAGTAGCTGGGACAATAGGCATGTACCACTACCTCCGACTAATTAATTTTTTTATTTTGTAGAGATGGTGTCTTACTATGTGGGCCAGGCTGGCTTTGAACTCCTGAGCTCAGGTGATCCTCCTGCTTCAGTCTCCCAAAGTGTTGAGATTATAGGGATGAGCCACTGGCACCTGGATTTAAATTTTGATGAAGTTCATTTTACCTGTTTTTTCTTCGTTGTTTGTGCTTTTGGTTTCCCATCTAGGAATGCATTGCAAAATCCAAGGTCATGAAGAATTGCCCCTGTGTTTTCCTTTAAGAGTTTTATAGTTTTAGCTGTTACATTTAGGTCTTTGAGCCATTTTAAATTTTATATTTGAAATGAGATAGGGATCCACTTTCATTTTTTGTATGTAGAAATCTTGTCTTGGCACCATTTGTTGAAGAGACTATTCTTTCTCAGTTTAGTGCTCTTGGCACCCTTGTTGAAAATCAGCTGATCATAGATGTTTGTTTTTTTTTTCCTGGACTATCAATTCTATTCCAACTAACCATACTGTAAACAAACTAGACCCAACAGGTGTATATAGAACACTCCACCCAATGAAGTAGAGTGTATATTTTTCTCAAGTACACATAAAACATTTTCCAGGATAGATCATATGTTAGATTATAAGCAATTATCAGTTAATTTTAAAAGATCAAAATCATATAAAGTATTTTCTTTACCCATAGAGGAATGAAGCTAGAAATCAATTAATAGAAGGGGACAGAAAATATGCAAATATGTAGAAATTAAACATATTCTTAAACAACGAGTAGATCAAAGAAGTCACTAGGGAGATTAGAAAATACTTTGAGACAAATGAGAACAAAAATATACAATACCAAAACTTACGCTGTGAAACTAGTATTCAGGGAAAACTTAACAGTTGTAAATGCCTGTGTTAAAAAAGAAGAAAGATTTCAAGTTAACAACCTAGCTTTATACCCTAAGAATTAGGAAAAGAGCATGCTAAACCCAAAAGGAAAAATAATAAAGGTTAGATCAGAGAAAAATGATATAGAATAGAAAAATGATGAAGAGAATCAATGAAACTAAAGTTGGTACTTTGAAAAGATAACTTATTGGCAAACCTTAGATTAGAAGAAGAGCTGGGCACCATGGGCTATGCAAGTCTAGTCCTAGCCAGTTGGAGGCCGAGGCAGGAGGATCGCTTGAGCCCAGGAGTTTAAGCCCAACTGGGATAACATAGCAAGACTCTGTCTCTAAAATAGATAGACAGAGTAAATATGTACAAACAGAAAATACAGTGGGGATACTACTACCTTACAGAAACTAAAAGGATTATGATAACATGAATAATAATTCTTCAAAAATTAGATAATTCAGGTGAAATAGATAAATCTTAGAAACACACAAATTACTAAAACTGATTACAGAAAAAAATAGAAATTCTCAATAACAAGTGAAGGGATTGAATCAGTAATTAGAAAAAAAAAAAAAAAAAAGAACACCTCACAAGAAATAATAGGACTAGACGGTTCCACTAGTGAATTCTACCAAACAGTTAATGATGAATTAACACCAATCCTACTAAAACTATTCCAAAAAAACAGAAGAAAAGGGAATGTTTCTAACATATTCTGAGGCCGTCTTTACCCTTATACAAAAATCAAACAGATACCAGAAGAAAACTATAGACTACTATTTCTTGTGAAGAGAGATGCAAAAAAAAAAAATAAATAAATAAAATAAACCAAACAAACAAACCTAGGAAACTGAATCCAACAGCAAATCATTAAAAGGATTATCCACCACGACCAAGTGGGATTACACGCCTGCAATCCCAGGGAGCCACTTGGGAGGTTGAGGCAGGTGGATAGCTTGAGCTCAGAAGTTTAAGACCAGCCTGGGCAGCATGGTGAAACCCCATCTCTACGAAAAAATACAAAAATCAGCCAGGCCTGGTGGTGCATACCTGTAGTTCTAGCTATTTGGGAGGCTGAGGTGGGAGGATTGCTTGAGCCTGGGAGGTCGAGGCTGCAGTGAGCTGAGATTGTGCCACTATACTCCAGCTTGGATGACCAGAGTGAGACCCTGTCTCATCAAAAAAAAAAAAAAAAAAAAAAAAAAAAATCCATCAATGAAATACATCACATTAGTAAGAGGAAGGACAGAACCACATGATTATCTCAGTAGAGGCAGAAAAAGCATTTCACATAATTTAACACTCTTTCATGATAAAAAGACTCAGAAAACTAGGAATGGAAGGAAATTTCCTTTTTTTTTTTTGTTTTGAGACAAGGTCTCATGCTGTCCCCCAAGCCAGAGTGTAGTGACACGGTCTAGGCTGGGGAAACATGGAAACGTCCTTAACATGTTAAAGGGCACATATGACAAGCTCACAGTAACATCGTACTCAGTGGTGAAAGACTGAACACTTTCCCTATAAGTTCAGGAAGAACACAAGGATGCACCTTTTTACCATTGCTATTCTCTTGTGTTTGACATTCTATAATTCTATCTGGAAGTGGTATATGCTTTCTTTCATCCTGTCCTGTCCTTTCCTTTCCTTTCCTTTCCTTTGCTCTGCCACCCAGGCTGGAGTGCAGCAGCACAATCTCGGCTCACTGCAACCTCTGCCTCCTGTGTTCAGGTGATTCTCCTGCCTCAGCCTTACCGGTAGCTGGAATTACAGGCGCCCGCCACCACATCTGGCTAATTTTTTTTTTTTTTTTTTTTTTTTGTAGAGGCAGGGTTTCAACATGTTGGCCAGGCTGGTCTCGAACTCCTGACCTCAAGTGATCCACCTGCCTTGGCCTCCCTAAGTGCTGGGATTACAGACGTGAGCCACTGTTCCCTGCCTGCTTTCTTTTTTAAATACAAGAAGTTTAAAAATTCATTTTAAATATTTGGTTACATATTATCTCTTTCATGACAGCATTTTTTTGCTCATGGGTGTCCTTCTGCTACCATGTTTTTCCTGTTCTGTTTCTTCTTCTCTTAAAAATTTTACGTCTGTTTAGATACCTCGTTCCTTCTTCCTTTATGGTGGTTTATTTTTGAATGAGAAGGTTTTTTTGTTTTGTTTTGTTTTTTGTTTTTTTCTATAGCACTTTAGGATATTAGATGTTGGTAGCTCAGGGTTGTGTCTTTCAAATTTACAGCAATTTTGTTTGTGAGCAGGTTTTGTGCATAACTTTTTTTTTTTTTAATCCTCAGCCAGTCAGTGAAGATTGCTGCTGCAGGGCTGTTCATAGTGTAGGCTCTCTCACTATCTTTTTGCCACACCAGCAACTCAGTTTCTGCCAGCGTGGCTTGTTTGTGTGATTCCTTATTTAGTTCTGTCTCCTCTACTTCTTCAAACTATGAACAGGAAAGCTTCCTCTGCCAGCCCATGTTCCCTGCTTTTGTTGTTGCAAATGCAGAATTTAAGTTTACTACCTCAGGAAGTATGCTTGTACAAAGGTACTCCCGCTTTGAGTTTTGGAGCCTTATGCCTTACCTTTCTCCTCTTATTCCAAGTTGTCTCTCCTTATAGCATATCATTCCCTTATATGTCCATACATATGTTTCCTAGTTTTATTGGAGATCATATTTCCAGTTATGTTTCTTACTCTCTTTGTTTCTTTTGGGTGATTTCTGACTGGAGGAGAGGGGAGAGTCTGACTTTGTTATTTAAGATGAGAAGTAGTTAAGATGTATTTTTCGTTAGTGTTTTGCACATTCATTTACTGAAAATGTTAAAACTGAATTAGATTTCATATTTATAAGCTGTGGAATGTGATATTGTCACTTATTTAGCAAATACTTTAATACATTTGCTGTGTGCCAAGTTTATCCCAAGTCCTTTATAAATATGTACTTAATTAATCCTCATAATACCTATGAGGTAGGTTTTCTTTTTATTCTTATTTTATTGATAGGAAACTGAAGCACAGTCAGGAAAGTTAACTCGCTCAAGGTCACCTAATTAATAAGAAATAAGAACACTTCTAATTTTCATTCTATGACTATAGCATTTGTGGGCCTTGGCATCATCTGTTTATACTGTATTCAAATGAATCCCTTGAGAGCAGGGTCTGTGTTTCATTCATCTTTATATTCTCATTGCATATTTAGTAGAATTCCTGAAATCCAGAAGATATTCAATGGATGTTAGAGAATTAATATTTTTTATTAGGAGCCAAATAATTTGCTTTCTGCCAGACTTACAACATAGCTTCAGTTGTTCGTTCCGCTTGCCTCGTTAAAAAATATTTTTGTTTGTATTCTCAGGTCATCATTTTAGTGCTATTGCAGTATTTACTGTAATAATACCTTTACAAACAGCCACTGTATTCCAGAACAAAATTAAGATATTTCTTTATTAAACAATTATCAATTTGCTGATAATAAAAGCACTAGTTCCCTTACACAAGTTTGCTGCCCATGCTATAAATATTTTTATATACTAATATGAGGTATATTTAAGCAGTGTCATTTATAAAATAACAGGGGTCAAGTATCGTAGCAAAAATGAAGTGGTCATCTTGTTCATTTGTTTTTGTTACTGAGCTTTACTCCATTTAAGAATAAATATGTTACTGTTTATCCATGATCCCATTGATGGACAACTGGACTGTTTTTGGCTATTTATGACTAAAGATGGTATAAATATTTTTGTAAAAGTGTTTTTGTGGACACGTTTTCATTTTTCTTGGTATATAACTAGTATTGGAATTGTTATATCAAAATAAATGTAAGTTTAATTATGTAAGACCAGACTTTTCCCCAAGTGGTTGTACCATTTTACATTCCCACCAATGGCATGTTAGAGTTCCATTGCCCTTTATCCTCATTGCTATAGTTCAGTCTAATTTTTACCATTCTGGTAGATTTGTTTATCTTTATTCTTTTTTTTTGGTGCAGGGAGACAAGAGTCTTGCTCTGTAGCCCAGGCTGGAGTGCATTGGCGTGGTCTTGGCTCATTGTAACCTCTGCCTCCCGGGTTCAAGTGATTCTCTTGCCTCAGCCTCCCGGGTAGCTGGGATTACAGATGTGCGCCACCACACCTGGCTAAGTTTTGTATTTTTAGTAGAGACGGGGTTTTACCATGTTGGCCAGGCTGGGCTTGAACTCCTGACCTCAAGTTGTCCGCCTGACTCGGCCTTCCAAAGTATTGGGATTACAGGCATGAGCCACCACACCCAGTCCTATCTTTATTCTTAACATTCATCAGCTGGATGTGGTGGCTCACGCCTGTAATCCCAACACTTTGGGAGGCCGAGGTGGGCAGATCACCTGAGGTCGGGAGTTCGAGATCAGCCTGACCAACGTGGAAGAACCCTGTCTCTACTAAAAATACAAAAAAAATTAGCTCGGCATGGTGGTGCATGCCTGTAATCCCAGCTACTTGGGAGGCTGAGGCAGGAGAATCGCTTGAACCCGGGAGGCGGAGGTTGTGGTGAGCCAAGACCGCGTCATTGCACTCCAGCCTGGGCAACAAGAGCGAAACTCGGTCTCAAAAAAAAAAGAAATCATCAATACCCCATCCTCACTACCACCATTGGTAATTTGAACATTCTTAGGGATTTTGCTTATCTTGGTGATGAATTTAAATGGGTGCATTACAGCTCTTCTAAGACAGCTCTCAATTCTGACACCAGCTGTAAGTTCGAGAATCCCTAATACCTCCTTCACTTTGACACCAACTTCAAGGTTGGAGGTCTCCAAGACCACCTTTACTTCTGACACGACTTGCAATTTTGTGGGTCCCAAGACCACCTTAGATTCAATAATTTGCCAGGACTCTCAGAGCTCACTGAAAGTTTACTCAGTAAGGTTATGATTTATTATAGCTAAAGAGTAGAGTTTAAAATCAGCCAAGGGAAGAGGTGTACAGGGCAGGGTCTAAGAGAGTTCCAGTCAGAGCTTCCCATTGTCCTCTGTGGAACTGTACAGTGTTCACTTCTTCTGCAATGATGTGTGACAGTATGCACAGAGTCTTGCCAATTAGGAAAGCCTACCTGAGTCTTGGTATGCAGTTTTTATTGCGGTTCAGTCACTTAGACATGATTACTACTCATGCGGCTGGCCTTAGCCTCCAGCCTCTCCAGAGGTTGAGATGATACTGAGTGACCCAAGGCTCATCATCCCACCCACCCCTGATGAAATCACATTGTTAGCATAGACTATTTGGTGTGGCACAAGGTCCCCAGGTAGACAGAAACACTTGTGTCAGGCAAGATATTCCAAGGGCTTAGAGATTACCTCCCAGAAGCCAAAGACAAAGGTAAGACCTGTCTTTGGGTAGGGTTAATCCTTTACTGTATACTCCGATGCCCTCCTTGATTTGATATACACAAAATGCTTGTTTTAACTGATATAATGTGACCAAAGTCAAGAAACTTGATTGGTCCATGTGGATGTAGATTGTGATCTTGGTTCTGTGTGTCTCAGGAGCTAACCTACTGAGCTATTAATCAAATTTATGAAGAGTCTGAAAACTGATTATGTAGTTTTTGTCTATTGTTTCAGTCATTCATTCAGCAAACATTTTTTGAACTTTTTACAATGTTCAGTCACTGTGCCAAACATATAAATACTAAGATACAGAGTATACTTAAATGCTCTCAAGGAGCTCCATAGTCAATTCATAGACAGTCACAATACTTAAAGCAGATGCTATGTTAGAAGATGCCGGGCCAGGTATGGTGGCTTGTGCCTGTAATCCCAGCACTTTGGGAGGCTGAGGTGGAAGAATCACTGGAAGCCAGGAGTTTGAGATCAGCCTCAGCAACATAGCAAGACCCCATCTCTACAAAAAAAAAAACAAAAACTTAAAAAATTAGCCGGGTGTGGTGGTGTACACCTATAGTCCCAGCTACTTGGGAGGCTAAGGAGGGAGGATGACTTCATCTCATGAGTTAGAGACTGCTGTGAGCTATGATCGCACCAATGTACTCCAGCCTTAGTGATGGAGCAAGACCCTACCTCTAAAAAAGAAGATGCTGGAGGATCTCAGAGGAGGTGTATCTGAATCACAAGAGGAATTCAGGAAGGCTTCTCAGATGAGATCATACTTTCAGCTAGGTTTTGTTTTTTTTTGAGAGTGAGTCTCATTCTGTCGCCCAGGCTGGAGTGCAGTGGCACAATTTCAGCTCACTGCAACCTCTGTCTCCCCGGTACAAACAATTCTCCTGCCTCAGCCTCCTGAGTAGCTGGGATTACAGGTGCACGCTACCAGCTAATTTTTTGTATTTTTAGTAGAGATGGGGTTTCACCATGTTGGCCAGGCTAGTCACGAACTTCTGACCTCAAGTCATCCACCTGCCTCGGCCTCCCAAAGTACTGGGATTACAGGCATGAGCCACCACGCCCAGCATCAGCTAGGTTTTAAAGAATGAGGAAGAGTTAGGCCAAATAACGGGAGGAAATTCCAAGTGGAAAAGACCACATTTGCTAGAACATGAAAGCATGAGCCTACTGGTCCTTTTAAGAAACTTAGCTGGGGCATAACATGTGAATGTGGTTTGACATTCTATAATTCTGTCTGGAAGTGATATTTGCTTTCTTTTCTTTTTTCTTTTTTTTGAGATGGAGTCTCACTCTGTGGCCCAGGCTGGAGTGCAGTGGCATGATCTCGGCTCACTGCAACCTCTGCCTCCCGGGTTCAAGTGATTCTCCTGCCTCAGCCTCCCATGTAGCTGGGATTACAGGCACCCACCACCACACCTGGCTAATTTTTTTTGTTGTTTGTATTTTTAGTAGAGATGGGGTTTCACCATGTTGGCCAGGCTGGTCTCGAACTCCTGACCTCAAGTGATCTGCCCGCCTTGGCCTCCCAAAGTGCTGAGATTACAGGCGTGAGCCACCATGCCTGGTCTAAAACGTGTCTTTACATACAGATTTATACATGAATGTGGATAGCAGCATTATCCATAATACTCAGGATGTGGAAACCCAAATGTCTATCAATAAATGAATGAATAAACAAATTGTGGTATACTCATAGAATGGAACATTATTCAGCCATAAAAACAAATGAAGTATTGATACATACTACAACTTGGATAAACCTTACAAATGTATGCTAAGTGCAAGAAGTCAGACACAAAAGGTCACATATAATTTTTTTCATATGAAATATCCAGAATAGGCAAATTTGTAGAGACAAAAAATTAGATTAGTAGTTGACAGGGGAGGAGAAGAAAGGGGAATGAAGCGTGATTACTTAATGGGTCTGGAGTGTTCTGGGGTGATGAAAAAGTTTGAAATTAGAGGTGGTGGTGGTTGTACAACATTTGTGAATGCACTAAATGTCACTGAATTGTTTACTTTAAAACAGTTGATTGTATATTATGTGAATTTCATCTCAATAAAAACATGCATTATATATATGCACATAGTTTACATTCAAATAGTACAAACAGGAATGTAGTAAAAGGTCTTTCTTCTACTAATACTGCCAGTTTCTCCATGTGGAGCCCTTGTTAGGCTAGTCTCATGTAATATTTTAGGGAGTTCTGTCACAGTGATTTCTAAGGGAACCAGAGTAGGCATTTTTGCACAGGACAGTTTTTGACGTGAGGAAATGCTGTAATTAAGAAGTATTGTAGGCCGCGCGCGGTGGCTCACGCCTGTAATCCCAGCACTTTGGGAGGCCGAGGCGGGCGGATCACGAGGTCAGCAGATCGAGACCATCCCGGCTAAAACGGTGAAACCCCGTCTCTACTAAAAATACAAAAAATTAGCTGGGCGTAGTGGCGGGCGTCTGTAGTCCCAGCTACTTGGGAGGCTGAGGCAGGAGAATGGCGTGAACCCGGAAGGTGGAGCTTGCAGTGAGCCGAGATCCCGCCACTGCACTCCAGCCTGGGCGACAGAGCGAGACTCCGTCTCAAAAAAAAAAAAAAAAAAAAAAAAGAAGTATTGTAATTACCATAAATATATATTTGTAAACATTTTTATATGAAAAGATGGTTTACATTATTCTGTACATTTTTTGTTTACTTAACATTAGATCTTCCTATCAAGTTATCCCAACACAATTTACTGATAATTCATCTTTTTTCCCTGAGAATTTTCAGTTACTAAATTTGTAGATATATTTAGGTATATTCCTGATTACTAACTTTTGTTTTATTATCTCTGTCTACTTATGTTCCATTACCAAGCTATTTTAATTACTGTTACTTTAAAATTAATTTTTAACATCTGGTAAGGGTAGGCTTTTTAAAAAAATATTACTCTTTCTCGGAATTTTTATGGCTATTTTTACATGTTCATTTTTCTGTATGAAAATGCTTATCTAGTTAAATAAAAATACTGTACTTTTGGATTAATGGCAAAGTTTTTCTCAATCTCCCAGGCCTTGGCAACCACTAATTTACTTTTTGTCTCTCTGGACTTGCTTATTCTAGACACTTTGTATAAATGAAATTCTAAAATATATGGCCTTTTGCATCCGTTTTCTTTCACTTAGCGTAATGTTATTGAGGTTCATCCATATTGTAGCATGTATCAGTACTTCATTCTTTCTTATGGCTGAATAACATTCCATTATATAAATATACCACATCTTGTTTATACATTCATCAGTTGATGGACATGTGGGTTGTTTGTACTGTTTGGATATTATGAATAATGCTGCTGTGAACATTCATTTACCAGTTTTTGTGTGGACATGTGTTTTAAGTTTTCATGGATATACACCTAGGAATAGAATTGTTGGATCATATGCTAATGATGTGTTTAACCAGTTTGGGAATTCCCAGATTGTTTTCCACAGAACCTGCACCATTTACTTTTCCACTAACGCTATGAGAGTTCTGATTTCTTCACATACTTACCAATACTTGTTACTGTCTGTTTTATTATAGCATCCATTAATATCATTTAAAAGTTTTATGAGACATTGATTCAGAATTTTAGCAAATGCCTTTTCATCTTACATGGAGATTATCAGGTTTCTTCTGCTGTGCTCTCTTGATATATATATGATACATTATAATGAATAGATTTCCAAATATTTATTATGTGAATTTTGAGTAGTTGTTATCCCAGATTTGTCTTTTGCTTTAAAACAGGAAATTAGTTGGTAGACAAGTAACTTTTTACTAACAACTAAAAATGCCACTGAGAATATTTAAATTAGTTGATATGCACATCAAGGGTACAAAAGCTATTCCTTTTTCTTGTGGACTTCACGTGAATGTCCTTATTTTAAAATGAGTTATGTATAAACTTAAAAGGGTAAAAAATACATAATTTAAATATTTCCTTTTATCTTTTGTGAAATATAAAAAAATCCAACCTTCTACAAAATATATAGATAGGCTTTTTAGAGGTTTTTAAATGGTGAAAGTGTGAACTAGTTCATTTTAGTTAGTCTCTTTTGCTTGGGTATTTGTAGTGGGTAGGGAGATAACATTTGGTAGTGCTGGTCATAATAATTTCTTAGTCCAATTTTAGAAAAACAACATGAGTGTAAAAAAAGTGTGTGTACATGTTTATGAATGTGCATTTTTTTTAAAAAGGACTTTTTTTTCAAACATTATATGTTTACTAAAACACCAGAAATTATGGAAAGCAAAAGAAGAAAGTAAAGGAAGCCTATAATACCATGACCCAGAGAAAACTTTCATTACTATTTTAGTACACACACACAAACGCACACACACACACGTATGTATACAATCATGCATTGCTTAATGATGGGGATACATTCTAAGAAGTGCATTGTTAGGCAATTTCGTCATTGTGTGAACATCATGGAGTACACTTACACAAACCATAGCCTACTACACACCTAAGCTATATGATATAGCCTATTGCTCCTAGGCTACAAACCTGTACAACATGTTACTGTACTGAATACTGTAGGCAGTTGTAACATGATGGTATTTATATATCAAAACATATCTAAATGTAGGAAAGATACAACAAAAATATGGTATGAAAGATTAAAAAATGGGCTGGGCAGTGTGGCTCATGTCTGTAATCCTAGCACTGGGAGGGCAAGGCAGAAGGATTGCTTGAGGCCAGGAGTTCAGGACCAGCCTAGGGAACATAGCAAGGAATGGAACAACAACAATAATTAGCCACATGTGGTGGCATGTGCCTGTAGTCCTAGCTATTTAAGAGGCTGAGGTGAGAGGATCACTTGAGTACAGGAATTGAAAGTTGAGAGTAAGCTATGATTGCATCACTGCACTCCAGCTTGGGAGACAGACGGAAAAAGATGAAAAATGGTATTACTGTGTAGGGCACTTGCCATGAATGGAGCTTAGGAGACTGGAAGTTGCTCTGGGTGAGTCAGTGAGTGCCATGTGAATGTAAAGGCCTAGGAAACTAATGTATACTGCTGTAGGCTGTTTATTTATTACACTATACACTTAGGCTGCACTAAATTTATTTTAAAAATTTTTTTTTTTTTTTTGAGACAAAGCCTCGCTCTGTTGCCCAGGCTGGAGTGCAGTGGTGTGATCTCGGCCCACTGCAACCTCTGCCTCCCGGGTTCAAGCAATTCTCCTGCCTCAGCCTTCCGAGTAGCTGGGACTACAGGCACACGCCACCATGCCTGGCTAATTTTTGTATGTTTAGTAGAGATGGGGTTTCACCATGTTGGCAGACTGGTCTCAAACTCCTGACCTCAAGTGATCCACCTGCCTTGGCCTCCCAAAATGCTGGGATTACAGGGTGAGCCACCACACCTGGCCCAAAAACTTTTCTTTCTTCAGTAATAAATAAATTAACCTTAGCTCACTGTAACTTTTTTACTTTATAAACTTGTAAATTAAAAAAAAAACTTTTTTGACTTTTGAAATAGCATTTAGCTTAAAACACATATTGTACAACTGTATAAAAATATTTTCTTTATATCTTTATAAGCTTTTGACTATTTTTACAAATTTTTATTTTTTTGTACTTTTAAAATTTTTTTGTCAAAAACAAAGACACACATACATTAACCTAGGCCTACACACTGTCAGAATCATCAATATTATTGTCTTCTGCCTTCACCTCTTGTCCCATAGGAGGTCTTCAGGGGCAGTAACATGCATGGAGCTGTCATCTCCTATGATACAATGCCTTTTTCTGGTATACCTCCTGAAGGAACTGCCTGAGGCTGTTTTACAGTTAGCTGTAGGACCTCATATAATTGGAATCATACAATATTTGTGTGTTTTTGATTGACTTATTTCACCTTGCATAATATTCTTAAGGTTCATCCATATTGTAGCATATATCAGATTTGTCTTCCTTTTTAAAGCTGAATAATATTTCATTGTATATACCACATTGTATTTATCTATTCATTTCTGGGACACTTGGATTAATTTCCTGTTTTCATTTAATTTATCTAATTTGCTGGTGTACAGTTGCTTATAATACTCTGTACAGTCTTTTTACTTCTATAGAACAGTAGTAGTGTTCACCACTTTCATTTCTGATTTTGGTAATTAGTGTTTTCCCTTTTTTCCTAAGTCCACCTAAGTCCTAGGTAAAGTTTGTCAATTTTGTTGATCTTTCTGAAGAACCAACTTTTGGTTTCATTGATTTTCTGTGTTATTTTTCTACTGTCTTTGTTTATCTCTTTTCTAATCTTTATTATTAATATTTCCTTCTTTCTGCTAACTTTGGGTTTAATTTGTTCTTTTTCTAGTTCCTTAAGTTGTAAAGTTAGGCTGTTGATTTGAGATTGATCTTTTGTTTTTTGTTTGTTTGTTTGTTTTGAGATGGAGTCTCACTCTCTTTCCCAGGCTGGAGTGCAGTGGTCCTATCTTGGTTCACTGCTACCCCCACCTCTGGGTTCAAGCAATTCTCCTGCCTCAGCCTCCCGAGTAGCTGGGACCACAGGCACGCACCACCACGCCCAGCTAATTTTTGTATTTTTAGTAGAGACGGAGTTTTGCCATGTTGGCCAGGCCTGTCTTAAACTCCTGGCCTCAAGTGATCCACCCACCTCTATCTCTCAAAAGTGCTGGGATTACAGGCGTGAGCCACTGAGCCCAGCCTCATCTTGTAAAATAATGTAAGTATTTGAAGCTATAAATTTCCCCCGTAGCACTGCTTTCTTTTCATATTTACATTTTGCCCGCACATAGTTTTCTTTAGTTTTACCATTTTGCCCTTTAATTCTTTGAACATCTTTAAAACCATTGTTTTAGTATCTTTGTTTAGTAGATCTGCCATCAATTCTTTTTCAGGGACAATTTGTATTGGCTTGTTTTCCCCTTTGAATGGGCCATACTTCTCCCCTTCTTAGCATGCCTTGTGATTTTTGTTGAAAACTGGAGATTTGAATGTAATAATGTGGTAACTCTGCTCTCATTTTTTTTTAAACATCAACTTGAACCAGAATACCAGATTTGTGGTAACTCTGCTAATCAGATTCCCCTCCTTGCCCAGGGATTTTTTTTTTTAATAGTTAAAAAGTTTTTAAATGTTGTAGGTAGTCTGTACTGAGCTGTGCCTGAAGTGTTAAAATCAGGTCTTCTGAAGTCTTTTGTGAACCTGCACCTTCCCGTGGGTTTGTGTGGTGACTTTTCAATTTCTCCCTTAAATGTGGTTGCGTTAGAATGTCTTACTCTTCAAGATCTGGCTCTCAAAAGGGGAAAAAGAGAAAAATTAAGGGAGAAGGAAGAGGCATCAGTTCTTTAAATCCTCCGAAAGTCATTTCAGTCAGGAGAGGAACTTGCATCAATGTTGAGGGAAGTGCAACAACAGTGGTCATCCCCTCTCTTTCAGTTGACTCCTAGTTCCAAAATGGTTACATGATTCATTCTGCCAGTGCAATTGTTACCTAGCCTGGGAGTCAGATTCCTGGTGTTTACTAAGCTGCCATCTCCCAGAATCCTCTCTCATTGCTTAACCTTGAATGCACTGGAGACTTTTTTTGAATAAACATTTAAAAAAAAATCTTAGTCTTCGTTTTATTGTATTGGCCATTTGAAGCACTCTTGAATAAGCATGAGTCTTTAGGTTTAAGGTGAAACTTCTTCCGTTTGTTATTTTGAAATTAAGAAATTATTTACTCAAAACAAATATAGTAAGATCTTAAACAGTTATATTTTTATATAAGAAATCAAGTCATTTGGTGAATTTAAATGATTTTTAAGATGAGAATTTTGGTTTCTTGACTTTTTCTTTATTTCAGTGCTTTCCTTTTTTTTTTTTTTTCCTCCTTCTTACTCTTATGTCTTTGGTCTTTGCACTGGTGCAGTGATTTTAAGAGCACCGATTCCTGGCACATAACGGTAAAGTCTTTAAACTCAGGATATTCAAGGTAAATTGTCAGTAGTACCACATTTTGTTGACTCTACAATGCCTATGTTTGTAAGGTACACTGTTATTTTATATACCATTAAGATGGAGGAAAATACTGCCAATCATCATTAAAAGATGCATTCCAGTATCATAAATGTTAATACAGGTGAAGGATGTACTGGCTAAGCACGTTGGCCCATGCCAGTAATCCCAATGCTTTGGGAGGCCAAGGCAGGAGGATTGCTTTGAGGCCAGGAGTTCGAGACCAGTCTGGGAAACATATCAAGACTCCATCTCTACAAGAAGTATTTAAAAATTAACCAGATGTGGTGGTGTGCACCTGTAGTCCCAGCTACTTAGGAGGCTGAGGTGGGAAGATCTCTTGAGCCCAGGAATTAAAGGCTGCAGTGGGCTAGGACCTCACCGCCGCACTCAAGCCTAGGCAACAGAACAAGACCCTATCTCTAAAAAAAGAAAAAAGAAAAGAAAAGGGTATACCTTAGAATCTTTGAAATATAATACATGTATGGAAAGTGTGCTCTCATCATACCACAATTTGTAGTGGCCTTGTACATTGTTTTGTAATGCTTATAAAAAACTGGAGTGAAGGAAACATTTTGAGCATTTTTCATATTCAGAAGCCAATCAAAATTTGATTTTCACATTGTTTTCATTAGTTCCCTCTTACATTGGTTAAGTCCAGTAAACATCTTTAGTGCCTAATATATAGTAGCTATTCTTATAACAGTAGCCAACATTTATATAGGTTTTACTGTGTGGTAGGCACTATTTTGAGTGCTTTATGTATTTCAAGTAACTAAATTTTATAATATCCCTATGAGGTGAGTACTGTTATTATCCCCATTTTAGCAAGGAGGAAACTGAGGAAGAGAGAAGTCAAATGACTTGGCCAAGGTCATACAGCTAGTAAGTGGTACAGCTGGGGTTTGAATGTAGATCCTCTGACTGTAGAGACCAGGCTGTTAGCAGTATTCCTAAGCACATAAAGATGAATAAAATATTGTCCTTTCCCTCACATATCTTAACCAGGCAGTATTTGAAGGTGTGTTGATAGATTTACATTAAATTATTAAGTTATCCTTCTGGTAATTAATTTTTCTTTGTATTTTTAGGACATTCAGTCAGAAGAAGGCTGCTATTGAAAGAGAGTATGCACAGGTAAGCTTGAAATTGGAGGTCCCATTCTAGGTATACTTCTTTTCCGTGGCTTAAGGACAGAGATGGTTTTTGGAGAGAAGCCATATTATCCCTATGCCTTCCTTTTCTTGTTATTTCTTTCTTGTTTTTTTTTTTTTCTTTTTTTCTGAGATGGAGTCTCGCTTTGTTGCGAGGCTGGAGTACAGTGGCGCAATCTTGGCTCACTGCAACCTCCGCCTCTCAGGTTCAAGCGATTCTCCTGTGTCAGCCTCCTGAGTAGCTGGGACTACAGGTGTGTGCCACCACACCCAGCTAATTTTTGTATTTTTAGTAGAGACAGGGTTTCACCATGTTGGCCGGGATGGTCTCGATCTCTTGACCTTATGATCCGTCCGCCTTGGCCTCCCAAAGTGTTGGGATTACAGGCATGAGCCACTGTGCCCAGCCCTTTTCTTGTTATTTCTGTCTCATTTTGATCCCCCACTTTGCTGCCTTTGAATCATTATAAAGAAGGTTGTAAACCTGGAGGAGACATTATTTACTATATTTGTAAAGTATTTACAAGTATGAATAATAATACTTTTTACAAGTTTGTTGATTTATTCTTCTTTATATGCCCCATTCTCTGCAGTTTATGAAAGGTTAATTTTTCATCACGCATTTAGTTCTCATTATGACTGTGTTGATAAAGAGTAATAATGCTTTTAGTGGATGACATGGAGCTTTTCCTAGGGAAATTGAAGCATTTCCTTCTTTAATTTTACTTAGACCTTTAGTGGAGTCCAGATTACAAAATGTGACAAGAAAAAATTATGTTGATGTATCATTTTATGGTTGTATAAGAATTAATAACTATTCTTTCATGTACAAAGATAATTTGATACAGTTTGAAAATTTTGACCCTTTAAGCAATTACTTTATATGTGGGGGAGTATTCTAAAATTGTTATTTCCTTCTGCAAATTGTAAAAGTTGTCTTTGTAGCAAAAATTTTAAAATATGGGAGATTGTTAGAAGGAAAAATTAACATACAGTAAATTTTCTACATGGTAACCACTATTGCTGCTACTGTTTTTATTCTCATTATAAATAATGAGAGATTGGGGCATGACTCTTTTAGGCTTTGTCAGATTTTTTAATGAAATTCTGATTTCATTATAGTTAATTTTGTAGCTGTTTGCCTTTATTTTTGATTTGATAATCTTAGAAGAAAATCACCTATTCCTTGAAAGCTAGACAGAACTAATTAATTCATTGGTTCAATCAGTAGTTGTTGAGTGCTTATTGTGTATCAGGTGCTTTACATAATGAATAGCATCAGTTTTAATATTTCTGTTGAATGCTTTTTCTTTTCTTTTTTTTTTTTTTTTTTTTTTTTTTTGGGACAAGTCTCACTCTGTGATCCAGGCTAGAGTGCAGTGGTGCGATCTCGGCTCACTGCAACTTCCACCTCCCAGATTCAAGCGATTCTCCTGCCTCAGCCTCCTGAGTAGCTGGGATGACAGGCACACGCCATCACGCCCAGCTAATTTTTTGTATTTTTAGTAGAGACTGGGTTTCACCCTGTTGGCCAGGATGGTCTCAATCTCTTGACCACGTGATCCGCCTACCTCGGCCTCCCAAAGTGCTGGGATTACAGGCATGAGCCACCGCGCCCAGCCGATTTTTGTATTTTTAGTAGAGACGGGATTTTGCCATGTTGGCCAGGCTGGTCTCGAACTGCTGACCTTAGGTGATCCGCCCACCTCAGCCTCCCTAAGTGCTGGGATTACAGGCGTGAGTCACCGCGCCCGATCTTGAATGCTTTTTCTATGCCTGTATAATAAATACTAGTAATGATAGCTGACATTTATTGAATCCTTACTTTGTACCATGCTCTGAGTATTTTATATATGTTATCTGGTTTGATCCTTTCAAACCTGTGAAATAGCAACAGTTATGATGCCCTTTACAAATACACTTTCATACATGTACACTACATATATATTTATAAAATTGAGATGAAAGTCTGTGATACGCTATTTTAGCCAAGTGCAGTGGCACATGCTTGTAATCCCAGCTAGTGGGGAGGCTGAGGCAGGAGAGTTGCTTGATCCCTGGAGCCGGAGATTGCAGTGAGCTCAGATAGTGCCATTGGACTCCAGCCTGGGCAATGGGAGTGAAACCCTGTCTAAAAAAAAAATAGAAAAAAAGTCTATGATATGCTTTAAAAATTTTTAATACAAAATCAAAATTTTTATATGATACAGTCTTCTGTAACAAGATTTATTTATTTATTTAATTGAGATGGAGTCTCACTCTGTCACCCAGGCTGGAGTCCAGTGGCGCCATCTTGGCTCACTGCACCCTCCACCTCCCAAGTTCAAGCAATTCTCCTACCTCATCCTCCCGAATAGCTGGGACTACAGGTGCGTGCCACCATGCCCTTCTAATTTTTGTATTTTTAGTAGAGTTGGGGTTTCACCATAGTGGGCAAGATGATCTCGATCTCTTGACCTTGTGATCCACCTGCCTCGGCCTCCCAAAGTGTTGGGATTTCAGGCATGAGCCACAGTGCCTGGTCGATTTAAAGTTTTAATCAAGTAAATAGGACATGTTTATTATTTAAAATGTAAAATACTACATTAAATTTTATGAAAAGTGAGTCCTCTGCTCCAATCCCAGTCTTTTTCCACAAAGATTAAAAGTGGATGTCTACTTTGGTTCTCCTGGTGATTATTTCTATTTCTTTATTTTATTTTATTTTATTTTATTTTTGTTGTTTTTTTGAGACAGAGTCTTGCTCTGTCACCCAGGAAAAACTAGAGTGCAGTAGTACAGTCTTGGCTCACTGCAACTTCCGCCTCCTGGGTTCAAGTGATTCTCCTGCCTCAGCTTCCTGAGTAGCTGGGATTACAGGTGCCTGCCATCACACCTGGCTAATTTTTGTCTTTTTAGTAGAGATGGGGTTTCACAATGTTGTCCAGGCTGGTTTTGAACTGCTGACCTCAGATCATCCGCCCACCTCAGCCTCCGAAAGTGCTGAGATTACAGGTGTGAGCCACCATGCCCAGCCTCTATATCTTTAAATAATATGCTTATAACTCACTCTTTGTCAATTCTAGACATTATCACTTGATTACCTATAATAAATGAGAAACTTACTAAGCCATTCCTCTCCAGCCTACTCTTTTCAATATAATTGTGGCACTACTTTAGTACCTTTGTTACTTTTGTAACTCTAAATGATATATTTAAACTTGGTCTTTTTTTTGTTAAATACATATATGCACATAGATATTTATGCTGTGTATCTGTGTGTAAATATGAATGTATGCAGGTACAGTGGAATTACATTTTACAGAGTGGTCAAAGTTAAAGTCAAATTTACCCTTGAAAAATTTCTTTTCTTTCTTTCTTTTTTTTTTTTTTTTTTTTTTTGAGACAGGGTCTTGCTCTATCACCCAGACTGGATTGCAGTGGCACAATCATAGCTTAGTGTAATCTTGAACTCCTGGGATCATGTGATCCTTCTGCCTCAGCCTACTGAGTGGCTGGGACTACAGGTGCATGCCACCATACCCGTCTAGTATTTTTATTTTGTAGGGACAGGGTCTTACTATGTTGCCCAGGCTGGTCTCGAACTCCTGGGTTCAAGTAATTCTCCTGTCTCAGCCTCTCAAAGCACTGGGGATTAGAGGCATGAGCTACCGCGCCTGGCTGAAAAATTTCTTTAAATGTCTCTCAAATAGATTATAACTAGTTTTGTTTATACAATCCTATATAATAATGTATGTAAACTATGTAACGTATCTAATAATGCATTTTTAAAATTTTTATAAAGTAATCATATGCAGAAATTAAAATACTCCAGTGTGTCTCTGCTTGGGAAAATCGAGCCCATTTATAGAGAGCCAGTTTACTGCCTGTTTCTGTTACTTATCACATTTGCCCTTTAGATGATCCTTCTGAGTTCTTCTTACTCTTTAATGTTCTCCCAATTAATTTTCAACTTATTTTCTGAGTATATAGACAAAGATATTTCTATCCTCTCTTTTTGATTGTGTAAACATTGTTTTTACTTCTTGTCAATAGTAGAGAAACCTCTGAAATAATTAGCATATTCTTTCTATAGATTTTGCCAGTATGCATTGATTATTTCAGGCTTATTTGCATTTCCTGTATGGGGACAGGATGTGGTCAGAGAGGACAGTTGCATTATTTAAATTATTTACTTCTAGGCCAGGCAAAGTGGCTCATGCCTGTAATCCCAGCACTTTGGGAGGCTGAAGCGGGCGGATCACGACATCAGGAGTTCGAGACCAGCCTGACCAACATGGTGAAACCCCGTCTCTACTAAAAATACAAAAAAAATTAGCCAGGCGTCGTGGCGGGTACCTGTAATCCCAGCTACTCAGGAGGCTGAGGCAGGAGAATCACTTGAAACCAGAAGGCAGAGGTTTCAGGGAGCCAAGATCAGGCCACCACACTCCAGCCTGGGCAACAGAGCAAGACTGTCTCAAAAAAAAAAAAAAAATTATTTCTCTTAACTCTTTTGGCTTAGTGTAGACTTGAAATTTTGGGGAATACATTTTAAAAAGTTGAAATATAGCCTATTTATAGTAAGATGGACAAGTCCTTAGTACACTGTTTGATAAATTTTTGTGAACACACTCATGTAAACTATTATCCAGATTAAGGTATAGAACATTACCAGCAGGCCAGGTGCGGTAGCGCACGCCTGTAATCCCAACACTTGGTGAGGCCAGATCATATTGATCACTTTAGATCAGGAGTTTCAGACCGGCCTGACAACATAATGAGGCCCCATCTCTATAAAAAATAAAAAAAAATTAGCCAGGCGAGGTGACGCATGCCTCTAGTCGTAACTACTTGGAGACTGAAGCAGGAGAATCACGTGAGTCCAGGATTTCAAGGCTGCAGTGAGCTGTGATCGCACCACTGTGCTTCAGACTTGGTGACAGAGTGAGACCTTGTCTCTAAAAAAGAACAATCCCCTATCCCCCAAGAACATTATCAGGGCCCCAGAAGCAGTTAATATTCATACCTTTCAATGGCAACCAGTACTTTTTTTTTTTTTATCAGAATAGTTGTTATTTTTGGATTTCTAATTTTTGAACTTAAATGGCATCATAGAATATGTACCCTTCTGTGTCTGATTTCTTTCATTCAGTATTCAGCTTTTAAGCTTCATGCATGTTGTTGCATGTAGTAGTAGTTCATTCTTTATTGTGTCCACTGAATGAATATATCACAATTTATACTGATAGAGAAAATTCCTATTCTTGTTTTGTATGACTTTTGACTAGGGCTTCTAAACAAAGGTTTTATACGTGTCTTTAAGTGGACATATGAACATATCTTTCTTTGGTATATGTCTGGGGGTAGAACTGCTAGGGCATCGGGCATGTGGTATGTTCTACTTTAGTAGATACAGCCAGTTTTCCAAAGTGACTGTACCAGTTGACATTCTCACCAGCAATGTATGAGAGTTCCAGGTGCTTCATATCTTTGCTAAAGTTTAGTATTCTCTAAAATTAAAAAGACTGACATTTTGGTGAGTATATAGTAGTATCTCATTTTCTTTTTAATAAGCTTTAGAAAAATTGACATATACGTACAGAGAAGAGTACAAGTCATAATTATGTAGCTTCAGGAATTTTCAAGGCAAACACATCCATATAACTAGCACCCAGGTAAAGAAACACATTAACAGCATCCCAGAAATTCCTCTTGTTCCCTGCCATTACTGCCCTCACTCTTACTCAAGGAATCTACTATACTGACTTAAAAAAATAGCTTTATTGTTATGTAGTTGATACACAATAAGCCACACAATTTATAATTTGATAAATTTTGGCATGAGTATGTACCTGTGAAACTAGCATCACAAGCAAGATAATGAACACATCTGTAAGCCCCCAGAGTTTTCCTGTGTGTCCTTATAATCCCTCTCTCCCAGCTGGCTTCTTCATTTAGCATTAACTATTTTGTAGTTTATGTTGTTGTGTGCATCAGTATTTCATTTCTTTTTATTGCTGTGTAGTATTCCATTGTATGGATATACCACAGTTTATCCATTTTCCTGTTGATGGACATGTGAGTTATTTCTGTTTTTTGAGTATTATAAATAAAGTTGCTATAAACATTTGTGTATGGATAAGTGGTTTCATTCCTCTTGGGTAAGTGGAATGGAATGGCTGAATCATTTTTAACTTTTTAAATAACTGCCAAACTGTATTCCAAGGAGATTGTTCCCACCAGCTGTGTATGTGAGTTCTAGGTGCTACATGTCTTCCTCAACACTAGATATAGTCTTCTTAATTTTTGATATTGTGATAGATGTGTAGTAGTATTTATTGTGGTTTTAATTTGTATTTACCTAATATCTAATGATGCTAAGCATCATTTTCATGTGTTTATTTGCCATCTGTATATATTCTGTGGTGAGGTGTTTGTTCAAATATTTTATTGATTTTTTTTTAAATTGGGTTGTTTGGTTTCTTAATTTTTAAAGAAACATTATTATTAAAGTTTTCAAACATATGTGAAAGTAGAACGAATGAGCGTAACAAACTTTTTTTTTTCTTTTTTTTCTTTTTCTTTTTTTTTTTTTTTTGAGACAGAGTCTCAGGCTGGAGTGCAATGGCATAATCTTGTCTCACTGTAAGCTCCGCCTCCCGGGTTCATGCCATTCTCCTGCCTCAGCCTCCTGAGTAGCTGGGACTACAGGTGCCCGCCACCATGCCTGGCTAATTTTTTGTATTTTTAGTAGAGACGGGGTTTCACCATGTTAGCCAGGTTGGTCTCGATCTCCTGACCTCGTGATCCACCCATCTTGGCCTCCCAAAGTGTTGGGATTACAGGCGTGAGGCACTGCGCCGGGCCTAGCATAACAAACTCTTATTAGCTATCACCCAGCTTCTAGTAGTATCAATACATTACAAAATTTGTTCATTTATAGCTTCCCACCTGCTATCCCTTGCTGGTTACTTTAAAAAATACTTTTATGTATACTTTTAATTTACATACCATTAATGATTCATCAATCTTAAGTATGTAATTAAATGATTTTTAGCAAACATACAAAGTTATGCCATAATCAGCACAATTCAGTTTTAGAACATTGCCATTATTCCAGTTCATCTCCTGTGGCTGTTTGAAGTCAGTCTCTACTTTTATCCTGAGCCCAAAGTAACCATCAGCTTTATGTCTCTCTAAAATTGCCTCTTCTGGACGTATCATACAAATGTAATCATATGGTATGTCTCCTTTCTTGTCTGTCTTCTTTCGCTTAGCAGATATTTTTGAGGTTCTTACATGTTTTACTATGCATCATTAATTTATTCCTTTTTATTGGTGAGTAGTGTTTCTTGGCACAGATATATAACATTTTGTTTATCCATTCACCAACTGGTGAACATTAGATTGCTTCCCATTTTCCCATGTTTCAAATTTGGTTATTAGGTATAATGCTGCCTAATAACCATATTAGTCTTTATTTAGACATGTTTTCATATTTCTTGGGTATGTACTAAGAGTAGAATTTTCACATCATTTGGTGATTTTATGTTTAACATTTTTTTGTTTGTTTTTGAGATGGGTTCTCACTCTGTTGCCCAGGCTGGAATAAAGTGGTATGATCATGGCTCACTGCAGCCTCGACCTCCCGGGGGCTCAGGTGATTCTCCTATGTCAGACTCCCAAGTAGCTGGGACTACAGGTGTGCACCACCATGCCTGGCTAATTTTTGTGTTTTTAGTAGAGATGAGGTTTTGCCACGTTGCCCAGGCTGGTCTCGAACTCCTGGACTCAAGCGATCCGACTGCGTTGGCCTCCCATTGTGATGGGATTACAGGCGTGAGCCACCATGCCTGGCCCCCGTGTTTAATGATTTTTTCTTTGTTGATTTTTTTTTTTCTTTTGAGACAGTCTTGTCAGTGGTATGATCTTGGCTCACTGCAAACTCTGCCCCCTGGGTTCAAGAAATTCTCATGCGTCAGTCTCCTGAGTAGCTGGGATTACAGGCACGCACCACCACTCCCAGCTAATTTTTGTATTTTTAGTAGAGATGGGTTTTGCTATGTTGGTCAGGCTGGTCTCGAACTCCTGACCTCAAGTGATCCGTCCTCCTTGGCCTCCCACCATGTTTAACTTTTTAACAAATGATCAAACTGTTTTCCAAATTGACTGTATCATTTTGCATTTCTGCTTTGCATTGTGTTTGCATTCTCGTTTTGCAATGCATGAAGGTTCTAGTTCTAGTAATGTCCTAGCAAATACCTGTCATTGTCTGTTGTTTCTGATAATAACAATTGTAGTGGCTATAATCAATCATTATGAATGGTGCCACTGTGAACATTCTTATATGTATCTTTTGGTGACTATATGAATGTGTTCTATTGGGTATTTACCTAAGGAATGGAATTGTTGTGTCATAGGTTATGTGTTGTTCAGCTTTAGGAAATATCATGAAATGGTTTTCTCAGGTGATTATTGCAATTTACAATCCTGTGAGCAGTGAATGAGAGTTGTTATTGCTTTAAATCCTCACCTATACTTGGTTTTGTCTGTGGTTTTCATTTTAGCCTTTCTGGTGAATATATGATGGTAAAGAATTGTGGGTTTGATTTGCACTTTCCTGATGATTAATGAATTAGAGGAACTTTTCATATCTTGATTGGGCATCTAAATATTTTGTGTTATTAAGTGCCTGTTAAAGTCTCTTGTTGGCTTTTCTCTTATTGATTTATGGTCTTTCTTTCCCTGCCTCCCTCCCTCCCCACTGTCTGTCCGTCCATCCTTGGGACAGGGTCTCACTCTGTCGCCTAGGCTGGAGTGCAGTGGCGTGATCCTAGTTCACTACAGCCTCGAACTCCTGAGCTCAAGTGATCCTCCTACCTCAGCCTCCCAAAGTGCTGGGATTACAGGCATGAGCCACTGTGCCTGGCCAGTTTTACTATCTCTTTATACGTTCCAAATTTGACTCCTTTGTCAGATGTATGTATTACAGATATCTCTGTAATCTCATGTGGAAATGTTTTGTTTGATAGCTTTTTATCTGTTAATGGTTTCTTTTGATGAAAACAAGTTTTTAATTTTAAGGAAATATATTTTTTTTCTTTTATATTCAGTGCTCTCTTTATGTCCTACTTAAGGGTATATTGCTATCCTAAAGTCCACCTTGAGGTGTGTTATGCAATGTTCTGGAATTTTTATTGTTTAATATTTCACATTTAGTTCTATGGTCTTTCTGAAGTAAATTTTCGTATGTGATATTGTATTGGGGTGAGGATTTCATTTTCTATGTGGATATTCAGTTGAAGCATATTTTATGCTTGCACATATGCTTGCACATATTTTATACTTGCACACATAAGTCCTTGCACATACAGAGTTTTATTCTATGATATTATGTAGTCTTGCAAGCATATTTTGTGCTTCCTCAACTGAAAATCCATATAGAAAAGTTTATTTTTCTATATGGATTGAAAAGTTTATTCCCCCTGACTGCACTCCAGCACTGTATTGAAGTGATATTTTGTGGCACATTAGTTAACTGTGTATGTAAGTCTGTTTCTGGACTTTTTATTCTAGTCAACTGACCTATCTTTGAAATATTTTTTTCCCGATATCACACTGTTTTAAGTACTTTGTCTTTATAACAATAAATCTTGATATCTGTTCGTTTAAGATCTTATACTATTATTGCCCTTTATATTTTCTTATAAATTTTAGAATCAGTTTGTTAATTTCTCCCATATGCTGCCTGATATTTTGATTGGACTTGGTTTGAATCTTTAAGTCAATTTAGGGGGAACTGATATCTTAACAAGTCTTCTAGGTACTGTGATTACAGCAATGCTCAAAAAAGAAAAAAAAATCCTTGCACATGTACAGTTTTTATTATTTGATTTTATGTGGTCTTCCAGTTAAATATATTAACTTCTTTCTCTTCAAAGCCACTTATATGGCATTATGGCCAACTGGAAAAGAATGACTTTTATAGAAAAAGAATAATTTTATAGAATTATTACGAGGAATGTATATTGTTATCCTCTGTGCAAAGGATTGATTGACTAAAAAGATTGAGCGTTTGTGAGGTTTACAGAGCATACAGGTGAGCCATCCTAAAAGAAAAATATTGTGAAGGAAATTAATTCAAGTGGGATTGATCGTATGACAGCAATTTGGAAAATTTTATCTCAAGCACATGCAAAGTAAACTTGTATTACCTCTTTAGGGCGATGTTAGAAGAAAGAAAGAAAATAATATTGCAAAACCTTGCTTATATAATTGGAGGAATTCAAGCAGTGAACTTTTTCAAGTTGCTTGGTAGTTTCAGTTTCCTACAAGAGTATTAATGTTTTATTTTTAAGTATGGTTTGTGAAGTTCACTTTGTAATTCTCCAGAAGTAACAGATGTATTGCATATCTGTTTCTACAAATGACAAATGTATCTGTGAAAACAGAAGTCATGTAAGAATAACTGAGCAACATTAAATATTAGGGAACAATCAAGTCTAGCTTCTGACTGCAATTAGCTAACCACTGAGGTGTTGGTAAAATCATTTGCAGTACTCAAACTGAAATTGCTACAGGCAAGTGCTGTGTATTAAAGTACTTCCTGTAGTCTTTGGCAGAATGCTGCTAGTGAAGGAAGGATACAGAAGGTTACTGTGGCTGGAGAGAAGGAGCAGGAAAACATTGTGGACTTTAAGGGCGGCTCCTTGCTTAAAGACAAACACAGAGTAAACACAGACATGTTGGCAAATACCCTGTGGTATTTATACTGTTGCACCTAAAATTTTTTGCTATTTTTACTCTTTTAAGAAATAAAATTATGAAGACTTGGGCATACTATACAAGAAGTTAGTGTTATGTGCATGTGGTGGGGGTTCTTTTTTGGTGAATTTCATCTGCATAGAAACTTAAAAATGTAGCTTAATTTAGCGGTGTGTGGTTACTTTTCTGTCTAATGCTATTAGAGATTAATGGTGAATATATTTGGAGCTTTTCTTTCTGCCAATCTTGTCCTATAGAACAAATAAGGAGACAGGATAACTATCACAATAGGACGTCCACCAGGGCAAAATTGAGTATTATTTTCTGTGTCCTGTTTTGTAAATTACTTTTTAAAATCTTACTGTTTATTTTTATTTCATTTTTCCTTATCTTATAACAGTGTTTAGAAATTCATATAGAAGGAAGAGCAGATGGAGTCCTCTCCTGAAATAGTTGGTACAGTTTGATTTTTAAGTTTTTAAAAACTTCATTAAAGGAAGTTTTAAAAAACTTCATTAAAAATTTAATTAAGTTTTTAAACTTCATTAAAGAAATGGTGGCTATAATTAAATGTTAGTACTCTTGGGGACATAGATTTGCTAGTAAGTTTCACTTTTTCATGGCTATTCGGTAGCACATCTCGTAAAGGTGTTGAGAGGAAATCATTGTTGATGCTGATCCCCATTATTTTCCTCCCCAAACCTTCTGTTTCTATTAATTAATTTAGTGGTTAGGCCAGGATAAAACAGAGTGGAGAGAGGGGAGAATTCATACTAGATCTGTGATTTTGAACCTTTTGTGTGTGAACATGCCCGTTTTTATTTTGGCTCCTTTTATACAGGACATAGTGGTCTGCGTATGTCTTCACTCATTTGTTGTTTACCTGGTCCCACTGGTTGAGTTTGAGTCCCCTGCCCTGACCGCTGATCAAAAAATAAGATTTTTTATAGGCACCTCTGTCTTAACCTCTCTATATCAGTTTATGCTGTGGACTCTTTCTCTGTATTTTGGGTTAAAGAACATATATTAAGATCATGTGTCAGGCACTGTTCTAAGCACTTTACATAGATTAACTCATTTATGTTTTCCCTATAACCTTTGAGGGATACAGTAGTTACTGTTATTCCCATTTTATAATTGTGGACACCAAGACAAGAAACCTGTGTTTCACTCTGTCCATTTCCCTCCCTTCAAATAATCTACTACTGGACACTTTTTTTTGTCTTTTTGTTGAGATGGAGTCTCATTCTGTCGCCAGGCTGGAGTGCAGTGACATGATCTCGGCTCACTGCAGCCTCTGCCTCTCAGGTTCAAGCGATTCTCCTGCCTCAGCCCCCCGAGTAGTTGGGACTACGGGCACACACCACCATGCCCAGCTAATTTTTTTTTTTTTTTTGTATTTTTAGTAGAAACAGGGTTTCACCATGTTGGCCAGGATGGTCTCAATCTCCTGACCTCGTGATCTGCCCGCCTCGACCTCTCAAGGTGCTGGGATTACAGGCGTGAGCCACTGCGCCCAGTCCTGGACACATTTTAAGAGAGACATTGGCAGTCTGAGGTGCATCCAAAAGATGACCAAAGTTGGTGGTGGGGTTGGAAATCATGCTTTTTGGGAAAATGGTCAAAGAAGCTGCATTATTTTCAACAGCCTCCATTATAGATTTCATGTGTATGCACGTGAATTGAATTTGACTAGTTTTTGTAACTCTGAAGTGCAAAACTAGGAAGAGGGAGTAGAGAGATCAGGATGACAGAAGGTATTAGCTAGTTAGAGCAGCTCCAGAATGGAAGAGACTGTGTCTTCCAAAAGTGTTCTTGTAAAATAATTGGTAGACCATCTTTTAGTAATATTGTAGGAGGCATTTATGGAAAACATTTTTCTCCTTAAAAGATTTTGTTTAATGTTTCCAATTGCTTGTGGAATTGGACAAATAAAACATGTGTAAAGGCCCTTCCCATCTGAAGGATGCCAGTTTGCAACTTCTGCTTTAATTGTTCTAGGTTTTACTTCTGAATCAAACTAAATTCTTAGTTTTCAGACCACATTATTTCACTTCCAGCAGACTGCTTTTACTGAGGTATGCTTAAACCTCACTTAACTAACCACTGAGGTGTTGGTTAGTTATTAAGTGAATGGTGACGCTCTAAGGTCACCATTCACTTAATAACTTGTTCAATTTCTTTTTTTTTTTTAATTTGACATTTAGGCCGGGTATGGTGGCTCACGCCTGTAATACCAGCACTTTGGGAGGCCAAGGTGGGCAGATCACTTGAGGCCAGGAGTTCGAGACCAGCCTGGCCAGCATGGTGAAACCCCATCTCTACTAAAAATACAAAAAAATTAGCCAGACATGGTGGCAGGCGCCTGTAATACCAGCTACTCAGGAGGCTGAGGCAGGAGAATCGCTTGAACCCGGGAGGTGGAGGTTGCAGTGAGCCAAGGTCGTGCCACTGCACTCCAGCCTGGGCGACAGAACGAGACTGTATCTCAAAAATAAAAATAAAAATAAAAAACCCTGACATTTATCAAGTATCTACTTTACGACTGGCGTGATGCTAGGTTCTAGGGATGTCAAGAGAAGGTTGGGATATATAGGCTGTTTAGTGCTGGAATGTTATCAGTAAAACAGAGTGGTATGAGATGAAGCTGAGGAGCAGACAGGGCCTATGCCATATAAGAGGCTTGTTAGAAATAGCCTTATGAAATAGACTACACTTATAGGGATATTGTTCTGGAGATTGCTTTCCATGTCATTAATAGACCATTATATGAAGGCTAGGAACATCTTTGTTTACCCTATATTTTCTTCTTGGGACAATGAAATTCTTGTTACTGATAAGTTTCCTTTTTTACTTTTGCCAGAAGTTCTTGTGACTGATAAGTTTCCCTTTTTACTTTCGCCACCTGGAAATTCAGTTGAAAATTCAAGCCCATGTATGTGCATTCTAACTTTCTACCTGGTCTTGATCTATTACTTCATGTAATTTTCTGTGACTCTGTTTTTTTACATATTTAGTTATTGTTTTATATATAATCTGATAAGTGATTTAGATTCTTTGTGGAATGAGACCAATGTATCATTTATGAATCTAGATGTTTTATTTGCCTTGCTGGTACCCAGAGTCATTTGTTATTTGTTAACCTGGGTCTCTTGCTTTTCTTCAATTCTGGAAAGAATTTAGTCATTTCTGTAAATATTGCTTCTTCAACATTATTTGTATCTATCTCTTTTTAAAGTTTTAATTGTTGTATCTTGGATCCTCTTAATCTATTTTCCATGTCTCTTGGTTTTTTCACATATTTTTAATTCTTTGCTCTTTGTGCTATGTTCTGGATGAATTAACCAGTTTGAACTTCCAACTCACCAATTGTCTATTTAACTGTGTCTATTTGAGGGTTTTATCTTATCCATTGCTTTGTTAGTGATCATATTCTTTCTAGGATTTTTGGTTCTTTTTAGAGATGTGTGTATATATGTATGTATGTATATATGTTCTTATACCAGTTTTTTTTCAGTTCTGTGTGTTTTTGTAATTTCTTATTCTTTTAAAATTAGAAATGATTTTTAAATTTCTCTTTGGATAGTTATTTTGTAGTCTTTTTTTTTTTTTTTTTTTTTTGAGACAGAGTTTTGCTCTGTCACCCAGGCTGGAGTGCAGTGGTGTGATCTCTGCTCACAGCAACCTCTGCCTCCATGGTTCAAGTGATTTTCCTGCCTCAGCCTCCCGAGTGGCTGGGACTACAGGTGCATGCCACCACGCCTGGCTAATTTTTGTACTTTTAGTAGAGATGGGGTTTCACCATTTTGGCCAGACTGGTCTCAAACTCCTGACCTCAGGTGATTAGCCCACCTTGGCTTCCTAAAGTTCTGGGATTACAGGCATGAGCCACCATTCCTGGCCTTTTTTTTTGTTTTTTGGAGATGGTTTTGCTCTGTCATCAGGCTAGAGTGCAGTGGCGAAGTCATGACTCACTGCAGCCTCGACCTTCTTTACTTAAGCCATCCTCCTACCTCAGCCTCCCAAGTAGCTGGGACTACAGGCACATGCCACCACACCTGGCTGATTTTTTTGTTTTTTTAATTTTTTTTTCTTTTTCTTTTTTTTTTTTTTTTTTTACTTTTTGTAGAGATGAGGTCTCACTATGTTGCCCAGGCTGGTTTTGAACTCCTGGGCTCAAGCAGTCCTCTTGCCTCGGCCTCCCAAAGTGTTGGGATTACAGACATGAGCCAGTGCACCTGGCCTGAAGTCTTTATAAAGAGTTTTATGTATAATTAACTTCATCTGTACCAAATGTGTGTTCCAATTGTTAATTTTGTTAACTGTATAAAAACTGATAAAACTTTAAACCAAAAATATATAAAGGAATCTAATTTTAGTTCACCTTGTGTTTTCATAATAACTTTTTTTTTCTCAACTTTTTTTTAACTTCAGGAGTATATATGCAAGATGTGCAGGTTTGTTACATAGGTAAATTTTGTGTGCCATGGTGGTTTACTGTACAGATCATCCAGGTATTAAGCTCAGCATCCATTAGTTATTCTTCCTGATGCTCTCTCTCCGCCCCCCCAACCCCACCCTACCCCACCCTCCCTCCACCACCCACCGCACAGGTGTTCAGTGTGTGTTGTTCCCCCACCATGTGTTCTCATTGATCAGCTCCCACTCACAAGCGAGAACATGCACATAATGGCATATTTTTAAAGAAGAAATTATTTCTTCATTTATTTGGGGTACTGATATGGTTTGCCTGTGCCCCCACCCAAATCTCATCTTGAATTGTAGTTCCCATAATTCCCATGTGTTGTGCGAGGGACCTGGTGGGAGTTAACTGAATCATGGGGGCAGTTTCTTCCATACTGTTCTCGTGGTAGTGAATAAGTCTCACGAGATCTGATGGTTTTATAAGGGGAAACCCCTTTCACTTGGTTCTTATTCTCTCGTGTCTGTCACCATGTAAGACATGGCTTTAGCCTTCTGCCATGATTGTGAGGCCTCCCAAGCCACATGGAACTATCAGTCCATTAATCCTCTTTTTCTTTATAAATTACCCAGTCTTGAGTATGTCTTTATCAGCAGTGTGAAAATGGACTAATGCAGGTACCTCATAAAGGTCCTTGTAAGACTGTTCTCAATGATTTCATGTGAAATGATTTTGTATTTCAATTGCTGGAATATTGGTTTAAAGCCTCATTTTGAGAGGTAGGGGTTTTTGTTTTTTTTCATTCCGCTCATTTTCTCTGTGCTTATCCTTCTCTGTCTGATGATTTTGCACTTGTTCCTTTTCAGCTCCTAAGTCTTTAATGTAGAACCAGGTCTTATAAATGCTTCAGGGATCTTGAACATGATGATATTGGGGATATGGCAGACCTACCACTGAACCAGAGGGGAAGTTCAAATTGTTTTTTATTCAATTTAAGAGCATATCTATTTTCTTTCTTTCTTTTTTTTTTATTATACTTTAAGTTCTGGGATACATGTGCAGAACGCGCAGTTTTGTTACATAGGTGTAATGTGCCATGGTGGTTTGTTGCACCCAACAACCCGTCACCTATGTTAGGTATTTCTCCTAATGTTATCCACCCTCTAGCCCCCAACCCCCAACAGGCCCTGGTGTGTGATATTCCCCTCCCTATGTCCATGAGTTCTCATTGTTCAACTCCCACTTATGAGTGAGAACATGCAGTGTTTCGTTTTCTGTTGTGATAGTTTGCTGAGAATGATGGTTTCCAGCTTCATCCATGTCCCTGCAAAGGACATGAACTCATCCTTTTTTATGGCTGCATGGTATTCCATGGTGTATATGTGCCACATTTTCTTTATCCAGTCTATAATTGATAGACATTTGGGTTGGTTCCAAGTCTTTGCTATTGTGAATAGTGCCGGAATAAACATACGTGTGCATGTGTCTTTATAGTAGAATGATTTATAATCCTTTGGGTATATACCTGGTAAAGGGGATCTCTGGGTCAAATGATATTTCTGGTTCTGGATCCTTGAGGAATCGCTACACTGTCTTCCACAATGGTTGAAGTAATTTACACTCCCACCAACAGTGTAAGAGCGTTCCTATTTCTCCACATCCTCTCCAGCATCTGTTGTTTCCTGACTTTTTAATGATCGCCATTCTAACTGGCGTGAGATAATATCTCATTGTGGTTTTGATTTGCATTTCTTTAATGACCAATGATGATGAGCATTTTTTCATGTCTGTTGGCTACATAAATGTCTTCTTTTGAGAACTGTCTGTTCATATCCTTTGCCTACTTTTTGATGGTTTTTTTTTTCTTGTAAATTTGTTTAAGTTCTTTGTAGATTCTGGATATTAGCCCTTTGTCAGATAGATTGCAAAAATTTTCTCCCATTCTGTAGGTTGCCTGTTCACTCTGATGATAGTTTCTTTTGCTGTGCAAAAGCTCTTTAGTTTAATTAGATCCCATTAGTTTTGGCTTTTGTTGCCATTGCTTTTGGTGTTTTAGACATGAAGTCTTTGCCCATGCCTATGTCCTGAATGGTATTGCCTAGGTTTTCTTCTAGGATTTTTATGGTCCTAGGTCTTATGTTTAAGTCTTTGATCCATCTCGAGCTGATTTTTGTATAAGGTGTAAGGAAGGGATCCGGTTTCAATTTTCTGCATATGGCTAGCCAGTTTTCCCAACAACATTTATTAAATAGGTAATCTTTTCCCCATTGCTTGTTTGTGTCAGGTTTGTCAAAGATCAGTTGGTTGTAGGTGTGTGGTGTTATTTCTGAGGCTTCTGTTCTGTTCCATTGGTCTATGTATCTGTTTTGGTACCAGTACCATGCTGTTTTGGTTACTGTAGCCCTAGTTTGAAGTCAGGTAGCGTGATGCCTCCAGCTTTGTTCTTCTTGCCCAGGATTGTTTTGGCAATGCAGGCTCTTTTTTGGTTCCATATGAACTTTAAAGTAGTTTTTTTCCAATTCTGTGAAGAAAGTCAGTGGTAGCTTGATGGGGATAGCATTGAATCTATAAATTACTTTGGGTGGTATGGCCATTTTCATGATATTGATTCTTCCTAGCCGTAAGCATGGAATATTTTTCCATTTGTTTGTGTCCTCTCTTATTTCCTTGAGCAGTGGTTTGTAGTGCTCCTTGAAGAGGTCCTTCACATCCCTTGTAAGTTGGATTCCTAGGTATTTTATTATCTTTGTAGCGATTGTGAATGGGAGTTCACTCATGATTTTTCTCTGTCTGTTATTGATGTATAGGAATGCTTATGATTTTTGCACATTGATTTTTTGGATCCTGAGACTTTGCTGAAGTTGCTTATCAGCTTAAGGAGATTTTGGACTGAGACGATGGGGTTTTCTAAATATGCAATCATGTCATCTGCAAACAGAGACAATTTGACTTCCTCTCTTCCTATTTGAATACCTTTTATTTCTTTCTCTTTCTTGATTGCTCTGGCCAGAACTTCCAATACTATGTTGAATAGGAGGGATGAGAGAGGGCATCCTTGTCTTGTGCCGGTTTTCAAAGGGAATGTTTCCAGTTTTTGCCCATTCAGTATGATATTGGCTGTGGGTTTGTCATAAATAGCTCTTATTATTTTGAGATACATTCCATTGATACCCAGTTTATTGAGAGTTTTTAGCATGAAGCGCTGTTTAATTTTGTCAAAGGCCTTTTCTGCATCTATTGAGATAATCGTGTTTTTTTGTGATTGATTCTGTTTACGTGATAGATTACATTTATCGATTTGCATATGTTGATCCAGCCTTACATCCCAGGTATGAAGCTGATTTGATCATGGTGGATAAGCTTTTTGATGTGCTGCTGGATTTGGTTTGCCAGTGTTTTATTGAGGATTTTCGCATTGATGTTCCTCAGGGATATTGGCCTTAAATTTTCTTTTTTTGTTGTGTCTCTGTCAGGCTTTGGTATCAGGATGATGCTGGCCTCATGAAAGGAGTTAGGGAGGATTCCCTCTTTTTCTATTGTTTGGAATAGTTTCAGAAGGAATGGTACCAACTCCCCTTTGTACCTCTGGTAGAATTTGGCTGTGAATCGGTCTGGTCCTGGACTTTTTTTAGTTGGTAGGCTATTAATTACTGCCTCAATTTCAGAACTTGTTATTGGTTTATTCAAGGATTCGACTTCTTTCTGGTTTAGACTTCGGAGGGTGTATGTGTCAAGGAATTTATCCATTTCTTCTAGATTTTCTAGTTTATTTGCATGCAGGTGCTTAAAGTATTCTCTGGTGGTAGTTTGTATTTCTATGGGATCAGTGGTGATATAAGAATATCCCACAGGATATCACCACTGATATAAGGATATCACCACTGATCCCACAGAATCAGTGATATCCCTTATATCATTTTTTATTGCGTCTGTTTGATTCTTCTCTCTTTTCTTCTTTATTAGTCTGGCAAGCAGTCTATTTTGTTGATCTTCTCAAAAAAACTGCTCCTGGATTCATTGATTTTTTTTTTTGAAGGGTTTTTCTTGTTTCTATCTCCTTCAGTTCTGCTCTGATCTTAGTTATTTCTTGTCTTCTGCTAGATTTTGAATTTGTTTGCTGTTGCTTCTCTAGTTCTTCTAATTTTGATGTTAGGGTATCAATTTTAGATCTTTCCTGCTTTCTTTTGTGGGCATTTAGTGCTATAAATTTCCCTCTACAGACTACTTTAAATGTGTCCCAGAGATTCTGGCACGTTGTGTCTTTGTTCTCATTGGTTTCAAAGAACATCTTTATTTCTGTCTTCATTTCATTATATACCCGGTAGTCATTTAGGAACAGGTTGTTCAATTTCCATGTAGTTGTGTGGTTTTGAGTGAGTGTCTTAATCCTGAGTTCTAGTTTGATTGCACTGTGGCCTGAGAGACTGTTATGATTTCCATTCTTTTGCATTTGCTGAGGAGTGTTTTACTTTCAATTATGTGGTCAATTTTAGAATAAGTGTGATGTGGTGCTAAGAAGAGTGTATATTCTGTTGTTTTGGGGTGGAGAGTTCTGTAGGTGCCTATTAGGTCTGCTTGGCCCAGAGCTGAGTTTAGGTCCTGAATATCCTTGTTAATTTTCTGTCTCATTAATCTGTTTAATATTGACAGTGGGGTGTTAAAGTCTCCCATTATTATTGTGTGGGAGTCTAAGTCTCTTTGTAAGTCTCTAAGAACTTGCTTTATGAATCTGGATGCTCCTGTATTGGGTGCATGTATATTTAGGATAGTTAGCTCTTCTTGCTGCATTGATCACTTTACCAATATGTAATACCGTTCTTTGTCTCTTTCAATCTTTGTTGGTTTAAAGTCTGTTTTATCAGAGATTAGGATTGCAACTCCTGCTTTTTTTTTGCTTTCCATTTGCTTGGTAAATATTCCTCCATCCCTTTATTTTGAACCTATGTGTGTCTTTGCACATGAGATGGGTCTCCTGAATACAGCACACTGATGGGTCTTGACTCTTTATCCAATTTGCCAGTCTGTGTCTTTTAATTGGGGCATTTAGCCCATTTACATTTAAGGTTAATATTGTTATGTGTGAATTTGATCCTGTCATTATGATGCTAGCTGGTTGTTTTGACCATTAGTTGATGCAGTTTCTTCATAGTGTTGATGTTCTTTACAATTTGGCATGTTTTTGCAGTGGCTGGTACCGGTTGTTCCTTTCCATGTTTAGTGCTTCCTTCAGGAGCCCTTCAAAGGCAGGCCTGGTGGTGACAAAATCCCTCAGCATTTGCTTGTCTGTAAAGGATTTTATTTCTCCTTTGCTTATGAAGCTTAGTTAGGCTGGATATGAAATTCTGGGTTGAAAATTCTTTTCTTTAAGAATGTTGACTATTGGCCCCCACTCTCTTCTGGCTTGTAGGGTTTCTGCCGAGACATCCACTGTTAGTCTGATGGGCTTCCCTTTGTGGGTAACCTGACCTTTCTCTCTGGCTACCCTTAACATTTTTTCCTTCATTTCAGCCTTGGTGAATCTGACGATTATGTGTCTTAGGGTTGCTCTTCTTGAGGAGTATCTTTGTGGTGTTCTATGTATTTCCTGAATTTGAATATTGGCCTGTCTTGCTAGGTTGGGGAAGTTCTCCTGGATAATACGCTGAAGTGTGTTTTCCAACTGGGTTCCATTCTCCTTGTCCCTTTCAGATACACCAATCAGATGTAGATTTGGTCTTTTCACATAGTCTCATATTTCTTGGAAGCTTTGTTCGTCCTTTTTATTCTTTTTTCTGTAATCTTGTCTTCTTTCTTTATTTCATTAAGTTTATCTTCAATCACTGGTATCCTTTCTTCCTCTTGATCGATTTGGCTATTGAAACGGTGTATGCTTCATGAAGTTCTCGTGCTGTGTATTTCAGCTCCATCGGGTCATTTATGTTCTCCTCTACACTGGTTATTCTAGTTAGCAATTCGTCTAACGTTTTTTCAAGGTTCTTAGCTTCCTTGCATTGGGTTAGAACATGCTCCTTTAGCTTGGAGGTGTTGGTTATTACCCACCTTCTGAAGCCTATTTCTGTCAATTTGTCAAACTCGTTCTCCATCCAGTTTTGTTCCCTTGCTGGTGAGGAATTGTGATCCTTTGGAGGAGAAGAGGCATTTTGGCTTTTGGAATTTTCAGCCTTTTTGCACTGCTTTCTCCCCATCTTTGTGGATTTGTGTACCTTTGGTCTTTGATGTTGGTGACCTTCCATTGGTGTGTTTGAGTGCACATGCTATTCCTTTCTGTTTGTTAGTTTTCCTTCTGACAGGCCCCTCTGCTGCAGGTCTGCTGAAGTTTGCTGGAGGTCCACTCCTGACCCTGTTTGCCTGGGTATCATCAGCAGAGGCTGCAGAACATCAAAGATTGCTGCCGATCTTTCCTCTGAAAGCTTCGTCCCAGACAGGCACCTGCCAGATGCCAGTCAGAGCTCTCCTGTATGAGGTGTCTGTTGGCCCCTACTGGGAGGTGTCTCCCAGTCAGGAGGAACAGGGGTCAGGGACCCACTTGAGGAGGCAGTCTGACCCTTCACAGAGCTCGAACACAGTGCTGGGAGGTCCACTACTCTCTTCAGAGCCACCAGGCAGGGATGTTTAAGTCTGCTGAAGCTGTGCCCACAGCTGCCCCTTTCCCCAAGTGCTCTGTCCCAGGGAGATGGGGGTTTTATCTGTAAGCCCCTGACTGGGGCTGCTGCCTTTTTTTCAGAGATACCCTGTCCAGAGAAGGGAAATCTGGCAGTCTGGCCACAGCAGCCTTGCTGAGCTGCAGTGGGCTCCACCCAGTTCGAACTTCCCAGAGGCTTTGTTTATACTGTGAGCATAAAACCACCCTACTCAAGCCTCAGCAATGGCGGACGTCTCTCCCCACACCAAGCTCGAGCGTCCCAGGTCGATCTCAGACTGCTGCTGTGCTGGCAGTGAGAATTTCAAGCCAGTGGATCTTAGTTTGCTGGGCTCCGTGGGGGTGGGACCCGCAGACCCATACCACTTGGCTCCCTGGCTTCAGCACCCCTTTCCAGGGGAAGTGAATCGTTCTGTCTCACTGGTATTCCCGGTGCCACTGGGGTATGGAAAAAAAGAATTCCTGCAGCTAGTTTGGTGTTTGCCCAAATGGCCACCCAGGTTTGTACTTGAAACCCAGGGCTCTGGTGGGGTAGGCACTGGAGGGAATCTCCTGGTCTGCAGTTTGCGAAAACCATGCGACAAGCACAGTATCTGTTCCAGAGTTCTTCAGGCTCAGTCCCTCATGGCTTCCCCTGGGTAGGGGGAAACATTCCCTGACCCTTTGTGCTTCCCAGGTGAGGTGACCCCCCACCCTGCTTCGGCTCGCCTTCCATGGGCTGCACCCACTGTCCAACCAGTCCCAATGAGATGAACCAGGTACCTCAGTTGGACATGCAGAAATCATCTGCCTTCTGCGAGGATCTTGCTGGGAGCTGCAGACCAGAGCTGTTCCTATTTGGCCATCTTGCCAGCAATCCTTGCCTGTTTTCTTTTGCTTCTATTTATCAACAGTTCTATATAAGTTCTTGTTCCTGGCAGCTGTTGGTAGCATTTTTTCAGCCTTCCTTCATGAACACGGGAATCTCACTATAGTGCCTGGTTTCAAGCTATGAACCTGGCTCCTGATCCCTGTCCCACTGTGAGCCCTTTTAGTTTCCTTTACTTTGCAGGAGCCAAACTCTCCATTGCCTTCTTCTTAACCTAGAGTTTTGTGTATTTCTAACTTCAATCTTGCCCACAGCTTTGCTTTTCTGGCCCAGGGGAAATAGTTATCTTATTTTCATGCCCATTTTTGTCTTATAGTTTTTTCCTTTTTATTTTTTAAATCTCTCATTCATAAGTGTTTTCAGTGGGATGAGTGGACAATCCATCAAAGCATGAAATAATTACATGGTCTTCATGCAAAGTCTTTCTTAGATAGCCTTTATGGCTCCTTCTGGCTCTGACATTGTATGATATACTATTGATTATTTCCCCTGGAAAACTTTCTCACTGTAATGTGTTCCTTCATTGCCTGTGAGAAGGAGCACAAGACAAATAAAACTTTTTTTTTATCCTGGTATTTTTCCAGGCTCCTGGTATTAGAATGTTTGAAATGAAATTATACAAAATGTCTTCAGATAAATTATGAGTTCTTGGGAAATTATGTTTGAATTTGCTGGTGACAGATAATAATAATAAATAGGTAGAAATGAAGATATGAATAATGCTTCAATTTCCTAAATGCCAAAATATGGTACAATTAGACATTTGTTTAAACTTCCTTGAATGGGTGTTACTTTCCTGAGGTTTAACTTTAAATTAGTGGCTGCATTTGCATTCATTCAATGAATCTATTGGGTGACTAACTCCTTATACAGTAACAGAGTCACAGAGGTTAAGGCTAGGCTTCTAGAGGTGTTAGTCATCTCTGATAGCAGTGTATCCTACCTGCTTTTAAAAAGAACATTTTAGTAAGGATAGGAGGTATACGTTAGAGGAATATATAATTTGCTTTGTTTGTAACAGGAATACCTGAGAATGTACTGATGACCATGTAAACAAGGTACAGTTTAGGGTAGAATTTCTGCAGATATAAGCAAAGTTTTGGTACAACAAATGGTTAATTTATCAAGTCTTCTATTAGTCAAGGATTGTTTGAGAGTATGCTAAAACTGTTGTCTGTTCCTTAACCGTGGGTTTTCATTGTCTTGGGATGAGAATCCATGCTTTCAGATTGCCAGAATTCTGGAAGTGTTCACAGCTAGGGGAAAAAAAGAAAAAAAAAGAAAGAAAACCTCACAGAAAATTTTTAGTAAAATTCATTATTAGCCGGTTTCTCAGGACTTCATTTGGTACCAGGATACATAAAACTTGAATTTTCATAGACTAATTTTGCTTTTCCTCTTACCATGGAAAGAAGATTAGAAGTATTGGTTGACCTTCAGCAAAATAAACTTAGTACAAGGCAGAAGAAGTTAGAGTGAAGGGTAGGGAGCATTCCTCGTTTTTAGGGATAGTCACATCTGACATTTATGTTTATGATTTATGAACTCTTTGAAGTGCAGTCTGATGGCTAACACTTATCTGACACAATGTTTTCTTTAGCCCGTCCTACAACTTCTTAATCCTAGAAAACCTAGAAATTAATTTTTAAAATTCCTTTTTTAAAAAGGAAACAACTTTATAGTGTAAAAATCCTTTTCTGGTATGGGGGTTAAAAAAAAAACCCACGGAGGGTAAATAAACCGTAGTTCACACAGTGTAATGTAAAGTCTTCAGCCATTGTCAATAGACTCTGTATTTTGAAATCATTTTGCTTTCATCCCAAATGGTTGACTTTTCAGTATTTGAGCTAGACTTACCTTATGAATTATAGTGTGCATTCTCACTGAAAGTAGTCTCATTTTCTTGTTTACATTTATATCCATGTTTGTTGAATTGAGTACAGTTCAACAATGGTATTTCTTAGCTTAGCTTAAAAACTAAAATGGGATGATTCATTGAGTCTATTTCACCTTATGTTATAGAGGCTAGCCTATCAATGTAAGGACTGTGGAAACTCATATGCAATTATATTTCTGGTTGGTAAGTGATCCAAAAAAGATGTAAAAGATTATTTATCCCGTTAGAAAATGAAAGTCTAGGTGGGATGGCTCACACGTGTAATCCCAGCACTTTGGGATGCTGAGGCAGGCGGATCACCTGAGGTCAGAAGTTCAAGACCAGCCTGGCCAACATGGTAAAACCCCATCTCGACTAAAAATTCAAAAATTAGCCAGGTACTCGGGAGGCTGAGGCAGGAGAATTGCTTGAACCTGGGAGGCAGAGGTTGCAGTGAGCTGAGATCACACCACTGAACTCCAGCCTGGGCGACAGAGCAAGACTCTGTCTTAAAAAAAAAAAAAAAAGGAAAATGAAATAAACCTAAAAAACAAGTAATCATTATCAGAGAATGATTATATAGCCAAGAAGTTTTGTTAAAAATAAAGATCTTGAAGCCTTTCCCTAATTTAACTATGTATCTTTCTATCATGTGTTATACTAGTAGTATTCAAATCAAGAAGTTAGTCAGTTTGTTGTTTAGATAATTGATGGGCAAATTGTGATGACATCTAGCCATACCATGTCACACTGAGTATGTTACAACTGGAATTGTCCTTTGTTGTTAGAATATTGGTATATATACTATACCATTTAATGTCTGATTTTCATAGCTCTCTGTGCTGTAATAACCTCAAGTGTTAATGCCAGGTTGCTGTAGCATCAGCCTGGCTGATTTTATGACATAAAACAATAATGGTCCAATACCTTTAAAGAATACAGAATTGGCCAGGCACAGTGGCTCACGCCTGTAATCCCAGCACTTTGGGAGGCTGAGGCAGGCGGAGCACGAGGTCAGGAGATCGAGACCATCCTGGCTAACACGGTGAAACCCTGTCTCTACTAAAAATACAAAAAATTAGCCAGGCGTGGTCGTGGGCGCCTGTAGTCCCAGCTACTCGGGAAGCTGAGGCAGGAGGATGGCGTGAACCCGGGAGGCGGAGCTTGCAGTGAGCCAAGATCGTGCCACTGCACTCCAGCCTGGGCGACAGAGCGAGACTCTGTCTCAAAAAAAAAAAAAAAAAGAATACCGAATTGGCAGTCCTGGAGGCTTATGTGTCCCAGGCTCCTCTTAGATCCCTCAAGAACTGAGGGGAACTCATTCCCTGTATAGCTGTGGGGCGCAATACATTGTTTGGGAAGCTCTGATTTAAAGGGTTAGGGACTGAGCTTGATTAATAGATGTACAGAACACTTTGAGAATAAGGGTTTTGTTGATGATGAATAAACTGGGAGTCTTGGCATATCTCGTGGTGACTGATGTTGAAAGGGAAATGGAGCCTAATGGAATAGTCCTGATGGCCACCTAGAAGGAGGTAGAATATTCCTTATATAGATGTTTTCTCCTCCCTCCCTCCCTTCCTCTCTTCTTCCCTTCTGTCCTTTCCATTCACCTATATCCTTTTTAATATAGTTTTCTGGAGAAGGCCTACCTCTGTTGGCTGTGAGGGCAGGAAGCAGACAAGTAAGCTGGGAACCCCCATAATTACCACAGTAAGGAAATCCTGGTGGAATGCTTTAAGTTTCTCTTCTGAAGGAGATTACCTGGCTGTTTTTTTTCTTCCTTGTGATTCTTTAGCTTCTGTTTTGCTTCTCCTAGTGGCCTCAGTGCCCATGCTTCGAACCTGTGTACTGTGTCCTAGGTACTATGCCGGTCACTTAAAGACATGATTTCATTTAATCTTTAATTGTGGGGTATTCATTTGTTTACTACAAAGGTCCTTCTGCATTTTCCTAGGTTGTTTCCTTATGTACTTCACGATGCAAATCAATTGTCAACCTATGGATTTTATTTATTTATTTTATTTTATTTTTTAGTTTTTGAGTCGGAGTCTTGCTCTGTCGCCCAGGCTAGAGTGCAGTGGTGTGATCTCGGCTCACTGCAAGCTCCGCCTCCTGGGTTCACGCCATTCTCCTGCCTCAGTTTCCCAAGTAGCTGGGACTACAGGCGCCTGCCACCATGCCCGGCTAATTTTTTTGTATTTTTAGTAGAGATGGGGTTTCACTGTGTTAGCCAGGATGGTCTCAATCTCCTGACCCTGTGATCCACCCACCTTGGCCTCCCAAAGTGCTGGGATTACAGGCGTGAGCCACCGCGCCCGGCCTTGTCAATCTATGGATTTTATTCCCTCATCTGTTGCTGCTCAGTCTGAATTTGATGGCTCTCATGTGCTCTCCTGTAGTACCTTTTGTTTCTGTCATATGACTTATTGTTCTGTTATGCTCTCTTCTCTACCTATTTTGCATAGTCTCTGGTATGTGTTAAATGCATGGTGAATGTTTATTTAATGAATGAATGAATGAGGAAATATAGTTTCAAGTTCTGAGAATGATAATAAATCCTTAGGTGAAATTTACCCCATTTGAAAGATTAAATTGATTCATTTTAGCAAAGTTGAAGAGACAAATGTACCTAAACAGTCCTTTTTCATTGTGAACATGTATGACTTTTAGAATCTAGGGAGACAAAAAATAATTTTTAAAAAGATTACATTTTGGGGGTATGAGCAGTGTTCTTTACTAATACCGGTATTCCCTAGCAGTAAAAAATAACTCCTGTACATCAATTAGCAATTTGTTTGCATCAAAGAGATTTTAAAGATGGAGACCATCTCTTTACTTTAGGCACAGTTGCACAGGACCCCTACCTTGGCTCGTAAGCCCAGAAACTCAATTTCAGTTTACCCAGAAGACATGTCCTGATAAAACTAACAAGACGCTTAACCTATTAATGTATAATGGACATCTGCTGGTCCAGATAAGTAAGACACTTAGGGAAGCAAGGTTGTAGGTCAAAGATAGTAAGCATTTAATTTGAACTGAGAGAATGAGTTTAGTTTTTTTTATGGGGTGGGGCTTGTGATCAGATTTTTTTTATTGTGGTAAAATATACATAACATAAAATTTATCATTTTAACTATTTTTAAGGGTAAAATTCATTGGCATTCACAGTGTTGTGCAACTATCACCACTATTTCCAGAACATTTTCATCAACCCAAATAGATATTCTGTAATCATTAAGCAGTAATTCCCCTTTGTCTCCTCCCACAGCCCCTGAATCTACTTTCTGTTTCTATAAATTTGCCTAGTCTAGATACTTCATATAAATGGAATCACGATGTTTGTCCTTTTGGACTTCAGTATTCTTAAAGGATATTTCTGCTTTTCTACTCTACAGATTGTCTGTTTAAATAATGGTTTTCAAATATCTTTTGATGGTATGTTTTATCTATTAAAAAATTTAAGTGATATATATATTTGTAACATACATGTACTCTGTACTAATATATTGTATACATTATAAAATATGCATAAAATCTTAATGAAATAAATATTATTTTGAAATATCAGTATCTTTTGATGACTTTCTGCTATCATTAGCTTGTATCTCAAGGTTTAAAACTTTGTCTTATTTCTTATCAGATTTTATTGGATGGTCATTGTATACTTCTCCTGATAAAGAGCTCTGTATGGGTAGAAAGTGGCAGCTCTGCCATTTGTTTGTATTTGAATTATTAGTATTTACTTCAGTGTTTCTTTATCAGAATTTTTTTTTTTTTTCGAGACAGGGTCTCACTCTGTTGCCCAGGCTGGAGTCCAGTGGGGTGATCATGGCTAATACGGTTTGGCTGTGTCCCCACCCAAATCTCATCTTGAATTGTAGCTCCCATAATCCCCACACATGTTGTAGGAGGCACCCTGTGGGAGGTAATTGAATCATGGGGGTGGTTTTCCCCCTGTTGTTCTCATGATAGTGAGTTCTTTCGAGATCTGATGGTTTTTATAAGTGCCTGGCATTTTCCCTCCTGGCACTCATTCTCTTGCCTACCGCCAGGTAGGATGAGCCTTTGTTCCTCCTTTTGCCTTCCCCCATGATTTTGAGGCCTCCCCAGCCACGTGGAACCACAGTCCATTAAACCTCTTTTTATAAACTACCCAGTCTCAAGTATGTCTTTATTTAGCAGCGTGAGAATGGACTAATACAACAGCCCACTGGAGCTTCAACCTCTTGGTCTCAAGCAGTCCTCCCACCTCTGCCTCCCCAGTAGCTGAGATTACAGGCACATGCCACCAGGCCCACATGTCTGTAGTCCTAGCTACTCTAGAGGCCGAGGTGGGGGGGATCACTTAAGACCAGGAGGTCAAGGCTGCAGTGAGCCATGATTGTGCCACTGCACTTCAGCCTGGGTGACAAAGCCAAGACTCTGTCTGAAAAAAAAAATTATAACAGGAAAAGGTCCTTTCTCTCTTTCCTCCACCCCCTCTGTTTGTTTCCCCCACCTCCATCCCTCCCTCCCCTCCTGTAGTTGGAATACTTGTTATGTGTCTGGGATTCTTTAGGGTCTTCCAGATTTAGTGCTTCTTCCCCTATCTGGATCAGACTATACTTCGATTCTTTTTAAATCCAAAATAGACAGGAATTTTAGGATACCAAGAGACAGAGACTACATTGAAGGGTTTACATGCCCATCATTCCCTATCACAGGAAATACCTAAATGGTATTTAAATTTCTTTTTTTTTTCTAGCCCCCTGTCTGCGTGTTGGAATGTTTAATCGTTTTAAGGGTCTGGGCAGTCCTGTCTTTGCTTACTGAATGATTGGGAAGGAAAATAGAGAAGTAATTCCAGTGGGTTATGTTCAACCATCCAGAGCAGAGATTGGCAAACTTTTTTTTTTTTTTCTGCAAAGGACCAGATAGTAAATATTTTATGCTTTGAGGGCCATATGGTCTCTGTCAAATTTCCCAACATTGCTGTTGTAGAGTGTAAGCAGCCATAGACAATTGGCAAACAAATGGATGTGACTGTCTTCCAGTCAAACTTTATTTAGTGAAACAGACAGCAGGCTAGAATTTGCCAACCTGTGCACTCAAACTATCTGTTGTGAGGACTCTTCCCCCCTTTTCCCTTAAAATTTGTAGATGGACATTTTTGTAAAATACAATAAAAGTGAATTATTGGATGAGTAAAAAATACATGGTTAAAATTTTTAGATTACAGACAACAAGTTACATTTCAATCTATAATTTAAATGGTCATACATAGGGAAAAAGAAAACAATTAGAAGAACCATAAATGTTGTTACTTGAAGATATCTTCTATTAATATAGAGAATCGCTGCTATAGTCATAACTTTTTTGTCATTCTGTAATACTAACTAAACACAAAGCCAAGCAAAATTGCAGCTCTCCATTTATTAAATGCCCATACTGTAAACAAACATTGTATATATGGATATTTAACAATTTTAATATGACATAGATTTGCTTTTTGCTATTAGTTTATCTAATCTAGGTTGGATTGACGACAGTACTACTCACAAGAGATAACGTATTTGTATACTACTCCTATATTTTGTTTTAACAACACTCAGTTTAGAGAAACCAGATTTAAAAATATGTTGCTGTGAACTGAAGACATTTAGATTTAAAAGAAATTTTAGCAAGCTCAGGATATTCATGTCTAACTTTTTTCCAAGGTGAAGCAAGTGATTTTTTTCAGAATTCATTTTCTATCTTTCATTAGTAGTCAATTCCAATAATTTATCCTGTGGAATTACAGTTAAATTTAAATTATCTCTCAATGAATAGGTTGTAGATCCACACATTTCTTTTGTATGAATCTTCTTTTGGTGGAAAAAATTTGAAAATGTTTTTATCAAATTTGTAAGGTTAGTGATAATTTTTCAACAAATATACCATACCTGATTATACCTACTTCATTGAAAATTATGGACCAAAAAAAAAAAAAAAAAAAAAGGCTGGGTGCAGTGGCTCACTCCTGTAATCCCAGCACTTTGGGAGGCTGAGGTGGGCAGATCACTTGAGGCCAGGAGTTTGAGACTAGTCTGGCCAACATGGTGAAACCCCATCTTACTAAAAATACAAAAATTAGCTAGGTGTGGTGGCGGGCATCTGTAATCCCAGCTACTTGGGAGGCTGAGGCAGGAGAATCACCTGAACCTAGGAGGCGGTGGTTGCAGTGAGCTGACACCACACCACTGCTCTCCAGTCTGGGCAACAGAGTGAGACTCCATCTCAAAAAGAAAAAAAGAGAAAATTATGGAATATGTCCTAAATATCTGTAGAAACTGATCTTTTCATGCTATTAGCATCTTTTTTTGCCCTTTGATCTTATTGGTCATTGAGAAATACTTGTATCCCTTTCTTACAAGTATGAAGATTATTAAAAATACCGAATATATAAGATGAATAAATCCAATTGTCCAATTCACACCTTTAAAACATTAGGACCAAACTTTTTTATCTTGCAGAAACACTAAGAATTTGTTTCATTGTTTATTTTCGACAGTGTTTCTCCTTGACAACCATGGAACTTCAGTATGTAGTAACAGTAGTGTACAATTAGTTTTCATATCCTCTCTCAGTGAAGAGAGTACTCTCTAATACACTGCATTAGCCTTTAAGTAATTCACAATTACACTATTAATTGTCACTAAACGTACTGTTTAGACAGGTGTCTTTTTTTAAAAAAAAAATTATACCAAGAGTTTCTCAATGATGGAAACAATGCATTGATTTACACTCTGGAGTAAACGGCTTAATCTGGATAACTGCTCCAGAATACTTTCTTGTCATTACAATTGCACCATCAGAATATACCGTTACACAAAATTTAAACTCAAATCATGTTTATTGACTTATAATTTTTCATAGATTTGTACAGTTTAGAAATCGTTATGTTTGGCAGTGAAGCAGAAAAATAATTCTTCCTTCACAGCACCATCATGTTCAGATCACATATATACCAAAGGAAATGCCATACTATCTTTGCATTTATTAAGTTTCAATTAAAAACATGTCACTAAATTTCTTTGTTCTGTGAATTGGTCTTCCATGTCATTAACCAGTTCCTGAATTCATCAGACTATGGTGTCATTGGAAATTGGTTCTTTATTGCAGATTCACTGAATATTTCCAAGCAAACATCTTTGGTGGAATTTTTCCCTGATGTCAGTGTGTGTGGGGTGTGTGTGTGTGTGTGTGTGTGTGTGTGTGTGTGTGTGTGTGTGTGTTTATATACCGTGTTAGCATCCTGAAGGTCTATTATATAAAAAGCCTGAAAACACTAATACTTATTTGAAATAGCAGACATTTGCTTCTGTTGGCTTTGCAATTCACTACTATTTATTTCAAATTTTTTTTGTTGTTTTGAATGTCTATATGGTTTTTGCATAAATACTACTTAGGTTTTGAGGGTTTTATTGTTGCATAGCCAGTACATCTCTGCAGATAACCCATAGTGGTTTTAAACTTTGCTGTCAGTCATACTTTTGTGTAAAATAGTATAAAGTCGTTGGTCTTTATTTCTTTGAAATTACTTTCATTGTTGTTTGGTTTACTACCTCTGCCTCATTCAGAGACATTTTATCTTTTTTTGCCAAGGAAAGCCCATTAAACTTTTTCTGTTTGTAAATTAGGTGTAAAAATACCTATTTACTTCCTTAATTTAGCTAAAAATATTAAATTATAAATTATAGGCTGATTAAAATTTAAATGACACAATGACAGATTATGAAAATATGCTTACATTTTCTCAGATTTAAATTTTTTATTTTTTTATTTTTTAGAGCTAGAGTCTTACTCTGTCACCCAATCTGAAGTGCAATAATGCAATCTTGGCTCACCGTAGCCTCAATCCCCTGGGTTCAACTGATTTTCCCTCCTCAGCATGCAACACCACTGGCAGCACCATGTGTGACACCACGTCCTGCTAATTTTTAAAGTTTGGTAGAGACAGGGTCTCACTTTGTTAGCCCAGACTAGTCTTGAACTCTTGGATTCAAGCGATCCTCCCACCTTGGCCTCCCAAAATGTTGGGATTACAGGCATGAGCCACTGTGCCCAGCAAGATTTTTAAAATATTTCCATTATAGATAACAAACTAACTGATGTCAAATTGCTTAAAACTTTCTAAATGCTTACTCTCAATTTCTGTACTTGCCTGTTATGTATCAGTAACAAACAGTTGGAGGACCTTTGTTCTAATCTAGAGACTAATAGAAGGCCATTGTAGCAAGAAGGGGTGTTCTGAGTCTTATATTATTTTTCTTAGAGTAGATATTCTCGGCCTTTGGTAAAACTTAATTATAGTTTTCATTTGCTGTATTTGAGATTCAGTGAGACGGTTTTTTCCTCATGTTAGTGAATGGAGACATAACGTTCAACCAATATAAAGGGACTTTAAGCAGGCAATTTGCAGATGTTCCCATTATCTCCCCATGTGGATATGGAAAGGCTTGTTTAAGGACAGCAGTCTTAGTTTATGTCTTATTTGTTCACCTGTTACTGAAAAACCATTGTGGGGGCCTGGGTTCCTATGTCTATTTTCTGATTACTCCAATGTTGTCCCACGAAAGGAACTATTTAAGAGCCTTATATATTCAGCAGCTATAGCTCAAATCCATTGTGATAAAGGTGACCCGTCCCATATATGTTTATAGTAATATTCTTTCTATATGGTTTATAAATGTACATATATGTCTGCATATGATATGTCTCTATATCAATCTAAATACGTCTTTTTCACTTATTTCTACATATTGTTGAATTGCTTAATGACTTTTTATGGAAACTTGGAGCTAGAAGTGGTGTGAAGGTCATATGGTCCAGCCCTCTTTTTAATATAGAGGCTGGCAAACTAGGGCTGTCTGGTCTGACACCTGTTTTTGTAAGTAAAGTTTTGTTAGACCACGGACATACCTATTTGTTTACATATTGTCTATGGCTGCTTTCTCACTACAATAGTATATTAGGGTAGTTGCCCTGGAGATCTTATGGCCTGCAGAGCCAAAAATATTTACTCTCTGGCCTTTTACAGAAAAGTTTACTGACTTCTTATATAGAGAGGCCTGGCAACTTCTACCTGAATTCATTCAGTGACAGTATTTCACTCTCTCTCAAAGCATTCAGCTTATAGTTAGTTTCTATTTATCTTGAGCAAAACTTTTTTAAGAAACCTTCCTTGTACACATGATAGACTTTTAGGAATTTGAAAACAATTTTTTTTTTATGGTCCTTTTGTGCTTTTAATAACCATAATATTGATTTCACAAAATTTTATCCTCTCCTTAAAAAGTTGGTAAGAACGTACCCTCTAAAAATGGTAGCCCTTTAAAATATGCCTTACATAGTATAAAAGAATTATCCAACTCTTCAGGTGTCTCTCTTTCCCCCTTTTTCTTTTTTTTTTTTTTTTTATTATACTCTAAGTTTTAGGGTACATGTGCACATTGTGCAGGTTAGTTACATATGTATACATGTGCCATGCTGGTGCGCTGCACCCACTAACGTGTCATCTAGCATTAGGTATATCTCCCAATGCTATCCCTCCCCCCTCCCCCGACCCCACCACAGTCCCCAGAGTGTGATAAAAACAATTTTTATACTTCTTATCTCTTTCTAGTAGTCTACATCCCATTCCCAGTCTTTCCAATCATAAAAATTTGTAGTTTATTTAGTTCACACTTGAACGTCCTATGAAACTGTTTTAAACCTTTTACCTATCTTGTTTCTTGTCATTATTCTTAAGCCATTGATACAGAAATCAGAACCAAATTTAATATTGTTGTGGGTATGAGACAGTTTCTGTCATGTTTTAATTTTTTCCTTAAAGTTTTACTATGTACTTCATATATACTGGGCACTCAACTGTGTTATTATTACTTTAAATATGTGCTAAGTGGCATTATTTTTTAAACAGTGATATCACATTAAAGGTTCTTAATGAGCTCAAACTCAAAAACCACTACGTCTTTTTACATATCTTGCTATTAAATCAGATCTTCACCATCCTACGCTGAACCCATGGCAGGACTTTTTACTCCTTTGAGATTCTATTGTATTAGGTTTATTCCACTGTGTCAGTATGTTGAGAAGTTTTAGCATCTTGATTCTGTTATTTAAATATTTACTGTTCTTCATAGCTCTTTGTCATGTGAGAATTTGATAGCAATGAGTTACTCGATCAACATCTTGCTATGTTTGTGTGGTCGTTATTGAATCCAAGTGAAATTGTTCTGGGAATTTTTCTTAGAGTTTATGGTAGATTGAATTATTGCTCAGCAAATATTCATTCCCCACCCTTTCTCTTGAGGTGAACTATACATACATCCCTGTCTTACTGATTTTAGACTTGGTCATACGGCTTGCTTGGACTAGTAGAATGGAGATGGAATTGACTGTAAAGCCATTTCTAAAATGAGGCTTTAAGAGGCATGGCAAGTTATTTCCAGCTTTTTCGTACTTCCGGCACTTACTGTAAGAAGAACTTGCCCCAGGTAACTACTTCAGATGGGGTCCCAGAATGAAAGATATGTGAAGGATACCTGAACTTGACCCTGCAACCTGAAGCAGAGATGCTCTAGCCAACCTGCAGATTCATGAGCAGAAGTTAGCATTTATTGTTTTAATCCATTTCCACTTTTTGAGTTGTTACAGAGTATTGATTCAGCAATAGCTGGTCCATACACAGCTAACCAAGCCATTCTGTTTTGCAGGAATTATCTCTGAAATGCCTAGTACCTGTAAATAACAAGCCAGTACTAGACTATCATGAACCTTGGCTTAAGGGAGATCAGAGGTAACTTTTGGGTCCCATATGTGTGTCGGTACATGGCATGAGCTGAGGGATGCCGCTGAAGAAAGGAACTACAGTTGGCTAAACAGGATATACAGAAATATCCTGCTGCTCTAGCTATGCCTCAAATGCTTTGGGTCAGATTTTTACTTTTTGCAGTTTGATATGCTAACATTGTCAAGTTTTTCTATTACTTTCTGTTCTGTTTTCTTGTTCCTCCTGTATTTTTTTTTTAACTTCCTGCCTTTTTAGAAATAACTCATGTTTTCACAGTATGTACTACTTAAAGAAACAATATAGAATAAGACCATTAGAGTTCTAATTATGGCTCCACCATTTGTTAACATAATCACTCTACATAAATTACTTAAGCCATTTCCCCCTCTGCATATTGGGATTAATAAATAACTCACAGTTGTTGCTAAGCTTAAATGAGATAACAAAGTCATTAGCTCACCATCATTTGTATATACAGTCATTAGCAAATATTTACTGAGTAAATTCTGAGGGATACAGTGCTTTGCACATTATAAAAAAGTCAATACATTTTATAGCATTTTGATAGTCCTAGACCTAGAAAGTACTTGTTGGGGTCACATTGATGCCAAATGAAAGGAAAAGAGAAGGGGGTTCTAATCCCATTTCTGAAAGAAAGAGCATAAATATTTGCCGTTAGAAATCATGGAACAGTTTTTAGATGTGTTTTATGTTATTTGATAGGTTAATACTTTATTTCAGGATTTCTTTTTGCATTATCCTTGGCAGTGGCTAGGTACTGTCAATGACCAGTATTTTTTGTTCTATCTGGGGATGTGAATCCAAAACAAAGGATAGAATTGCTTGTGCTCTGTTTTTCTCTCAGTTAATTTTTTCAAAATATAATCCCAAGTACAAATCATGCTTTTGAGTATTATAGGGGATCATATTTTTTTCTTATAACCTTGAATAAGATGCAGTAAAAACAGTGAAGCTGACCACTTTTCTTCCCTATCATTTAGGTATGTAGCTTCTACCAGATATTTTGACATCCTGTTTCATAAGAATCTTTTTCTTTAATTAAAAAAAAAATGGTAGTTTTAACAATTCAAATAATATGGGTGGTACATGAAATATTTGCCTTTTTTTTTCAAATTTACAGTCATGTTTGGTATAAATCTTTTCCTTTTATGTGTACTCATTTAATATGTAGTTTTTCCTTTATAAAAAAGTAGAATTATATTCACATTTATTCTGCATCTTGTCTTTTATATTTAATAGTATTTTTTATCATTGATAAAAATATCATTGATATTTTCCCAAAGTGAATACAGAAAGACCTCATTTTATTGACAGCATCATAGTTCGTATTGTGGATATAAATTATTTAACATCCACATATTTTGATCTACATCCTATTGATTTAAGTTGTTTAAAGCAATACTGTGACTGGGCATGGTAGCTTACGATTGTAATCTCAAGATTTTGGGAGGCAGAGGTAGGAGGATCGTTTTTGGCCAGGAGTTCAAGACCAGCCTGGGCAACATGGTGAAATCCCTGTCTTAATCAATCAATCAATAAACAAACAAATACACATACTACAATAAATGTACTTATTTATCTTGTTATACTTGTGCTTTTATTTTAGCAGTTCTGAAAATGGCTTCCTTGTAAGCGAAGTCTATCTATATTTAAAATTTTAATAGATATTAGTAGGTAAAAACATTTTTAAAAACTTGATTACTAATAAAAATTTAAAATGCTACACCAATTTATATTTCTACCAATAATTTATAGTAATGTGGTGCATCCTATCTTACCAGGAGTGGATGCTGCCAGTCATTAAATTTTTGCCATCCTGGGCCAAAAATGATATCTAATTTTGTTTCCTTTCTATGAAAATTGGTATTCAGACATATTCCAATGTTTGTAGCTATTTACAATGCATTCTTGCTGTATTGGCCATTCATATCTTTTTTATTATTAATTGTTTTCTTTTTAAAATCAGTTCATAAGGCTTTTCAAAAATTCTTACAGAGGCTGGGGATGGTGGCTTGCACCTGTAATCCCAGTGCTTTGGGAGGCCAAGGTGGGAGAATTGCTTGAGCACAGGAATTCGATTGTAGCCTGGGCAAGATGGCAAGACCCCTGTCTTTACAAAACATTAAAAAATCAGCATGGCATCATGGTGTGTGTCTTTAGTCCCAGCTACTTCAGAGGCTGAGGCCACAGTATCCCTTGAGTCCAGTAATTCGAAGTGGCAGTGAGCTATGATCCTGCCACTGCACTTCAGCCTAGGTGACAAAATGAGACCCTGTCTCTAAAAAAAAAAAAAAAAAAATTACTGAAATTATTGTAGAAATATAAGCAAGAGATGTTTTTTGCTTTCCTTCCATTTTTTTTTCTTTTATTATTATACTTTAAGTTTTAGGGTACATGTGCACATTGTGCAGGTTAGTTACATATGTATACATGTGCCATGCTGGTGGCTGCACCCACTAACTCATCATCTAGCATTAGGTATATCTCCCAATGCTATCCCTCCCCGCTCCCCCCACCCCACAACAGTCCCCAGAGTGTGATGTTCCCCTTCCTGTGTCCATGTGATCTCATTGTTCAGTTCCCACCTATGAGTGAGAATATGCGGTGTTTGGTTTTTTGTTCTTGCGATAGTTTACTGAGAATGATGATTTCCAATTTCATCCATGTCCCTACAAAGGACATGAACTCATCATTTTTTATGGCTGCATAGTATTCCATGGTGTATATGTGCCACATTTTCTTAATCCATTCTATCATTGTTGGACATCTGGGTTGGTTCCAAGTCTCTGCTATGGTGAATAGTGCCACAATAAACATACGTGTGCATGTGTCTTTATAGCAGCATGATTTATAGTCCTTTGGGTATATACCCAGTAATGGGATGGCTGGGTCAAATGGTATTTCTAGTTCTAGATCCCTGAGGAATCGCCACACTGACTTCCACAATGGTTGAACTAGTTTACAGTCCCACCAACAGTGTAAAAGTGTTCCTATTTCTCCACATCCTCTCCAGCACCTGTTGTTTCCTGACTTTTTAATGATCGCCATTCTAACTGGTGTGAGATGGTATCTCATTGTGGTTTTAATTTGCATTTCTCTGATGGCCAGTGATGATGAGCATTTTTTCATGTGTTTTTTGGCTGCATAAATGTCTTCTTTTGAGAAGTGTCTGTTCATGACCTTTGCCCACTTTTACCCCATTCTTTTTTTTTTTTTTTGAGATGGAGTCTTGCTCTGTCGCCCAGGCTGGAGTGCAGTGGAGCGATCTCGGCTCACTGCAACCTCCGCCTCCCAGGTTCAAGTGATTCTCTTGCCTCAGCCTGCTGAGTAACCAGGATTACAGGCACGTGTCACCACACCCGGCTAATTTTTTGTATTTTTAGTAGAGATGGGGTTTCACTGTGTTAGTCAGGATGGTCTCGATCTCCTGACCTCGTGATCCACCTGCCTCGGCCTCCCAAAGTACTGGGATTACAGGCGTGAGCCACTGTGCCCAGCCCCATCCTTAGTGTTAGATGATTTTTATATAACATGCTAGAATGTTAAATTATTGCATGTACTATGTGCACTGTTTTCTATATAGTATTTACCCAGCATTTGCCTAATTTTAATGTTGTATCTAGCACATGTATGCTTAATCTCTTAAGGACAGAGTTTGAATTCTATTATTGTAGATTAATAGAATTAAGATTTATGAGTGACTTTTTTAAGGGACTGGGGTCTCACTCTGTCACCCAGGCTGGAGTGCAATGGCATGATCATAGCTCGCTGCAGCCTCAAACTCCTGGGCACAAGTGATCTCACTTCAGCCTCCTGAGTAGCTAGGACTATAGGTGTGTGCCACCATGCCCATCTAATTTTTAAATTTTGTGTAGAGATAGAGGGCCTCACTGTGTTGCCCAGGCTGGTCTCAAACTCCTGGGCTCAAGCGATACTCCTACCTTGGCTTCCCAAAGCATTGGGATTACAGATATAAGACACCACACTCAGCCTCTGACTTTGGAAATATTCATAAGTTTTTTTTTAATTGAGGAATTCAGCGTTAATAAGTGAGGCAATAATCATAGAATTTTACAGTTCAGTTTAAGAGTAAAATGTATCTATTAAAATGGTCTCTTTGTTTGATTTATACAAAGGTGACATATAGTAGCAGGCCTTGGATGTATCAGTGGTAACAAATTTGGAATCCGTTGTAAATATAGGATCTCACTGGTAAATATACTGTGTTCATTTGGATAGGCTAATTGTTTAACCAACAACTCCCAAATCACTGAGGCTTATAAAAAGAAATTTATTTCTCACTCACCTAATAGTTTGTTGCCAAAATTGGTGAATGGCCTTCCAAGGGATGATGATTCAATGATCCAGGCTCCTTTAATCTTGAGGTTCCTAGATCCTTTAGTCCAGGCTCCTTTGATCTTGAGATTTCTAGATCCTTTAGGGCCTCAAGTCCTCAATGGATCCTCTACATCTAGCTAGCAGAGAGGAAGGAAAAAAAAGATGGTACGTGGAGGTTATGGTGGATCAGAACTGAATGTAACACATATCATATCTCTTAATATTTCCTTGGCCAAAACTCAGTCACATAGTCACATCTAATTTTAAAGGAGGCTGGAAAATTTCTTCTATGTATATGCCTTGGAAAAGAGGAGAATGGGGATACTGGTAAAGCAAGCTATCTCTGACATATATTTAATTTAAAAGTACCAAAATGGGTTTCTAAATCTGAATATATTTTATCTATACTGTGTACATTGGGTCAGTTTTTAAAGACAACAATAAAAGTTGTATGTAATTTAACTGATTAATTCCTTTAATTACACAAATAGTTGGTGGATCTGCTTACCAAAATGGAAAAGAACAATTAAGCAAATAGAAAATTTAAATTATACATTACTTGACAGGTTGCCCAGAAAAGTGGATAGGATGATAAATACTTGCTTATGGAAACTGATAATATTTATCTTCACTACTTGACCGAGCCTTTTAGTGATTTAATCTGTGATGAAGAGAAGTAAAAATTCCTTCATGATAAAATCTCTCAACAGACTGGGCATAGAAAGAACATACCTCAGCAAAATAAAGGCTATGTATGACAGACGCACAGCTAACATCATACTGAATAGGGAAAGGCTGAAAGCCTTTCCTTTAAGAAGTGGAGTAAGACAAGGATGCCCACTTTCACCACTCCTATTCAGCGTTGTGGCAGAAGTTCTAGCCAGAGCATCAGTCAAGAGAAAGAAATTCAAGGCATCTAAATAGGAAAAGAGAAAGTCAAATTGTCCTTCTTTGCAGATGACATGACCTCATATATAGAAAAGCCTAAAGATTCCAACAAAAAACTCTTTGAACTGAAAAATGAATTCAGTAGAATTGCAGGATACAAAATCACCATACAAAAATCAGTAGCATTTCTATATACCAATAATGAACTAGCAGAAAAAGAAATCAAGAAAGCCTCAAATTTATAATAGCTAGAAAAAAGTAAAATTCCTAGGAATAAATTTAACCAAGGAGATGAAAGACCTACAACAAAAAACCGCAAAACACTGATGAAAAAAATTAAAGAGAACACACAAAATGGAAAGGTATCTCATGCTTATGGACTGGAAGAATGAACATTGTTAACATGACCATTCTACCCAAAGCAATCAACAGATTCAATGCAGTCTCTATCAAGATACTAGTGACATTCTTCATAGAAATAGAAAAAACAATTCTAAAAATTGTATGGAACCGCAGAAGACCTCAATAGCCAAAGCAATCCTGAGCAAAAGGAACAAAGCTGGAATCGTCACAGTACCTGACTTCAAAATATTCTACAAAGCTATTGTAACCAAAACAGCATGGTATTGATATAAATACAGACACATAGAACAATGGGATGGATTAAGTAACCTAGAAATAAACTCACATATTTTACTGCCAACTGATTTTTGACAAAGGTGCCAATAACTTATATTGGGGAAAGGATACCATCTTTAATAAATGCTACTGGGAAAGCTGAATATCCATATGCGGAAGAATGACCCCTGTCTTTCACCAGAGTTTAAAAATAATCTCAGCCGGGTGCAGTGGCGCATGCCTGTAGTCCCAACACTGGGAGGCTGAGGTGGGTGGATCACCTGAAGTCAGGAGTTGAAGACCAGCCTGGCCAACACAGTGAAACCCTGTCTCTACTAAAAATAAAAAAATTAGCTGGGTGTGATGGTGGGCACCTGTAATCCCAGCTACTTGGGAGGTCAAGGCAGGAGAATCACTTGAACCCAGGAAGCAGAGGTTGCAGTGAGCTGAGATCGCGCCACTGCACTCCAACCTGGGTGACGAGTGAGACTCTGTCTCAAAAACATAAATAAATAATAATAATCTCAAAGTGGATTAGACTTAAACCTAGGACCCAAAACTATAAAACTACTGACATAAAACATAGAGGAAATACTCCAGGACATTGGCCTAGGCAAAAATTTTATGGCTAAAACCTCACAAACCAAACACAAAACTGTGAACAAACCAAAACACAAAATTGAAAAATAGGACTATATTAAATTAAAAAGCTTCTGCACATCAAAGAAACAGTCAACATAGTGAAGAGACAACCTGTAGAATGGGAGAAGGTATTTGCAAGTATTCGTTTAATAAAGGACTAATATCCAGAATATATAAGAAACTCAACTCAGTAGCAAACAAACAAACAAAAAAACTCCATAAATTATCCCATTAACAAGTTGGGAAAGGATATGAATAGACATTTCTCAAAAAAAGACATATACATGGCCAGTAGGTATATGAAAAAATGCTCAGCATCACTAATCATCAGGGAAATGAAAATCAAAACCACAATGAGATATCATCTTACCTCAGTCAGAATGGTGATTATTAAAAAGAACAACAACAAAAAACTGTTGGCAAGGATGCAGATAAAAGGTAACTCTTATACATTGTTGGTAGGAATGTAAATTAGTATAGCTACTATGGAAAACAGTATGGAAGTTTCTCAAAAAACTAAAAATAGAACTACCGTATGATCCAGCAATCTCATTACTGGATATTTATCCAAAGAAAGGAAATCAGTATATCGAAGGGATATCTGCACCCCCAAGTTTGTTGCAGCACTATTCATAGTAGCCAAGTTATGGAATCAACCTACGTGTCCATCAACAGATGAATGGATAAAGAAAATATGGTTTATATACACAATGGAATACTATTTAGCCATAAAAAAGAATGAAATTCTGTCATTTATAGCAACATGGATGGAACTGGAGGTCATTATGTTAAGCGAAATAAGCCAGGCACAGAAAGACAAATATCACATGTTCTCACTCACTGATATGTGGGAGCTAAAAAAGTTGCTGTCATGGAGATTGAGAGTAGAATGATAGTTACCAAAGAGGGGGGGGAGCAGTTTGTGGGAAGGTTGAAGGGAAGATTGGTTAATGGGTACAAATATACAGTTAAATAGAAGGAATACGTTTTAGTATTTTATAGCACAGTCGGATTAGTGTAATCAACAACAATATGTCTTTCAAAATAATTAGAATACATGATTTGAAATATTTCCAACATGAAGAAATGATAAATGTTTGAGATGATAAATATCCTAAATACCTTGATTTGATCATTACATATTGAATATGTGTATCAAAATATCATGTGTGCCCCTTAAATGTGTACAATTATTATGTAACAAAAAATTGTAAAACCGAAAGTTTGTTCATTTCTTTATATATCTTATTGACAAGGGAAGGTATCACCAACAGAATGGACTTGATATTGATAAGAGGTAGATCTGCTCAACAAGACTTGGGAAGGAGGATGGAATAAACTGTATGGTGTTTGAGAAATATACACCAGACACATACAAATGTGTATCTGTGTGTATGTGTTTATACATCTCACATGTATTGTAATAGTGCCCTTAATGAAAACACTCTGCCTCTGGCAAAAAACAAAAAACAAAACACCCCTCTTTTTGTTTTTCCACATGACTGCGAAACAATTACAGCTTCTAGTAGGAGGGCTTCTCCTGTTCCTGGGAAAAGAGCTGGGTTGGTTGGCATTTGCATAATCGTCTTTGGGGCCATTGTGGGTGGGTTTGGGCTGCTGACACAGAGCTGCAGACTGGCCACCTGTCCAAAACAAATGAACTCAGCCTTTGTGTAACATTATCTGGTTATCCACAGTGTTATTTCTGAGTAATGGATAATTTGGTTAAAATAATATGAAACTATTATTTAGGAAACATTGTGTTCAACGTAAGTCCTCCATTTTGCTGGGAGAAAAATTTTCTTCTTTTTCCACTGGCACAACTATGTATTTCCATATCATCTTTGGTATAGTTTTATAACTGCTTTTGTGATATCCTCATGAATATTAATTAGGGATATGAAAATTTAAAAAGAAACTTCAAAATGATTTGCATTCGTTATTCTATAAATTATAAATTAATTGTTGTCTTTTTCTAGCAGTCTGTTTTACTTATGTGGAATAATTAAACACTTAAAGTCATCAAAAAAGAAGACACATCTAAGATCTTGATGTAAGAACAAGTCCTGCATCATTCGTTATCCTTGATAATGAATCCAGTGACTCACCTGTGAATTTAGGAAGTTTTTGTCCTAATAATGCATATATTGCTGTGTTGAGTAATTTTATTAATCAGCTACATTTAACCTATAATGAATACATACTTACACATTTTTAAAATTCACCTGTGACAAACTTACATGTGACATATTAATATTTCTTTTCTTTCTTTCTTTTTTTTTTTGGAGACGGAGTCTCTCTCTGTTGCCCAGGCTGGAATGCATTGGCATGTCTCGGCTCACTGCTACCTCCATCTCCCGGGTTCAAGCGAGTCTCTCACCTCTGCCTCTGGAGTAGCTAGGACTACAGGCACGCCCCACCATGCCCAGCTAATTTTCGTATTTTTAGTAGAGATGGGATTTCACCATTTTGTCTAGGCTGGTCTCCAACTCCTGACCTCAAGTGATCCGCCCACCTCTGCTTCCCAAAGTGCTGGGCTTACAGGTGTGAGCACTGCACCCTGCAGAAAGTTAGGTTCTGTTATGGAGGTAGGTTTATGAGGAATCCTAAAGGAATTGCTTACTCCCAGTGAGACAGTCTTGAACTAGACTCTTAGGAATAGATAGGATTTGGAATACACGGATATTCCAGTTTGAAACTGGTTGCAGATAAAAATAAACAGTGATTCTGCAATTATTATGGAGACTTAAGTAATATTAGAAAGAAGTAAGGAGATACACTTGGAAGATACTAAGTTGATACAACTTGATAGAAGATTATGAATACTAGGCTGGGGGTCATTACAGAAGTCAAGCCAAAAAAATGTACTGGAAAAAGAACACTAAAGTGGGAGGCATGTCATAATTTATATGGATATTGGCCTTATTACTTGGTGACAGATCTTTTTTTTCAACTTTTATTTTAGAATCAGGGGAATACATGTACAGGTTTGTTACAAAAATATATTGCATGATGCCGAGGTTTGGAGTATGAATGAATCTATCACCCAGGTAGTGAGCATGCCTAATTATTTTTTCAACCCTTGCCCCTGCCTCACTCCCTGCTCTTGGATTCCCTAGTGTTTATTATTCCCATGTTTATGTCCATTTGTATTCAATGTTTAGCTCCCACTTAGATATGAGAACATGTGGTATTTGGTTTTCTGTTTCTGTGTTAGTTTGCTTAGGATAATCGTTGCCAGCTACATTCATGTTGCTACAAAGGACAAGATTTCATTCTTTTCATGGCTGCATAGTATCCACGCTGTATATGTACCACAGGTGCCCATCAGTGGTGAGTGATCTTGAGTCACTGCCCATTTTTCTTGATCTGAGAGGATTCGACTGGATAAATTATAAGGTCCCTTTAAGAATCAATCAGTCATCAGAATTTCTTTTCCTTTTTTTTTTTTTTTCTTAAAGAGACAGGGTCTTACTCTGTCACCCAGGCTGGAGTGCAGTGGCACAATCATAGCTCACTGCAGCTTCAAACTCCTGGGCTCAAGCGATCTTCCCATTTCAGCCTCCTGAGTAGTTGAGACTAGAGGCATGCACTACCACGCCCAGTTAATTTTTAAATTTTTTAATAGAGACAGATCTCCTTGTTGCCTAGGCTTGGCTTGAACTCCTGGCCTCAAGCAATCTTCCCACCTCGTCATAAGAATTTTTTAGTGATAGATGGTTTTGTTTTTAATATTTCAGCTGGAAAACTATTTTAGCATCTAGCAGAAGACTTGTTTGTGGAAAAAGCTTGACTTGGTGAATCTTTTCATCAGAGTAATCCCTATGTTTCACATATTTCATATAAAAATAAAATAAGTTTCCCACTCTTTAGTGTGAAATTGGTGAGGGATTGGATATAAAAGGTTATGCTCTGGATATCCCAGAGAACTGCCTTCTTCTTTTCCTAAAGTTGTCCACTATGTTTGAGGTTCTGCTCTATGCATAACAAGTGTGATTGCTTTTGGAGGGTTACAAGGTAATGAGGACTCCTATATTCAGAATGTAAAACCCATTTGACAAAGTAAGATAGGTATGCATAAAAGTTACAAATATATACTATCAATAGGGCTATATCTGACTTATATGATTAAATGGCCACATTCATAACATAATCAGTATGGGCCCTAAGTTTTTAGGAAAACATGGTAAGTGGGATTAGAATATCTAAAGACGACAAGAATATTGTGTGGATATGGAGAAAGAATGCATTCTATACCAGAGAAAGGCTGCTATCAAAAACTCAGAGGCAAAAAATAATTTTGGGCATAATTATGAGATAGTAAAAAGATCAGTAGTTGCCAGAAGTTGAGGATGAAGGGGAAGGGACAAATAGCAGAGCACAGGGGATTTTTAGGGCAGTGAAAATAACTCCCTATGATACTGTAATGATGGATATGTCACTATATGTTTGTCCAGACACATAGACTGTACAGCACTAAGAATCCTAGTGTAAACCATGGACTTCAGATGACTGTGTTATGTGTCAGTGTAGGTTCATCCATTGTAAATGTACCACTGTGGTGGGGGATGTTGTTAATGGGGAGGCTATGCATGTGTGGGGGCAAGTGATACATGGGAACTCTCTGTACCTTTCTCTCAATTTTGCCATGAACCTAAAACTGTTCTAAAAAATATGAAGTCTGTAATTTTTAAAAAATGTGAGTATCAAGAGAAGAATATAATAGAATTCTATAAATATCTTCCAGGTGATGAATATGCTCAAAGTCATATGCTCTTGAATTGATATCAGTATTTGGCAGTCCCTATCTGTGTGAAGACATTTGCAAAGATGAAATATTTAAAATCTAATTACAGATCCGCGTTAACAGATGAACGTTTGTAATGGATTTTGATGGTAGGGAACACTAACTTTGAATTTCAATTAAGCAGAATATGTGTATTACAGAAAATTGTACTCAGTTTTTAAAATTTTATCAATAAAAAGTTTGAGGAAAAAATTATGAGTGAACACAATATTTGTGGAGGAAGACTTCTTGAGGGTTGAAATGTTAGTACCTTGTATATAGTAGAAGTTAGGCTTTGTTACACGGATGAATAAATACACAAATAAAATTACCTATTACTCATTGGACTCAGTAAGATACCCAAAGTAGAACTAAAATTTATAGACTTGATTCTACATTTAATAATGACATTGAAAGTTTTTAATCACAGTAATCATGATTATAATTTATCAGGGACTTGCAGTATGCTAGTCATTGTACTCATCATTAAATTTAGGTTTCATTATTATGCCCATTTTACAGTTGAGGAAACTAAAGCTCAAAGTGACTAATGAAATTATTTTCAGTGTCAATTTATAAATAAATAGTAGAGCTTGGATTTGAACCCACATTTATTTGACTCCAAAGACCGATATAACGTTGTGAAATATTGTACAAAATAGTGATTATGAAGCTTGGGTTTTTTTTTTTTGTCTTTTATTTCCTATACTTCTTTGGTTGTTTCTTACCCTTCACACATTTCAAAATTATTATGTTGGCTCCAATACTTTAATGTTTCTAATTGTATATTTTTCTTCCTTTAAAACCTGCCCACAGGTCAACTCCACTGGGAAGCTTGGAAGTCAAATGACCCATGTTCTAATCCCAGTTTTACTACTGGTTCACTTTGAGCCCTGTCCAAGCCAGTCTACTCTTAGCCTTTAGTTTTTTCAACTAAAAGTAAGAAGTTTGCTTAAATATTTGATCATTCTTGTTTTAACAACATTAATAAAAACTGGGCGAGGAGTGGTGGCTCACGCTTGTAATCCCAGCACTTTGGGAGGCTGAGGTAGGCGGATCACAAGGTCAAGAGATTGAGACCATCTTGGCCAACATGGTGAAACCCTGTCTCTATTAAAAATACAAAAATTAGCTGGGTGTGGTGGTGCACGCCTGTAGTCTCAGCTACTCGGGAGGCTGAGGCAGGAGAATTGCTTGAATCTGGGAGGCAGAGGTTGCAGTGAGCCAAGATCGCGCCACTGTACTCCAGCCTGGTGACAGAGCGAGACTCCATCTCAAATAAATAAATAAATAAATAAATAAATAAATAAATAAATAAAAACTGAACATTTCAGTACTGTTCAGTACTTAAAATAGCATTTGGCATATTGTAGAAAATTCTCAGTAAGTACTTATTGAATAGATGAAGGTATTAAGCACTTAATGTATGCCATACATTGGGCCAAGTGCTTTATAAACACTGACTCATTTGCTTAGCAACAATGAAGTAGGTACTATAACTATCTTTATTTCTGAGATGAGGACATCCAAGATAAAAACAAGTTAATGGCCAGGCGCAGTGGCTCATGCCTGTAATCCCAGCACTTCGGGAGGCCAAAGGTGGGTGGATTGCTTGAGCTTAGGAGTTCGAGAACAGCCGGGCAACATGATGAGACCCCCGTCTCTACAAAAAATACAAGCCAGGAGTAGTGGTGCGTGCCTGTAGTGCCAGCTACTCTCTTGAGCCTGGTGGGTGTGGAGGTTGCAAGTGAGCCAAGATCGCGCCACTGCGCTCCAACCTGGGTGACAGAGCGAGACCTTGTCTTAGTACGTACATACATACATACATACATACATACATACATACATACATACATACATACATAAAAATAAAAACTAAAAACAAGTTAAATAACTTGTCAAGGTCCAGGAGTTAAACCTGAGAATGTGTGTCTGTGCTCTTAACCAGTATACTAGTTGTTCCCAATAGTGGCTGCATATCAGAATCACCTGTGAAGTTTGTTAAACTATCAGTGTCTCAGCCCCACCTCTAGAGTCTGACTCAGCAGGTGACATTTATCCTATAGTACTTTAGCTGCCTGTGGAGTGACCTTTTTAAAGGTACTACTTTGCACCCAGAGGATTTTCAGTTGTGTTGTTGACAGACAGATTGACAGTCTTGGTTCTTTTGACTTTTAGTCCTTCTATAATTTATTTTCTTTTGCTGCTTCGAAGTTCTGGTCAAAATTCACCTGATCCTTAATAAGTAAATTGCAATGCTCTATTTACTTTTACTTTAAAATTTGCAGGTCATTTTGTGCAAATAAGTTTATTGAAGTTGAAAAAAATTGGGAAACTTCAACAATGTAGGCGATGTAGTATCAAGAGTTAAAGCTTACTTTGACTGACTTTTTCTTTACTATGAGTATAAATTTGCTGAGTTCTGAGTATTGTGTTTTATTGATGTGGTTCCTAACTTGAGATGTTTTCACAAGAGTGGAAACTTTGATCTCTATTTCCTTGGTACAGGCTCAGCCTCTGGTACCGAATTTTAACATTAGTAACAGTTTCTGGTGTGTAATCATTTGTGTTTTAGGTTAGACAGCTGGAAATTGCTTCTTTCAGGAAGAGGAACGTTTTTGCATGTTTGTGTGCTACCAAAGTCAAATCAGACAGGCTACATGAGAATTTCTAGCTTCATGTTTTGAAGTAGGTGTGAGCACTTGGTCTTAAAAGGCTTTTAAAAAATTCCACTTTAACGTATCTGTAAATATATTTAAAGAAAAACCTTAAAGGGGAGGGAGAGCATTAGGACAAATACCTAATGCATGTAGGGCTTAAAACCTAGATGATGGGTGGATGGGTGCAGCAAACCACCACGGCACATGTATACATATGTAACAAACCTCCACATTCTGCACATGTATCCCAGAACTTAAAGTATAATAAAAATAATTTTTTAAAAAAGAAAAACTTTAGAAAGAAAAAAGCAACTCTTAAAAAAAGATGATATATTTGCTATCGGTATTAAAATTGTCTATTATATTTTCATGATTTCTATTCGTAATAACATGATAAATAAAATTTCTTTAAAACAACATTATTGAATGTTTCTGTGTCATAAGCGTTGTTTACCATCATGTTTCAACTTCAAGTCACGTCATCAAATAGGTAAATACAGTATACTAGTTGTTAACTGGGATGTGGGAAAAAACCTACTTAACCTAGTTAGCTTGGTGTCTTATCCAAGAATACTCATAACTAATTCACAGCAAAGGCAGTACAGTACTCAAACTCAAGTGTTGACTTCAAAGTCCTGGTCTTTTTACTATTGCCAATAACCATAAATTATATAAATTTGTATAGAATTCCATAGTTTGAGTATTTAATTAACATAGTTTTATCCTGGTTTGGGAGTGTGGATATGCTTGTAGTTGCTTCATATCTTTTAATGTTAGAGGAATATTCTTGTGGAAGATGTCTTGTGTAGCGCCCTATAATTCCTCCATTTCTGTGCTACATCTAGTAGATCTAAAATGTGAGGGGTCAGAGTATGTTTATAAGCGGAGACCTTAGAGATTACCTGTTTCTGTCTCTTCTGTTCATAATTCTAAAATTCTTTGCACTAAAACTTGTCCCATTTACATCTCTTTGCCTCCATACTGTGCATATCATCTTTGGACAGGACTAGAGTGGTAGCCTCCTATGGGTCTCCCTGACTGTAGTCTAACTACTTTTTTTTTTTTTTTGAGTCGGAATCTCGCTCTGTTGCCCAGGCTGGAGTGCAGTGGCGCGATCTCAGCTCACTGCAACCTCCGCCTCCCGGGTTTATGCCATTCTCCTGCCTCAGCCTCCCGAGTAGCTGGAACTACAGGTGCCCGCCACCATGCCCAGCTAATTTTTTATATTTTTAGTAGAGACGGGGTTTCACCATGTTAGCCAGGATGGTCTCGATCTCCTGACCTCATGATCCGCATGCCTCAGCCCCCCAAAGTGCTGGGATTACAGGTGTGAGCCACCGCACCCGGCCAATCTAAGTACTCTTAATCCATGTTTCCCACACTGCAGCTAGAATGATTTTTAAATCACATTTTAGTCTGATAATGGCACTGCACTGCTCGCAAGCTTGATTTCCTGTTGTCTTAAGGTAGTCCAAACATAAATCCTTGTGTGATATAGCCCTTACTTATTCAGTCTCACCTTTAAGCCATTCTCCCTTTTACAAGCTCCATGCCAGCTTGTATGAAGTTTCTTGAAGGGGCTATGTTCCCACTTGCACCCCACCTCTCGTTACAGGCTCTTTTTTTTTAGATGTCAATTTTCATTTCCTTTGGGGAAGCCTTCCCTGACTCGATCTCTCTGCTTTATGTTCCCATATACTTTCCTGTTGTAATACCTACACCAAATGGTGACTTCTTGAGTTTTTCCTCTTTGTTGTGCTTTTTTTTTTTCAGTTAGGAAGGTAATAAACATTTGCTTTAAAAATACTGAGCAATTAAGTGATAGAAATAGGCCAAGCATGGTGGCTCACACCTGTAATCCTAGCACCTTGGGATGCCAAGTCGGGAGAATCACTTAAGGCCAGGAGTTTGAGACCAACCTTGGCAATAAAGTGAGACCCTGTCTCTATAAAAAAATTAAAAAAATTAACCAGGCAATGCACACCTGTAATATTAGTTTCTTGGGAAGCCGAGGTGGGAAGATCGCTTAAGCCCAGGTATTTGAGGCTGCAGTGAACAATGATTGTGCTGTTGTACTCCAGCCCGGGCAACAGAGTGAGACCCCATCTCTTAAAATAAAAAAACATTGAACAATCCAGTGGTATAAAGAATAAAAACTAAAAGCTCTTACTTTTGAACCTCATTTCCAAGTTCATATGTATTCTAGAGTATATATGCTTACATGTTTTTTAAATTAAAATAGGACCGTGCTATTCATTTTTCTGCAGCTTATATATTTTTATTAAATATTTGAGACTATATAGCACATTCTCTTTAATAATTGTGTAACATTGCAGCATACTGATGACCATAATTTAGTTAATAGTTCCTCTTGGTGGATATTAATTTTTTAAATTAATCCCTGGCAGAATATACATACCAGAAGAACATTGATAATACCCATAATGTTTATTGCTATTCCCCCAGCATCTAATACAGTGCCTTCCCTATAGAAAGCACTTAATAAAACTTGTTAAGCAATGCATATGCCTTTTCCAGGCGAAAAGGCTGCTGTGCCAGCTCTTACCTGATTTGTGTTGGTTACCTGTAATGTATCAGTTCATATCAATGGTGAGAAATAGAATAACGGGAGTGTGGACTGGCCTTGGAGTCAGAAGGCTTGGGTTGGATTCCTGGGTATAAGCAGTGTTGGTTAATATGGTCCTTTGTTGGTCAGATTCTAATAGGATACTTACTACATTCAGTTTAAGTGAAGATCGAACAACATAATGCATATACAAATACTTTGTAAGTGTAACACCCAGTACAAATGTTGGCATTACTGTCTCCCTCCCCGTTCCTGGTAACCACTGCTTTATTCTCTCTCTGTCTCTCTTTTTTTTTCGGAGACAGGGTCTTGTTCTGTCACCCAGGCTGGAGTGCAGTAGTCACAACTCAATGCAGCCTCCACCTCCCGCCCTCAAGTGATCCTCCCACCTCAGCCTCCCGAGTAGCTGGGACTACAGGCACACACCACCACACCAGGCTAATTTTTATAATTTTTGATAGAGACAGGGTTTCGTTATGTTGCCCAGGCTGGTCTCAAACTTGGCTCTAGCAATCCACCTGCCTCAGCCTCCTAAAGTGCTAGAATTACAGATGTGAGCCACCGTGCCCGGCCTTTATTCTCTATTTATTCAAGTTTTTTTATTTTTTTAGATTCCATATATAACAGATCAAATAGTAGTCGTCTTCTTTCTATCTGGCTTATTTCACTTAACATATTCTGGATGAACCCATCCAGATTCATACATGTTGTGACAAATAGCAGGATCTCCCTTTTTTTTAAGGCTGAATAGTATTTCTGGAGGTGTGCGTCAATGTGTGTGTGTATGTGTATGTGTATACTACAGTTTCTTAGGTCAAAGGATAAAAAATAGCAGAAATTCAGGACGCGCAAGTATAGAGATATAATGTGTATCATGAGGACTATAGTTAATAATATTGTATTCAGGATTTTTTGCTGAAAGAGTAGGCTTTAGGTGCTCTAGGCACACATACACAAAAAGGGATAACAATGTGAAATGATGGATATATTAAATTTGCTTGACTGTGGTAACCATTTCACTATCAATATGTATAGCAAAATTTCATGTTGTACGTCTTAAATATATACAGTATTTTTTAAATGTCAGTACTATTAATATATTTTTCTTTGTTGGTTTTGTGGATTGATTTGTAGCTCCAATGAGGTTTTTAAATAGATTAAAGTATTGACCACCACCATCTTTACAAAGTTAAGGTCATCAGGTAAGAGACCTTATACAATGCCCAGGAAGCCGTAACAGTATTCTTGAATGTTACTCTGTGTTTAGGGCTCTGGAGACATATACAATCCATCCCTATTGCCTTTCCTGGTTGGCGTAAAAACTATATACTCACTTGGATACATTTATGTATGGTAAATTGAGTTTTGTATATTCAGTTGTGAAAATATCTCCTTTTGTTTTTTTTATTTAGTATAATCTCTCTATTGCATCATCTCTTGAAGAACAAGACAGGAACTTTCTCTTATACATACTTCTAGAATCTATGCTAGTACCTAGCAGAAGTGCACATCTTCCGATAAGTGTCTTGACTTTTGGACAAGATACTGTGATTACCCACACACGCATACATATACATAGGAACTAAGCAATCAGTTGTGGGTTATGTGGGGTTGTGGGGGTACTGCTATCATGTAGCAGTTTTATAACTGTAGGCAAAAATATTTTCAAACTAATGGCATTCCCTTGGGTATTTCTTACCTATTTCTTTGTATGCTTTGTGATTTTTGTTGTTGTTGTTGTTGTTGTTAAAAACTGGCCATTTGAATCTAATAAGGTGGTGACTCTGGACATCAGATTCTCCCTCTTTCTGAGGTTTTGCTAGTTTGTTTTTGTTTTTGTTTTTCTTTTGTTTTTGATTAACATAAGTAGTCTCCATGCTGAGGATCAGCCTGAGATGTAAACTTAAGGTCTTCTCAGGAATTTTCTGAGCCTGTGCCTTTCTCTGTATATTGTGGTGACTTACTAATTTCTCTCAAATATGCAATTGCCCTTCAATGTCCTAATTTTCAATGTGTGGTTCTCAAAAGGTGGGAAAATGAAGACAGGGAAAAAGGACGCTGTCCCTTTAAGTTCCCCGGAAGTCACTTCAGCCTAAGGGGGAAGGGCTTGTAGCAATAGGGAAAGGGTGCTGCAATGACTTCCTACCTCTGTGTCTGCACCTCCACAATCATAAGCAGCAGTCAGTGATCATAGCACAAGATAGGGTCCCATTTGCCCATCCTGGCTCCCATAAGGAGCATAGGAGTTGTTCCAGGAACATATGCATGGCTGCCTGCCAATGGGCCAGGGATAAAGATGGGTAGCCACAGCTGAGCTAAGAGCTGAAATTGACCTAAATTAACTGTAATTTACTCTCCAAATCTTTCTCTGGGAGTTGCAAGTCCACAGTGGCTTCTAGAATTCTAAAATAATTGCATCAAACCGATCTTGCCGCAGTGTGATTGTTGTCTAGGTTGGGAGACAAGATTCCTGGTCCTTTCTGCTCTGCCTTATTCTCAGAATTTGCTCCTACAATAGTCTTGTAAGTGGTTTCCGTATCTTTTGTTTTCCCCCAAAGTTGTTTCCTACATAGCTGTGAAAATGACCTTTTAAAAATGCAAATTGATTTTTATCTCCTTATTTAAAAGGTTTTCAATGGCATTTTATCGTTTTTAGTGTACTACACCATTATATTTATGGTGCCCTTTCTGGTCTTCATAGTTTGTCTCTTGACTAACTTTCTACTTTCATTGCTGTATGTCATGCTTCCTGTGTTAGTCCGTTTTCACACTGCTATGAAGAACTACCTGAGACTGGGTAATTTATAAAGAAAAGAGGTTTCATGGACTCACAGTTTCACGTGGCTTGGGAGCCTTCAGGAAACTTATGGCAGAAGGCAAAGGGGAAGCAAGGCATCTCTTACATGGTGGCAGGAGAGACGGAGAGAACGAAAGGGGAAGTGCTAAACTTTTAAACCATCAGCTCTCATGAGAACTCACTATCATGAGACCAGCATGAGGAAAATCTGCCCTCATGATCCAATCTCCTCCCACCAGGTTTTTCCCCTGACACATGGGGATTACAATTCCAGTTGAGAATTGGGTGGGGACACAGAGCCAAACCATATCATTCCACCCCTGGCCCACCCAAATCTCATGTCCTTCTCACATTTCAAAACACAATCATGCCGTCTCAACAGTCCACCAAAGTCTTAACTCATGCCAACATTATCCCAAAAGTCCAAGGCCAAAGTCTCATCTGAGACAAGGAAGTCCCTTCTGCCTGTGAGCCTGTAAAATCAAAAGCAAGTTAGTTACTTCCAAGATACAATGGGGGTACAGGCATTTGATAAATGCTGCCATTCAAAATGGGGGAAATTGGCCAAAACAATGGGGCTACAGGCCCCATGCAAGTCTGAAACGTAACAGGGCAGTTATTAAATAGTAAAAGCTCCAAAATAATCTCCTTTGACTCCATGTCTCACATCCAGGGCACGCTGTTGCAAGATGTGGGCTCCCAAGGCCTTAAGCATCTCTGTCCTTGTGGCTCTGCAGGGTACAGCACCTGCAGCTACTTTCACAGGCTGCCATTGAGTGCCTGCGGCTTTTCCAGGTACATGGTGTGAGGTTTTCTGGGATCTGGAGGATGGTGGCTCTCTTCTCACCCCTCCAGTAGGCAGTGCCCCTGTGAGCATTCTGTGTGGGGGCTCCAACCCCACATTTCCCCTCTGTAGTGCCCTAGAAGAGGTTCTCCATGAGGGCTCTGCCCCTGCAGCAGACTTCTGCCTGGACATCCAGGTGTTTCCATACATTCTCTGAAATCTAGGCAGAGGTTTCCAAACATCAGTTCTTATCTTCTGCACAACTACAGGCCCAATACCATGTGGAAGCCACCAAGGTTTGGGGCTTGCACCCTCTGAAGCAACAGCTCGAGCTGTACCTTGGCCCCTTTTAGCCACGGCTGGAGCTGGAGCAGCTGGGGTGCAGGGCACCGTGTCCCAAGGCTGCACAGAGCAGCACAGCCCTGGTCCTGGGCTACAAAACCATTTTTCCTTCCTAGGCCTCCTGGGCCTGTGATGGCGGGGAGTGCAGCGAACATCTCTGAAATGCCCTGGAGACATTTTCTTCATTGTTTTGGCTATTAACATTTGGCTTCTTTTTACTCATGCAAATTTCTGCAGCCAGCTTGAATTTCTCTTCAGAAAATTGGTTTTTCTTTTCTACCTCATGGTCAGGCTGCAAATTTTTCAAACTTTTACACTCTACTTCCCTTTTAAACATAAGTTCCAATTTTAGACCATCTCTTTATGACTGGATATGACTGTATGCTTTCAGAAAAAGCCAGGTTACATTTTGAATGCTTTGCTGCTTAGAAATTTCTTCTGCCAGATACCCTAAATCATCTCTCTCAAGTTCAAAGTTCCAGAGATCTCTAGGGCAGGGGCAAAATGCTGCCAGTCTCTCTGTTAAAGCATAGCAAGAGTGACCTTTGCTCTAGTTCTCAATAAGTTCCTCTTCTCCCTCTGAGACCTACTCAGCCTGGATTTCATTGCCCATATCACTATCAGTGATCAATGGTTTTGGTCAAAACCATTCAACAGGTCTCTAGGAAGTTCCAAACTTTCCGACATCCTCCTCTCTTCTTCTGAGCCCTCCAAACTGTTCCAACCTCTGCCTGCTACCCAGTTCCAAGGTCACTTCCACATTTTCAGGTATTTTTATAGAAATACGCCATGTCTCTCGGTACCAATTTTCTGTATTACTCCATTTCCACACTGCTATAAAGAACTAGCTGAGACTGGGTAATTTATCAAGGAAGAGGTTTAATTGACTCACAGGTCTGCATGGTTGGGGAGCCTTCAGGAAACTTAAAATCATGGTAGAAGGCAAAGGGAAAGCAAGGCATGTCTTACATGGTCGCAGGAGAGAGAGCGAGCAAAGGGGGAAGTGCCAAACTTTTAAACCATTAGATCTCATGAGAACTCACTTGCTGTCATGAGAACAGCATGGGGAAATCTGCCCCTGTGATCCAATCACCTCCTAGCAGGTCCCTCCTCTGACACATGGGGATTACAATTCAAGATGAGATTTGGGTGGGGATACAGAGCCAAACCATATCACTTCCCTTAGACAGTTAACTCTCATTTGTCCTTCTGATCTTTAATCATATGTAGTTCTCAATTAAGTCTATTTGAATATACAAACCACCTCCCCCTATCTTTAAAGTTTTTTAGAGCACTGTATATCTGTTTTATATATTCTACATTATTTTTATACTCGGTTTCTTTTATTTTAAAATAAATTTTATTGCATATATTTAAGGTATATGATATGATGTTATAAGATATGATGTAAAATGGTCACTATAGTGGAACAAATTAGCATCCATTGTCTCAGTCAGTCATTTTGCTCCCAGTGGCAAGAGCAACTGTAATTATTCATTTAGCAAAATCCTGAATCCAGTATACTATGAACTATAGTCCTCATACAGAATATTTCATTTATCTGTATAGGCTGGGTACGGTGGCTTATGCCTGTAACCCTAGCACTTGGGAGCCCAAGGTAGGTGGACTGCTTGAGCCCAGGAATTTGAGACCATCCTGGTCAACATGGTGAAACCTCATCTGTATCAAAAACAAAATAAAAAAATGAGCTGGGTGCAGTGGCACACACCTGTAGTCCCAACTACTCTAGAGTCTGAGATGGGAGGATCAATTGAGCCTGGGAACAGAGTGAGACTCTATGTCAAAATACATACATACATACATACATACATACATACATACATACATACATAAAATGAATCTCTATAATTCTTTAGTCAAAACATGGAGCATATCTGTGTTTTTTAGTCAAAACGTGGAGCATATCAGTAGGTATATATACCACACATACCTACTGGTATATGTGGATGGTTACGGGAGACCAGAAGGATGTTACTGAGTTGGTACATCATACAGCATAACACATTAAGATTTGGTTTTTGACTGAAATACTATATAGCTTTAAAAAAATTCTTAGTCATAAGGATATACCAATTTAGAGATATAGTTTAGTCACAAGTATACAGATTATAATTCTACAAACTAATTCCAAGGAGATTTAAAAAATTTTTAAAATTCTATTTATTTAATTTTTAAACTTTTATTTTAAGTTCAGGGGTACAAGTGCAGGTTTGTTACATAGTTAAACTTGTGTCATCGGGGGTTGTGGTACAGATTATTGCATCACCCAGGTATTAAGCCTAGTACCCATTAGTTATTTTTTTCTCATTATCTCCCTCCTCCCACCCTCCACCCTCCAAAAGGCCTCAGTGCCTGTTGTTCCCCTCTATGTGTGCATGTGTTCTCATCATTTAGCTTCCACTTATAAGTGAGAATATGTGGTATTTGGTTTTCTTTTCCTGCATTCGTTTGCAAAGGATAATGGCCTCCAGCTCCATCCATGTTCCTGCAGAAGACATTATCTCATTCTTTCTTTGTGGCTGCATAGTACTCCATGGTATATATATACCACATTTTCTTTATCCAGTCTATCACTGATGGGCGTTTAGGTTGATTCCATGTCTTTTCTACTGTGAATAGTGTTGCAGTGAACATATGTGTGCATGTATCTTTATAATAGAATGATTTATATTCCTTTGGGTATGTACCCAGTAATGGGATTGATGGCTTGAATGGTATTTCTGTCTTTAGTTCTTTGAGGAATCATGACAGTCTTCCACAATGCCTGAGCTAATTTACACTTCCATAAACAGTGTATAAGCGTTCTTTTTCTCCACGACCTTGCCAACTTCTGTTATTTTTTGACTTTTTAATAATAGCCATTTGGACTGGTGTTAGATAGTATCTCATTGTGATTTTGATTTGCATTTTTCTAATGATCAGTGATATTGAGCTTTTTTTCATTTGATTGTTGGCTGCATGTATGTCTGTTTTTGAAAAGCGTCTGTTCATGTCCTTTGCCCATTTCTTAATGGGATTGTTGTTTTTTTCCCTGTAAACTTGTTTAATTTCCTTATAGATGCTGGATATTAGACCTTTGTGGGATGCGTAGTTTGCAGTATTTTCTCCCATTCGGTAGGGTGTCTGTTTACTCTGTTGATAGTTTCTTTTGATGTGCAGAAGCTCTTCAGTTTAATTAGATCCCATTTGTCAATGCTTGATTTTGTTGCAATTGCAACAAAATATATATTGAACTTGATGTCTGTGACTCTAATTTACCCCCATGTAATTCATTCTCATTTCCCCTTCTTATTTCTAAGTCCCACTCCAACACTGAGCTTTTACCCTCTGCCATCTGTTTACATGTTTGTTTAATCCCAGTATATGTGTACCACTTTTCAGAATTTTTTACCTGTGCCTAGTGAGAAACAACTTTATCAACTAGTGTACAATGTTTATATACAGTTTTTTGTCTTTAGTCGTACAGTTTCTAGCTAAAATACTTTTTTCCAGAGTTTCTTGAATCCATTTATAAACACATTATTTTACAGAATTATAAAATTTGCCCCTTCATTCCCCATACCCATTTATGAGGTTATGTCTCACATTTTGTAATACAATTGGATTTGTCACAGTCTGCATTCTATCTTCGGTTCCCCCAACCACTGGTAGATTTTTTTTAATTTACGTATATTAAGAGTCATTCTTTGTCTCTTGTCAAAGTTCTGTGGGTATTGTCAAAGTTCTTTGGGTTTTGACAAATGTATAGTGTTGCAGATCCACTACTACAATACTATGTATATTAGTTCACCACCCTTAAAATTCTTCCCCTAGCAAACACTTCCTTCTCCCCAAACCCCTCAAAATCACTGATCTGTTTTCTCTATCAATTGGTCTTTCCCAGAATGTCATATGAATGGAATAATACAGTGTGTAACCTTTTTAATTTGGCTTCTTTGACTTAACAAAATGCATTTTAAGATTCATCCAAGTTATGTGAATTAATAGTTTGTTTCTTTTAATTGCTAAGTACTATTCCATTATAATTATGTACCACAGTTTGTTTATCCATTCACCTACTGAAGGACATCTTTGTTGCCAAGTTTATCAATAAAGCTGCCAGAAGCATTTGTGCTCAGGTTTTTTTGTGAACCTAAGTTTTCAAATCAGTTGGCCAAATACCTAGAACATGATTGTGGAAGTCTCTGTTCATAAGAAATTTCAAAACTGTCTTTCAAAGTGGCCATACTATTTTGCATTCCCACCACCGTTGAAGGAGTACTCTGTAACTCTGCGTCCTCACTAGCATTTCTTGCTGTTAATTTTTTGGATTTAGCATTCTAATACATGTGTAGTGGTACCACATTATTTTAGTTTGCATTTCCGTAATGACAAGTGATGCTGAACTTCTTTTCATATGCTTGTTTGCCATTCTTATATCTTCTTTGATGAAGTATCTTTTCAGATCCTTTGCCCATTTTAAAAATGTGTTGATTTTTTTCTTACTGTTGAATTTTAGGAATTCTTTATATATTTGGACTTCCTTTATCAGATACATGATTTGCAAGTATTTTTTCCTAATCTGCAGCTTGTCTTTTTATTCTCTTTGTAGTGTCTTTTCCAGAAGAAAGAGTTTAATTCTGATAAGGTCCAATTTATCATTTTTCTTTCATGTGTCTTGGTTCTGGTGTTATATGTTAAAACTTTTCACCAAAGGTCAAGGAGATTTTCTTCTCTGTTCTTCTAAATGTTTCATAGTTTTATGCTTTATATTGAGGTGTATGAATCATTTTGAGCCAATTTTTGTGTAACTCGTGAGGTATGTGTCAAGGGTTTTTGTTGTTTTGTTGTTGTTTATGGTCATTCAATTGTTCTAGCATCACTTGTTGATTGAGACTATCCTGTCTCCATTGAATTGTCATTGCCCCTTTGTGAAAAATCAGTTTACTATATTTGTATGGGTCTATTTCTGGGATCTCTCTTTTGTTCCACTGATCTATCTGTCCATTCTTTTGCCAACATCATGCTATCTTGATTCCTGCAGCCTTCAAGGTATACCTTGAAGTCAGGTAATGAGAGTGCTCTGATTTTGTTCTTATTTTTCTGAATTTTGGCTATTCTAATACCTTTATCTTTCTGGACTATTGATTGAGATTGCCTTGAATGTATAGATCATATTGGGAACAAATAAGACCTTAACAATATGAAGTCCCAAGTCATTAACATGGAATGTCTCTCCATCCATTTAGATTCTTTTATTCTTTTCTTTCTTTCATTAGTATTATGGACTTTTCCACATACAGATCCTGCAAACATTTTGTGGGATTTATACCTAAGTACTTCATTTAATAAAATTTCAAATTCCAGTTGTTCATTGCATGTATGTAGGAGAGCAATTAACTTTGGAATATTGACGTTGTATTGTGCAACTTTGCTAAACTCAGTTATTAGTTCCATGAGGTTTTTTGGTAGATTCTTCAGGGTTTCTTACATAGACAATCATGTCATCTATGAATAAAGATAGCTTTATTTCTTCCTTTCCTATCTGTATGCCTTTTATTTCTTTTTCTTGCCTTATTGTACTAAGTAGGGCTTCCAGTACAATGTTGAAAAGAAGTGTAACAGAGAAAATCTTTGCCTTATCTCTATCTTAAGGGAAAAGCATTCACTCACCATTAAAAGTATGGTGTTAACTTTAGTTTTATGTGTGTCGTTTAGTTTTGGTTTTTATTTTTTGCTTTTTTTCTTTGTTGAGACACAGAATCACTCTGTTGCCCAGACTGGAGTGCAGTGGTGCAGTCATGGCTCACTGCAGCCTTGACATCCTGGGCTCAAGTGATCCTCCCATCTCATTCTCCTCTCCCTCTCCTGCCATACACAAAAGTAGCTAAGACCACAGGTGTGCACCACCAGGCCTGGAAAATTTTTTTTATTATTTACAGAGACAGGGGTCTCCTTGTGTTGCCTGGGCTCAAGTGATCCTCATGACTCCACCTCCCAAAGTGTTGGGATTACAGGTGTGAGCCACCACGCCCAGCCAGTTTTTTGTATATATCCGTTATTAGGTTAAGGACGTATTCTTCTGCATCTAGTTTTTTTAGAATTCTGTCATGAATGAGCTTTTTTTTTAAGTTTTATTTTAAATTTGGGTAACATGTACAGGTTTGTTACATAGGTAAACTCATGTCACAGGGGTTTGTTGTACAGATTATTTCGTTACCCAGGTATTAAGCCTAGTACCCATTAATTATTTTTCCTGATCCTCTCCTTCCTTCTAGCTTCCATCCTCCAAAAGGCCCCAGTGTCTGTTGTTCTCCTCTATGTGTTCATGTGTTCTCATCATTTAGCTCCCATTTATAAGTGAGAACATATATTATTTAGTTTTCTGTTCTTGCATTAGTTTGCTAAGGTTAATAGCCTCCAGCGCCATCCACGCCCCTGCAAAGGACATGATCTCATTGTTTTTTATGGCTGCATAGTATTCCATGGTGTATACATACCAAATTTTCTTTATCCACTTTACCATTGATGGCCATTTAGGTCGATTCCATGTCTTTGCTATTGCTAATGGGGCTGCAGTGAACGTATGTGTGCCTGTTTTTTTTTTTTTTTATTCTATGTTTGATCTTTAAATCAAATAGGATGGGTCATTTATAATGTCAGTAGATAGGCCAGACACAGTGGCCTGCACCTTTAATCCCAGCCCTTTGGGAGGCAGAGGTGGGAGCATTACTTGAGGCCAGGAGTTCAGATCAACCTGGGCAACATAGCGAGACCCCATCTCTACAAAAAATTTTAAAACTTAGCTGGTCGCAGTGGCATGCACCTGCAGTCCCAGCTACTCTGGAGGCTGAGAGGCAGGAGGATCACTTGAGCCCAGGAGTTCAAGACTTCAGTGAGCTATGATCATGCCACTGCCTTCCAGCCTGGGTGACAGAGCAAGGCCCTGTCTCAATGTAAATAAAATGTCAATAGATCTTATTTCTTATATATACTTAATTTAAATAAAATTAATCTTTATTTTTATAAATGGGAAAAGGCTAAAAGATACCTTTAGTTTTTAATATATAGAACATATTATTATATGAGATTAATATTTCATTTCGTCATGAAATTATGGAAAAGTAAATAAAGACAATTTATTATGTAATTTAAAATAATATACTGTTTTTTTAATCTTACATAATCATATACCACACAGAACAATGAAGAATATTTTAAAACTTTCCTTTAGGATGGGAGTGAAATTCTATATTACTTTTAAAGTGATTTAAGAATATAGTAAAGGTAATAATTGCATAATTTGCATTAGTTTAAGAAATATCCAGCTTATGCAGTGAACTTGTTCATTGTTAAAAGATCACTTGCATAATGCCGGGAATTTCATGACAAAATGGTATAGTATATAAAGAATATGGTTTCCAAAAATTTTAAAGAGCCATCTAATGGCAAACCCTTAGTAAAATTTAAATATTAGTTTCTCTGTATGCTGAGGGATGAAATGGATACAGAATTACCTGTGCTAGAGCCATAGAGCACCCTTCTACTCAGCTTGCTGTAATAAATTGGCCAAAGGTTAAGCCATCAGTCCATTTCCTAGTGTCTACTCAACAGTGGCTCTCTTTGTGTTTCTTCACTTGTTAAAGCAATACAGCAAGTGTTATTGAGAGGTAAAACAAAGCAAGCCTAACATCAGACACTGATGGCTTTTTAAAAGTTGGAATCGGATGTTATTGCATGTTTCAAAGAGTATATTGATAGTACATCTTTATGGAAGCCACTGCTCTAAAGTGAACTGAATTGCAAATCAAATCAGCATTATGCATCAGTGATGCTTAGGTAAATATAAATAAATATTATGTTTAGTGGACCAATTTTAGATAGTAGTGCTGTGGGCTTGGAGAATGATTTGAAAAAAATTTTTTTAAAAACTTTAAAAAATTGCAAGACATAGGTTTATTTTCCTTAGCAAATTAATTAGGCTGGATTTTGTTTTCTATGTAAGTAAACCTTTTATTCATCAAATGTAGCTTTAAATATAAAGTATAGAGGAAACCAGTTAATTTAAGCATAGAATGCTTTCAGAAATGTGCAATATTATTTAGGACCTTTACTGTAATAGCCCCAGAGTATGTCTGAGCATCCATGCAGATTAGATCTTGAACAGCTGCATGGAGTACACAGAAGTCATGATTCCTGCCTCTGTGAACTAACTTGAATAAAGTCTTTCATCTAAAGATCTCATTGTTTGTCTATTTCATGAATCCCTCATCTCATCTCTGAAGGGCTCATTCAGTTTAATACAGTTTAGCTTTGTGGTTTAGAGCTCTAGAAATTGCTATTGTAATTTATAATGCACAAAGTTAACAAATTAATTTCATAATTTAAAAAAATAGATAAAGTCCACTCTAAAATGATTTCTTTTACAAAGACATGGTAACTTTGGATTCTAGCTCACACCTAACTAGTTACGAACTGTATGATTTGAAGTAAAGTATTTATGCTTTTAATGTCCAATTTCTCTGTGGTGATAACAAAGCCTAACATAGAGTTAAGAGAAATAAACATGTGAAAGTGCTTAAGTTCATTTGTTCCTACATAAATTTAGAGTGCTGTCATTCTGCTTTCTGTCTTAATCCTGCTCATGAACTGAGGCTCATCTCATATTCTATGTTCTGTGTGATGTGTTCTGTAAACACTTTAACAGTGATTAAACTGAAAAAGTCACTATCATGTCATTTAGATGTGATTTGAGAAAATACCAGATGATCTTTTCCTCATTTGGGTACTTATATCACATTTTGCCACTTGTTTGGCAGTAACCCATATGTTGCCTGGCATATTATGTTGTATACTTGTTATTCTTCTCTACAGATAATGAGTTATTTGAATTCTGAGATCTTGACTTAATTGAACCCTCATAAAAATTAATGTGTAGTGCTTTCTAGGTATGGAATAAACTTCTATTATTTTTAAAAACTGCTTTGGAATACCCACACATATTTCTCTTAAAATAGTGAAGATGGTCAAATTTGACTGTAATTTTACCAAGGAATTTATTATATTAAAGCCACCTGGTCATAATCTCAGAAATCTGATACAGTTATTAAAAAATTTGAGTACATGAAAATTAGGAACCAGAGAAGTTTTTATTCAAAGACTTCTAACACAGAATGGCAAAAACATAAATGGAGATGGGCACTATACATTAGAAACAGAGTAATGTAGGTGGCATTTATCCATGCAATCAGTGGATCTTATCGGTATCAACTAAATTCTAGGTGATCTGCTATAGCCGGGGATATAATGATTAAAAAAAAAAAAAAAAGACAAGATCTGTACCTGATGGAGCTTATAGAGTAAACAGACAAATATTTAAACCAGACAGTAACAGTGTATGATGATTATGCATAAATAGAGTTATGTGAGAGGGCCAGAGGCGAAGATACTTTGCATACAGTGATTAGAAAAGGCGTTTTAGAAAAAGACACAAATAGTAAGACCCAAAGAATGAGAACTTGCCTAGATTGTGGTCTCTGGTTTCTCCCTGAAAACAATCAGGATTCCTTGGAGAACTAGCTTATTTCAAGTCTGGGCCAGGAACTGTAAAACAACAATAACAGCAACAACAACAACAAAGATGCATTCAGAGTCTATTTGGGATCATGATATGGGAGCCAACTTGGAGGGGCTCTGACAGACCACAGATGTGACAATTTGAGCATCAGAAGAAAGCAACTTTAATTAATTGGAATGCATCTATTATTTAAAATACATGAGTTCATAATGTTACTTTAAAAATTCATTGTTCATCTTTGGACCCAAATATTGGACATTCAAATATTTATCCTGTCTTTCCTCCAAGAACTGTATCTCAATATAACCAGATAGTTCATGAGGGATAATTCTTTATAGAATTATAGCTAATAAATATAGAAAGAATAGCTATTATACTTTAATGAAATGAAAATAAGTACCTAGGCAATGACGCTTTTCACATTTTCCTATATATATTTGTGATTGTTTACGTTAGGAAATTTAAGTATCAGATTAAAAGGGAGGGGTGAGAATTTAGCAAGTAGGAATAGGAGTGGTTAGAAGATATTTTCATGCAATGGGAGCATTATGAACAAGGTGCAGAGGTGAAAAACTACCGTACATATTTAGGGAAGACTTAGTATTTGGAGCTCCCAAAGTACAAGATATGTTAAGTGGAACTGTTACGGATATGTAGTTCTATACAAGTTCTCAGAATACACAATACTTAGAAATAGTGAAACCAAATTGTTGCCAAGTTCGGGAGGAACTTGAGATTGAAGCTAATTTGACAGCAGACCTTAATAGAAAGGTACCATGTAGAGTGTAGTGTTGATTTTACTTGAGTAATTTTTGCCTCAAGCAGGTAGTTGATTAATAGATGTGATTGTTCTTCATTTCAGCATTGTGTTCTTTTTAGTTACGTGTATAGAAATAAGTATCTCAATGTTAATGATTTCTATAACCATTACATTAGGCCCTGTTATAGTGTTAGGGGACCACATATATTCCTATCCAAAAGTAATACGTTGGCCAGGTTTGGTGACTCATACTTGTAATCCCAGAACTTTGGGAGGACAAGGGAGGTGGCTTGCTTGAGCCCAGGAGTTGAGCCATGGGCAACATGGCGAAACACTGTGTCTACTAAAAATACAAAAAGTTAGCTGGGCTCAGTGGCATGTGCCTGTAGTCCCAGGTACTTGGGAGGCTGAGTTGGGAGGATTGTTTGAGCCCAGGAAGTTGAGGCTGCATTGAGCCATGATCGCGCCACTGCACTCCAGCCTGGGCATTGGAATGAGGCCTTGTCTCAAACAAACAAACGAACGAAAACAAACAAGCAAAAAAACAAACATAATACATTGTATAATTGGAATGAGCAGTTTAAAATCAATTCTTAACAAAATGGTCTTCTCAATTCAAATCCCTGTACCTCTCCCTGACACCTGTTATAGATAAACATTCTGTTTTATCCAGATTTGTGTTGTGTAGATAATAGTAAGTGGGCAAATTTCTTTGTAAAACAGTTTATTTTGTTGTTTGAAGTGACTTGTGTCATGGTATCATTTAAAAAGAAAAGACCCTTAAAATCTGTCTTGAGAATTAATAATATGGAACAGCACCAAAATTTGTTCATTAATTTTACATGCCAGTATATATCTGTCTACTTCAAATTGAATTTGTTTTTCTCTTTCCTGGTATTTGAGAGTTTGGCTGCCGAGATTTAGAAAGCTGTGTGATCAGAGTTCTATGGAGATGGACAGCTGTGTTCCCTGTGACATGCCAGAGGTGGTTTGTTTTTATGGCTAGTCAAATAGTTAAAAGTGAAAGGCATATCAATGAAGTTTCAACTTTCTTATCCTTATACTCACCCTTTTCCTAAAAATGGAGACAAGAGAGGACTGGACAATAATGAAAAAAGGTTGTAGTGTTCTACCATTTATCATTGTTTTTTGTTTGTTTGGTTGGTTGGTTGGTTGGTTAATTGGGTTTTGTTTTTTTTTTTTTTTGAGACAGAGCCTCACTCTGTCACCCAGGCTGGAGTGCTGAGGCCCAGTCTCGGCTCACTGCAGCCTCCGCCTCCTGGATTCAAGTGATTCTCCTGCCTCAGCCTCCCAAGTAGCTGGGACTACAGGCGCATGCTACCACACCCGGCTAATTTTTGTATTTTTGGTAGAGATAGATTTTCACCATGTTGGCCAAGCTGGTCTCAAACTCCTGACCTCAAGTGATCTGTCTACCTTGGCCTCCCAAAGTGCCAGGATTATAGGTGTAAGCCACCACGTGCAGCCTATCATTGTTTTTTTTCACTTCTGAATTAAATTTACATTTGGAAAAATGAGATTTTCTAAGTCATGTATTTTAAGGAAAAGAGCTTCCTTTATGGCATAATATTTATTTTAGAAAAAATATGTATTTTTTAACAGGGTATGCAGAAGTTGGCTAGTCAATACCTGAAGAGAGATTGGCCTGGAGTAAAAGCTGATGATCGGAATGATTACAGGTAAATTAGTAGTTTTTGCCTATTTTCTTTAGAAACGGTTTTACTTAAAGCTATGTTACATATAGATAATGTAACACTCTAGTTTTTAAAAGAATTACTTCTTTCCTCTGCTGTGTTTTCGGATATAATTTCAAAATTATCAAAATTTTAATGTTTTATAACATTAAATAATCTAAAATAGATTGTAATCTATATAAAATAGATCATTTTCATGTCTTATATAAGCCAAGATTATATTTTATATAATTAATTATACCCCCAATTGAAACTTAAAGAAGGCAGGTGACAATGGAACACAAATTGCTGAGTGACCTATGATGAAACACATTATTGTGACGGTGATGAAACAAGATTGTATATGTTCTGCCATCTTCACTGATACTTTTGAAATAAATTCTAAATATGGAAAGATGGGGTTTTTGTGAGACTAGGGGGGAAACTTTCTAATGTATTGTAAGGAAAGGAGCTTCTTTTTAGCATAATACTTATTTTAGAAAAATATATGTGTTTGTATTTTTGAATATAAACAAAAGATTTAGACGTGGCTAGTTAATATCCCACATACGAATTGTAATGAAGGTGGATGAGAATGGAATACAGATTGTGTCCTCAGTGACCTACTGATATCTTAAAAGTATATGTTTGTTTAGAATTTGGTTTCTTTTGGCCAGGGGCAGTGGCTTACGCCTGTAATCCCAGCACTTGGGGAGGCCAAGGCAGGTGGATCACCTGAGATCAGGAGTTCAAGACCAGCCTGACCAACATGGTGAAACCCTGTCTCTACTAAAAATATAAAAATTAGCCAGGTGTGGTGGCGGGCACCTGTAATCGCAGCTACTTAGGAGGCTGAGGCAGGAGGATTGCTTGAACCTGGGAGGCAGAGGTTGCATTGAGCCGAAATCATGTCACTGCACTCCAGCCTGGGCGACAGAGTGAGACTCCAGCTCAAAAAAAAAAAGAATTTGATTTCTTTTTTGAGGTCAATTTGGAAGTATTTATTATCTTTTACGCTCAGGAGTTGTCCTTTGTGTTGAAGGACCCAGAAGTCAGTGACCTCAGAGCTTGCAGTCTGGTTAGGATTATGACCAAATACCCTTCAAACAATAGCAGAGAATCCAGGGTAATTGAGAACTTAGTATTGAAGCGCATGGTTTAGAGTCTGAATACGAAATCAAGCTGTTGAATTGTCAGTGATGATTGACATCAGATGATTTCTTAAGAATGTGGCAATGAAGCTAGAAAACTGAAGGATATATGATAAGAAGCCCTAATAATTCTTCACAGTGGCCTACTGATATCATGGAAGGTGTCTTGAGAGCAATAAATAATAGAACAGTATGATTGCAATAGAGCATATTAAAGCAAAACAGGAAATAAAAATATTAATAGATTTTCTTCATGCCTGTAATCCTAGCACTTTGGGAGGCCGAGGTGGAAGGATCACTTGAGGCAAGTAGTTCAAGACTAGACTGGGCAGTATAGTGATACTCCATCTCTACAAAAAAATACATTAGCTGGGTGTGGTGGTACGTGCATGTAGTCCCAGCTACTCAGGAGGCTAAGGCAGGACGATCGCTTGAGCCCAGGAGTTGAAGGCTGCAGTGAGCTATGAATGCACCACTACCCTCCAGCCTGGGTGACAGAGTGAGACTCTGTCTCCCAAAAAAAAAAAAAAAAAAAAAAAGAAACCACACAGATTTTCTTAAGGATTTTCTGTATCTGCAAAATTCAGCTAAGGAGGAAGAGAGGAGAGATGAAATTCTAGGCAAGAGAGGCAAGTAGAACAAAACCTTGAGGTGACAGTGAGCATGGGATGTTCAGTGTTGCTGGTATAAGGAAATCAGCCTAAGAAGAAGATTGCTTGCAGTAAAGAAGGATCCAACTTATAGATAGTTAGGCTGGGCATGGTGGCTCATGCCTGCAATCCCAGTGCTTTAGGAGGCTAAGATGGGAGGATTGCTTGAGGCCAGGAGTTATATTCCAAGTTTATTTAAAATTCAGGATTCAGGTTACCAAAGAAATAAGGATTAAAAAGCTATGCTCCTAGGCTAGCTTATAAACCCTAATTTAAAAAAGTATTGCAAGCCAAGATATACAAAATATTTACTATGTGGCAGACACTGTGCTAAGAACTCATTTCCCATGATTATCAGAACAGCTCTGTGAGGTAGATATAATAATTCTCATTTTATACTATAGGAAACCAGGTCTCAGGTTATATGTCTTACTCAAGGTCAGATAGCTATTTAAACACACATTTATTCTTTCTTTCTTATTCATAGGATACATATGAAATACCTACTACATGTCAGCGGTTAAAGTAGACCTTAGGATTAGAGAGGCTAGAAGATATGTTGTCTGTCCTTTGTAAGCATACAGGAGATAGCCACTATAAATAGTTGCAGAATTGGGTAGTAGGAGAGGGGCACTGGAGCCATAGAAGAAAACCTGGGCTTGTAGAGCCAGGTCTTAAAGAATGTGCAGGAGTTTTCCAGGCAGACAGTTTGGTAAAAGAAATTCTAAGTGAAAATAACCCCTTCCAGGCATGGAGCATGAGAAAATGTGACTGTTAGGTAACAGTTCAGTAGGGTTGCTGTGAAGTATGTGGGTTAGAGGTTAACTGGAGTGGTGGAGATTAAGGATACATCATAGGTAGGCATCATAAAAGGACTTTACATATCACAGTATAGAGTTTGCTTTTTTATTCAGAACGTAATGGAGGTGTTGAAATGTTTCCATGAGAGGAATCATATTATCATCTTTACTTTAATGATAGTGTAAAGGTGGATTCGAGGGGTGTGAGGAAGACTTCAGAAAGGATAGAATGGCAGGAATTTAATTCCTCATCATCTCATATTTGAACCAAGGAAATTGTAGCAGAAATCAAGTTGTAGGGAAGATTTCAGAGATATTTAGAAGACTTAAGCCAGAGGACTTGCAAATGATTTGGCAGAGTTTTGTTTTTTGTGTTTGTCAAATTTGTTCTGAGACAAATTACATATATAAACAGTTTTCTTCATATTTAAAATAGCTCTTGCAACATTGAAAGCACTTGATAAATATTTACTGACTGAATGAATGAAGCAGGGGGAGAGAGATGAAGAATTATACAATGACTCCCAGGTGTTTTCATTTAGGCAACTGAGAGGATGGTGGTGCTATTGTGAAAAAGACAATAGAAAGATCAGGATTGAGGCTGAGAACAATTGCCAGTGTTTTTGTTTATTTGGAGCTTATTTTAGTTTTGTTATTTAAAATTTTCCATTTAACTTTTTCGTATTTATATTTGCATTGGTAGTTTTAAATTCTTATCCAAGTAATACATGTTTTTTATCAAGTAGGTAAACAGTACAGGAGTATAAAGAATATCATTTCCCAAGCATCTTCCATTCACATTTCTGCTCCCCTAGGGTAATTGCTATTACAAGTGTGTGGTCTTTTCTTTCACATTTTTTTCTGTGTGATTCACACATGGGCATACATAGTTTTGTTGTTTCTAACAGAACTGCAATTATTATATACATGCAGTCTGTAACACCCTTGCTCCCCGCCCACACACTTAAGGAGTCTATTTTAGAAATCCCTTCATGTCAGTATGTTCTGGTCCCTCATTCTTTTTAATGCCTGCTTTAGTGCCATAGTATTGATGAACTATACTTTTGTTATCCACATCCCTATTTGTAGTTATTTAGTTTATTAGTATTTCAAATAATGCAGTGAATAAGTTCTGTATGAACATAAGTATATTTTTGTACACTGAAAGTGTATCTGTAGGGTAAATTCTTAGAGGGAGAAATGCTGGATCAAAGGGTTTATATATTTAAAATGTTGATATTGGAGGGAGGGTCTTCAAGGTGGCTGACTAGGGGCACTTCGTACCTCCTCCACTAAGAAGAACCAAACTAGTGAGTGAATAATCACATGTTGACTAGATCATCCAAGAGAACACTGGAATTCAACAGAAAAGTGACAGGAAATACCTAAAGTTAAAAAGGAAAGGGAAACAAGGTAGCCTGTTCAGGTGGGATTAGTCAGGAGCCAAGAGAGACCCCCATTGGTCCACATTCCCACTGTAGACTTCTGTAGTGCTGGCCATGGAAGAGCCCTTCAACCTTCCTGGGCCTTGAAACTAAGATAGGGAGCTGCCAGGAGATTGTGTGATGGCACTACACCAAGAAGGGAGCTCATGCTGGGTCCCACACACGCTCTGAGAACTAAGCAACTGCAGCAAGGCACTATTTTAGAGCCCTGCCCCCAACAGACTGTGCACTGTCCTGGGGTCCAGCATCACTAGGGCTAAACCACAAGAGAAGTGTGAGCTGCTGCCCTTGGGGCCAAGCTGTGGGTTAACACTGTTAGGTTAGCAGTGTAAGTGCTGCTGGGGAGCGAGTGGTGCTGGGGCAAGTATTCCCCACCTGCTAGCCTAGGTGGTGCACATGTTCCCCACCTGCTAGCCTAGGCTTCCAGCTCAGAAGGTAGCCCTCCCTTTTCCAGTGGCAGGGCAGCAGTGCAGCCACTACTGCCTCCCACCTGAGCATTCTGCCAGTGGCCTAGGGATCAGCCTGCCCCTGCCTACCATGGCTGGCACCTGCACATATTGTTGAGAGCCTGAGGGCAAGCCACCCCAGCCTGACTTCATATCCCTACTCCATGCCAGAGCACACAGGCTAGGGTCCAGGAGATTGCCCAGCACATTCTACCACCATTGGCACCTGAATACTCCTCTAGGGGGCCTGAGGTTGGTTCTACCCACCCCTGCCACTACAATCACAGCTGACACCTACCTGCACATGGCACCTGCAGGCTTGGAGACTGAGCTGCCCACCCCCTCACAGCCACCACCAACACCAGCATACACTGCTCAAGACCCAGAAGATTATCCCATCACTGCCACTGCTGTTTTATGCCAGCTGCCCAGAGGCCCAAGAATCTGCCCACCCACCCAGCTCACTGCTGCCACTACCAGCATCTGAGTAAGCCACCTGAAGGCCAAGAATTGGCCCACCTGGACTACTAGTGCCAACTCACCACTGCCTCTACTGGGGCTCAAAGACTGGCCTACCTGGTGCCCCAGTCCTCAGCAAAACTTTACCACAGGCCCCACTAATAACTGCACCTGAAACCACTGAATAAATTACAAACACCACTGACACTGTTCATAGCCAAAGAAATCGTACAGATACCGTACCACTGCAAGCACCCAGAATCAAGGCCAAAGGGCCCTACCAAACAACACCATAGATCTATCTTCAGGAAAACATTCCCTACAGAAGCAAATTCAAAAAACTGGAAGAAGTGACTATCACATCAGATGTGCAGTTATCAATGTAGGAAACATGAAAAAGCAAGGAAATATAACTCCAAAGGAATAACATAATTCTCTAGTAACAGATCCCAATAAAAAACAAATTTACAAAATCCTGGAAAAAGAATTCAAAATGTTGATATTAAAGAAGCTCAATGAGATACAAGAAAATTCTGAAAAACAGTACAGAGAAATCAGAAAAACAATTCAGGATATGAATGAGAAATTTACCAAAGAGAGATATAAAAAAGAACCAAACAGAAATTCTGTAATGGAAGAATTCATTGAATGAAATACAAAATACATTTGAAAGCTTCAACAATAGACTAGATCAAGCAAAAGAGAAGATCTCAAAACTTGAAGACAGGTCCTATGAAATAACCCAAGCAGTCAAAAAGAAGAAAAATAAGAAAGAATTAACAAAGCCTTTGTGATATATGGGACAACATAAAGTGACCAAATACACATATTATTGGTTTCCCAGATGGCAAAGAGGGAAGGGAAGGTTAGAAAAATCTATTTGATGAAATAATAGACAAAAACTTCCCAAGTCTAACGAGATTTAGACATCCAGATACTGGAGGCTCTGAGACCCCCCCAGGCAGATGAAATGCAAAAAGGCATTCTCCATGGTACATTATAGTCAAACTATCTAACATCAAAGACAAAGAGAGAATTCAAAAAACAGCAAGAAAAAAAGCATGCAGTAACCTGTCAAGGAACTGCTATGAGACTACTAGCAGATTTCTCAGCAGAAACCTTTACAGGCCAAGAGAGAATGGTATGATATATTCAAAGTACTGAAAGAAAAAAAAAACTACCAACCAAGGGTACTGTATTCAGCAAAATTATCCTTCATAAATGAAGGAGAAGTAAATTCTTTCCCAGACAAGCAAAAGGTTAGGGAATTCATCACTACTAGACTGGCCCTAAAATATTAATATTGGAAGTTGTTCCCCATAAACTGTATAAATATATTTAATTTTTTCTAGTATGACTTTGTTTTTTGAGACACTTCTCACTCCATCACCCAGGCTGGAGTGTGGTGGCATGATCTTGGCTCACTGCAACCTCCACCTCCCAGGTTCAAGTGATTCTCATGCCTCAGCCTCCCGAGCAACTGGGATTACAGGTGTACGCCACCACACCTGGCTAATTTTTGTATTTTTAGTAGAGATGGAGTTTCACCATGTTGGCCAGGCTGGTCTCAAACTCTTTGATCTCAAGTGATCAGCCCACCTCAGCCTCCCAAACTGCTGGGATTACAGGCGTGAGCCACCACACCCAGCCTGTAGTATGATTTTAAATTGTCCCTTTGTTTTTATTTTTTACCAACAGTGCATGTAATCAGTCTTTTAAATTGTTTGCCTATCTGATGATACATGCAGCATTTAATGTCATTAAAACCTCAATTTGCATTAGACTTTTGTAACACTACTTTCTCTTGGACCTTTTTTTTTTTTAAATTTGAGAACAGGTTTTCATTCCTTTCTATGTAAATGCTTCTCAAAAATCCCTCAGCTCTCTAATGACTTTTAAGTAAGCTTATTTATATTCTTGTCTTTAAATCTTGACTATGAACTGGTAATAATAATATATTTTTATTAACTTTTCAACTTGGGAAACAAAAAGCTGCCTCTAATTTTACCTTCTTTGTAGATCTCTTCATATCTGAAATGTTAAGTAGCTGCTTGTTTGCATGTGATTTCTTTCACAATTCCATCTGCTATAATGACACAAACTATATCTTTATATCTTTGTAAAACAGGCCTACTGTCACTCCCCTGCTTGAAAATCTTCTATTGTTTTTCCTTGCCGATGGGATAAATTTAAATTTCTTTTCATGATATTCAAAACCATGAAGAAACCTGGCACCAAATTATCTCTCTACTTACCTCTGGCCATTTCTGCTTTCATCCTTGGTTTTCCAACCTTTGGGCACCTCAGTTGCAGTTGTGTTTCAGTTCTTATCAACACCTCCACTGGACTGAAAGCAGTCTTTTTCCTTGTCTTTATTTCTGTTACCCAGGCTTAGGATATTCTCCCTTTCTACTACCAATAACAACCATGTATGAACATTTATTAAAACACCATTCTTCTTGTTACTAGTTATTATATAAATTATTCTTAGGTTATGAACTTAATCACATTTTCTTTTCTTTGTTTTGAGACAGTCTCGGTCTGTCGCCCAGGCTGGAGTGCAGTGGTACAGTCTTGGCCCACTGCAATGTCTGCCTCCTGGGTTCAAGCAATTCTTGTGCCTCAGCCTCCTGAGTAGCTGGGATTACAGGTGTGCATCACCATGCCCTGCTAATTTTTGTATTTTTAGTAGAGATGGGGTTTTACTATGTTGGCCAGGCTGGTCGCAAACTCCTGGCCTCAAGTGATCTGCCTGCCTCAGCCTCTCAAAGTGCTACAGGCGTGAGGCACTGCAGCCAGCCCTTAATCACATTGTCCTGAGTTGTCTTGAGATGTGATGCCAGTAGAAAGGTGTATTTCTAAGCCTAGGGAAGACCTGTGGTTTTGTTTGTTATATCTTAAACACTTTTTACTTTGAGATAATTGTAGCCACACATAGTCGTCAGAAATAATAAATACAAAGAGTGCTCTTACATTCCCCACCCAGTTCTCCCAGTGGTAATATCTTGCATAACTGTAGTACAATATCACAACCAAGAAATTGATACTGATACAGTCATCCAACTTAATTCAGAATTCGTTAGTTTTATACACATTCATTTGTGTGTATGTGTGTGCATATTGAGTTCTGTGCAGTTTTACCACATTTGTAGCTTTGTGTGACCTCTTCCACACTTAAGATCTTGTTAAGAATTTCTTGATTTCTTTCTTTTCTTTTCCTTTCTCTTTTTCCCCCCTTTTTTCTTTCTTCTTTCCTTTCTTTCAAAACAGGGTCTCACTTTTGCACCCAAGCTGGAGTGAAGTGGCTCACTGTAGCCTCAAACTCTTGGATCCAAGTGATCCTTCCACATCACCTCCTGCATAGCCACCACTACCACCATGCTTGGCTAATTTTAAAATTTTTTTTGTAGAGATGAGGTTTTGTTATATTGCCCAGGCTGATCTCAAACTCCTGGCCTCAAGCAATCCTTCTGCCTCAGCCTCCCAAAATGCTGGGATTACATGCGTGAGCCACTGTGCCCAGCCTTGATTTATTTCTTAATGAGAAATTTCTTCTGGTAAAGTTTTCTAGGTTTTCCTAGATATCTTATATGATATTCATAAAAGAAATCGTTCACAGCATGAACTTAGGTGGTATATGGATGAATGGTTTTGTATTTTACTAGTTATAACCTAATTATTATGGCAAGTATTTTTCAGTTAGAATAGTGATATAAAATCGTAAGATACATATATTTTAGTTTAAAAGGTTAGTCCTTTTAACAAAAATGATAAGAAAATAATGGTACAGAAGATAGGAGACAAAAATAGTAGATGATGTGTACAAAGGACTTAGGATACATAAGTCTTGGTATAAACTATATCAGAATGAAGAGGCCCTTTTTAATGTTCAGCATTGTTACTGAGACTAAGAACAATCTTGTGTCAGCAAAAGACAGAGGTTTGGGAGCCAGACACATTTGGTTTCAAATCTAGGCTCCATCATTCCTTCCTCTCCTCCTCCAGTAAATATGTATTGAGTGCCTGCTATGCCATACCCTGTGCCGAACATACAACAGTGAATGAAACAGAGCTTCTGCTGCATGGAGCCTACATTCTAATGAGGGAAGACAAACAGTAAACAAGTGAATAATTAAACATATATGCCAATTGGCGGTAAGAGCAGTAAGCATAGTAGGGAGAATACAGAGGGCCAAGAAGTGATTGCGCAGCAATTGCTGTAATGTGCAGAGCACAGGTGTTGGGGGACAAGGCAGAAGCAGAGAGGGCAGGTAGGAGACTGTTGCAGTAATCTAGGCATAAGGTGAGGGTGGCTCAAAGCGGGGTAGTCACAGTGGAGGAGACTGGCAGTAATTAAATTCCATGGTATTTTTTAAGTCTAGCAAACAGGATTTCTTGATGGAGCAGATATGATAGACAAATGAGGAATCAATGATGATTCCAGGGCTTTGGGTTTGAGCCAACTACTAGAAGGTTTGAGTTGCTGTCAGTGAGATGGAATAGATAGATTGCCAGAACAGATTTTAGGGAAATCAAGAATTTAGTTTTGTACATGTTAGGTGTAAAGGTGCCTACTAAATATCCAAGTTGGATATGTTGAACAGGCAGTTAGGGTTTAGGGAAGGTGTCTGGGCAGGAATTAAAAATTCAGGAATTGGGCTGAGAGTAGTGGTTCATGTATGTAATCCCAGAACTTTAGGAGGCTAAGGCAGGAGGATGGCTCAAAGCCAGGAGTTCAAGATGCAGATTAAGCAACAAAGTGAGATACTATTTTTATTTAAAAAAAAAAATAGCCACATGCAGTGGCTCATGCCTGTAGGCCCAGTTACTTGGGAGGCTGAGGCGGGAGGACCACTTGAGTCCAGGGGTTCGAGGCTGTAGTAAGCTGTGATCATGCCATGCACTCCAGCCTGAGCAACAGAACAAGACCCTGCCTCTTTAAAAAAAAAAAAAAAAAAAAAGTTTAGGAATAGTCAGGATATTGATACTCTTTAAAGCCATGAGACCGGATGGCTTTAAAACCATCTGTAGAATGAGATCATCTAAAGAGTGAATGTAGGCCTGGTGCAGTGGCTCACACCTGAAATTCTAGCACTTTGGAGGCTGAGGTAGGAGGATTGCTTGAGCCCAGGCGTTTGAGGCTACAGTCAGCTATGACTGTGCCACTGCACTACCACCTGAGTGGCAGAGCAAGACCTTATCTCAAAAAAGAAATAATAAAAATAAAATAAAAATTTAAAAACAATTTTCAACAGAGTGAATGTAGTTAGAGAAGAGAAGAAGCCTGGGGTCTGACTTGAGGGCACTCCAGTATTTATGGGACAGTGAGATGAAGCGGAACCGGCAAAGGAGACTAAAGAATGGCTGGTGAGGTGGGAGTAGACCAAGGGAGAGTGATGTCCTGGAAGCCAAGTGAAGAAAACATTTCAAGAAGGATAAACTAGGTCAGTGTTGCTGATAGGTCGAGTAATAGAATCAAGACTTGAACTATTTGGACTAGCCATAGGAAGATCTTTGATGACTTTGGCAAGCAATTTCAGAAGAGTGGTAGACACTAAAGTCTGATTTGGATAGAATTGAGAGACCCAGATGAGAGAAAGTAGAAACAGTAATTTTAGACAATTCTTTCAAGGAGTTTTTCTATAAAAGAGAGCAGACATTAGGGTGGCAGCTGGTGAGAAATGGAGGTTTGATGGAGATTTTTCAAATGGAGATATTATAGCATGTTTGCTCATAAGAATGCTCCAGTAGAGATGGAAAAACTGACATTGTAGATTTTTGAATTGATATTCTTGAGTGAGAGGTTGTGTAACATAGTGTAAATGTGAGGAGTTGGCCTTCAGAGCACAGGTAGTTCGTGCAAGTAATAGGAGGATTGGCATAATGTATGGGTGCAGAGACAAGGAGTTTGGCAAATGTGGTGGGAACATGTGGACATTGCCTTCTGATAGTGCCACTGTTGGCTGAAAGTGTGGTCGTATTAGAGGTTTGAGAAGAGAGAACTTGGGAAATAATTGTGTAGAAGGGTGGGTGAAGAATGGATTAAGGAAATGTAGTACCCTTGCTGGGTAGCACTAAGGGGTTACTAGCATTTATTTGACATCAATTTAAAATGCTACCAGGCAACGTAATTATCTTTTTCTCCAGCCACATTCTGCCATATACTTTGATGTGATGTAAACAGTTTTAGATTTAACCAAGGTAGGAGCTTGTAGGTTATAAAGGTGGAAAGAGAAAGAGGCAAGGGTAAAAAGGGCATACATAAGGGAGTGATTATAAGGATAGACCATGAAACCTAAGCTGGGTAATGAACTGAAAAGGGAGATTATGAGAGGGGCAAGAGACAATGGAAAGGGGGTAGGACCAAATGGATTGTGGGTTCTTATAGGACTGAGTAACTGTTAGAGTCAGAATTCTAAAGGGTTTGAGTAGAATCAGGAGGTGTTAGTCAGAAATCAGAAGATTGAACTTGGGATGGGAGCAAAGCAGTAGTTATTAGTAATGGCAGAATCTAGGTTATGACCATGGAGGTGCTATTTCCTGGTGAGTAGCCTTAGAAAAATTTCACAACCTTCTGAGCCTCAATTTTCTCCTCTGTAAAATGGGAATAATACCTATCTTACAGAATTACGATGAGGATTAAATGATATGATAAATGTAAAATACATAACGTAGTACTTACCATGTGATATGTAGAATGGCAAAGTACCGTATATGCTTGATATCCTTTTTTTTTTTTTTTTTTTTTTTTTTTGGAGTTGGAGTCTTACTCTCTTGCCCAGGCCGGAGTGCAGTGGCACTATCTCGGCTCACTGCAACCTCCGCCTTCCAGTTCAAGCGAGTCTCCTGCCTCAGTCTCCTGAGTAGCTGGTGGGGTTACAGGTGCCAGCCACAACGCCTGGCTAATTTTTGTATTTTCAGTAGAGACGGGATTTCACCGTGTTGGCCAGGCTGGTCACGAACTCCTGACCTCAGGCAGTCTGCCCACCTTGGCCTCCCAGAGTGCTGGGATTACAGGCTTGAGCCACCACGCTGGCTGATACTTTTCTTATCCTTCACAATTGCTTCATATGAAACCTGGTGAAATAAAATTTTTACGCCTGTAATCCCAGCACTTTGGGAGGCCGAGGCGGGCGGATCACGAGGTCAGGAGATCGAGACCATCCCGGCTAAAACGGTGAAACCCCGTCTCTACTAAAAATACAAAAAATTAGCCGGGCGTAGTGGCGGGCGCCTGTAGTCCCAGCTACTTGGGAGGCTGAGGCAGGAGAATGGCGTGAACCCGGGAGGTGGAGCTTGCAGTGAGCCGAGATCCCGCCACTGCACTCCAGCCTGGGCGACAGAGCAAGACTCCGTCTCAAAAAAAAAAAAAAAATCACTCTATGACCTATGATTATTTTTCCTTAATTGGAATGAAAAACACCACTACCATTGGGAGTACCACTATTATGTTAACAAGAAGTGCTTCTATTTGTTACAATTCTGCTGCTGTTACTATGTATTCATTTAAAAGAATCTGTGTATCATGAATTTTCATATCATTTGCATTTAATTTTTAAAATAGCCCTGTGAGGTAAGTGGTGCAGGTATTTTTGTTATTTCTCCATTTGCCAGTTGAGGAAATGAAAGTATAGTGAAGTGTGCTACTTATGATTATTTTGTTAAAACTAGAACTTGAACTTAGGTCTTCTGACTGGTGACTGAATTCTGTGCTTTTCATGGTATATCAGTGTTCAGGATATGTTTCCCTGCTATAAATCTGCTAAACTCTAAAGGTCTCTTTTTAAACTATCTTTTTAATGAAAGGATTTGTCTTTTTATTGTACAGTCTTCATAGTTAATACATTCATCCATTCATTTATTTACTCCTTCAACATATATTATTGTAACCATTCTTTATTTGCTAGGTCCTTGCAATAGCAAGACATACACCCCTGCCTTCATGGAGCTTTCACTATAGTGAGAGGGACAGATGTTAATAAACAATTACATTAAAATATTTATAATTAAAAGAAAAGTGCTGGAACCAAGAACAACTAACAAAGAATAACTTGATTGAGTTTGGGGGTTGGCTTGGTGGTGACGGTGAAAGACTTCCCAAAGGAAGTTACATTTAAACTGAGACTGGAAGGGCAAACAGCTATTAACTAGGAGAAGGGATAAAGAGAAGAGGGTGTTACACTGAGAGAAGAACATGGATGAAGGGTATCTCCCTTCCTCTCTTTCTTCCTATCACAATTTATAATGGTTCTTTTTCATTTTTTTTATTATTTTAAAATGTATTTTAAGTATAAATTAATAGTTACAAATCATAGTACTGAATTTTTCTCTCAGTACATTCTTCAAGAAAATCAATTGTTGGGACTGCTTAGGAGGGAGAGCCTGTGGTGAGTTTACATTGCAAGTTCCATTGGTTGTCATGCAGTGAGGCCATGGAGAGCATTCGTTTTGCTGCTCTTAACTTCATCAGTGCTTTTATGCTGACAGTTTTTGCTGGTGCAACACATTGAATCTTTCCAAAGGAATAGTGATACACCTCTGCCTAAATAATGACTATTTCCATCTAAACCGATTCATCTGGTATATTACATGAACAAATTTGTAAGACTCCATGGTTGAAAACCATAGTTTATCAAGTTTTTTCCTTTACTTCTAACTAAGATAGGGACCCAGGCAATTTTTCTTTTTCTTGCTTCTACACTGTCATCTGTTGACCACAGTGAGCATTCTGTATAGCATTTAGTCCCACATGTTGCTGTGGTTGAAAATCGATATGGATTTCCCACAAAAGGGAAATCTCAGGAGATGAATATTATAATCTATCAGAATTTCACTTTAAGGACTCATTTTAAAAAATAAAGCATTGCCATTGTTATAAATTATCGATTGTGTTTATAAATAGTGTAGGAGCATGCTAGAATTGACTAAGGCATTTAGCAAGTAGGAAAGAAGGTTGAAGAGGAAGTTGGCTAGAAAAAGCAAAGGATTAATAATTCTTTGACTTGACTGAGATTGCTGAGCACATTTATCAAGCAAAGGTGATGGCACTTGCTTGGAATGAATCCAAAGCACAGTGTGATGCTAAGCATTGTTGTAACAGGGAGACAGATGTAGAGCCACACTATTATAGATTTCTTTTGTCAGACAAAATAGACTTTGCAAGCACATCAACAGTTGTTCATGATATATTTTTCCAGCCGCGTCAGTTTATATAAGAGTAAAATGATGTCGTTGAAAGACAATGTACTATATATACAGGTACCCAATCTTCGTCTTGTATCTCAGTAGTGCCACCTTCTTCTTATATGACCTAAAGTGATACTCTAAAATCTCTCTGGGCCTCAGTTACCTTATTACTAAAATTAGGAAAATAACTTAATGAAGTAATAAAACTTGATATTCATAATTATGGCCCTGTGACAGCAAAAGACTTGGAGAGTCTGAAATATTCACTAATTTTTATAGTGTTAGCTTTGTAATTCTTGTAGCACTTTACTCCATTATTAAGAATAACTAATGAATCAGAACTCCCTATTGCTGAGCTATAAGAAGAATAGAGTATATGCCATGTTGCTTGTTATGTGTGCTGACATATTGCCTATAAGCCATTATAAATACATTAAAGAAGACATTCATTTATTCTGTCAGTGCTGCCCTGTGAGCAAAAGGTTAGCCAACTTTTTCTTCCTGTTCCCTGCCTAATGCTTTTCTATCCCTCTTTGAATTTAGGAGCATGTATCCCGTTTGGAAATCTTTTCTCGAGGGAACAATGCAGGTAGCCCAGTCTCGGATGAATATATGTGAAAACTATAAAAACTTCATTTCTGAGCCTGCAAGGACAGTGAGAAGCTTAAAAGAACAGCAACTAAAAAGGGTATTGTTTTTATTTCTGTTCTTATATGCATTTTAATATCCCAGTGCTACATTTATAATCTGCAAGGTTATGCTAAATTTTATTTAAAACTATATGGTCCCATATGTTTCTGGTTGACATTTTACTAGGATTTTCTGATTTCAACATGTTCTCATTAAGTACTATGTTTTATTAACTGCTAAAAATGAATGTAATTCAAATCCATGGACGTTCAAAAAGCTCAGTAAATACTTTTTAGTAATACCGCTTTTCGGCATAATTCAAGTACATAGATCTACTTAGTTTCACAATATCGGTATAGTTTGATGTGTATTAGAATAGTTACAAGGTTATTAATCCCACTAGTTCTTGAAAAAAGTTTACATTAATTTGTCTTACTTTCAACTTGACCCATTTTGTATAATAATTTAAAGGAAATTAACACATTTTGACTAAACATAAAAAACTTACTTTAAAAAACCTGATGGACTCTAAACTTTAATTATATGGGTTACACATGAGTAAATGTTTTCAAATGGACATATTTTATTACACAGAAATAAAAAATTCATAGGAAAATGGCATTGCTTAATGTGACTTTTTAGAAAAGTTGGCTGTTGAAAATAGGTGATTGAATTGTGTTCTTTTGGAAATAGAGTTACAAAAATTGAGATTATCATTATACCTAATAAGTAATTAAAATTTTCTTGTGGAAGTATTAATACTTTAGAAAATATTAAAGTAAAAGAAAGAAAATATTAAAGTAATTATTTCGGGAAATAATATTTTAGAAGCCATCCAGTGTTTTGATTCTAATTGTCATTAGGATTTTCAGAACATTTTTACAAACACCTTTCCCACCAAAAACCCCCCAATTTTCCGTTTGCCAAAGATGATTCTAGTAGCATGAAATCAATATGTTAGATGTATATGTGTCTTTATGTAAAATGTTAATTTCTTTAGAGCACTCACCTAATATTAGTCAGTTAAACATATTTGTATAAGAATGCCTGTGTTTTATCTTTGCCAAAAAATATCTCTTTCAAAACAAACATAGTGAGTAACCTATGTGATCACTGGCCAGTGATTTTGAGTTGGAAGAAAGTGTGTGTGTGTGTGTGTTTGTGTGTGTGTGTGTGTGTGTCTGATTGTGCAGAAAGAGGGTGTAAGGTAGGGGCAGAGAATTAATACTAGTATAACTTCCCAACCAGGAGGAAATACTGCATTTCAAATTTCCAGTGCATTCATCAGATCTAATTGAATTACTGCCACCTTACTCAATATCAGAATATTTAGAGAGTTTAACTACCTCTGGTGCTTTTCTCTTCCATTGATGAAGTAATCTCAGACCTGAATTTAACTGACATTCCTGGGCAAAGAATGTTTGATAAGGCCGGGTGTGGTGGCTCACGCCTGTAATCCCAGCACTTTGGATGGCCAAGCCGGGTGGATCACCTGAGGTCAGGAATTCAAGACCAGCCTGACCAATATGGTGAAACCCCATCTCTACTAAAAATACAAAAATTAGCCAGGTGTGGTGGCGTGCACCTGTAGTTCCAGCTACTCGGGAGGCTGAGACAGGAGAATTGCTTGAACCCGGGAGGTGGAGATTGCAGTGAGCTGAGATCGTGCCACTGCCCTCCAGCCTGGGTGACAGAGTGAGACTCTATCTCAAAAAAAAAAAAAAAAAAAAAAGAATCTTTGGTAAGATTCAACAAATGCTCATGTCTGTGAATTAACTTGTTTTATATTATTGCTGATGATCTATGTTACATCTAAGCAATTGTTAAATATTCAGTACATATTGGGTATACCTGTCAGGACTCTGAGATAGCAAATGAAAGAAACCTCCTTCAAACTGCTTTAAGCCAAGAAGGGAATGTATCTGCTTGTATAACTGAAAATTGAAGGACTTCAAGCATGGGTGGATCTAGGGGTTCAAATGATGGTATTAGAATTCAGACTTTCTTTCCATCCATTAGCTCTGCTTTTCTGAATGGCTTCACTCACTAACAACTCTCTCCACATGGTGACCCCCAATGTGCCAGATTTATAAATCTTAAAGGTAGCAATCCCAGATTTTTCATTTTCCCAAATGACCAGAATTGTTTTGCATAGCAGCTGCATCATTTGGCATTCCCACCAACAGTGCACAAGGGCTCCAATTTCTCTACAGCCTTGCCAACATCTGTTATCCTTTTAAAGAATAATAGCCACCTAACAGGTGTGAGGTAATTAATATTTTATTGTGGCTTTGATCTGTATTTCACTGATGGTTGGTGATATTAAGCAATCTAATATTTTTTATTATCAATTTTTTCCTCCACTATTAGCTTCTTACTTTTTAAATCCTATATTCTTTTAGTAATTACCTTAGAGATTATAATATCCCTCCCTAACTTATTACATTACCTTGAATCATTAATCTTACTATTCCCCAATCCTTGTTCCAAATTAACTTTTTTTTTTTGAGACAGAGTCTCGCTCTGTCACCCAGGCTGGAGTGCAGTGGCATGATCTCGCTCACAGCAACCTCTGCCTCTTGGGCTCAGGTGATCCTCCCACCCCAGTCTCCTGAGTGGCTGGGATTACAGGCGTGTGCCACCACACCTGGCTAATTTTATTGTATTTTTAGTAGAGACAGGGTTTCACCATGTTGGCCAGGCTGGTCCTGAACTCCTGACCTCAAGTGATCTGCCTGCCTCAGCCTCCAAAAGTGCGGGGATTACAGGCATGAGCCACCTCGCCTGGTCCAAATTAACTTACTACAATCTACCTTGAATTAGTATTTTACTACCTCATGAACAATATAAAAATCTTCTAGCAAGATAATTCCATTTAACTCTCATTTATGACTTTTTGGCTGTTAGACCTTTTGACTCTGTTCATGTCTTTTCTACTTTTTCAGCATTTTGTTTTCCACCCTTTTTTCTCTGTGTACTTCAATCTGAATATTTAACAAGTTTATTAATATACTGTTCTACTATTTTGAATCTGCTTTAAAAACTCATCTTTTGGGGACGGGAGTGGTAGTTCACACCTGTAATTTCAGCACTTTGGGAGGCCAAGGTGGAAAGATCATTTCAGTCCAAGATCAGCCTGGCCAACATGGTGAAATCCCGTCTCTACAAAAAATGTAAAAATTAGCCAGGTGTGGTGGTTCATGCCTGCAGTCCCAGCTACTTGGGAGGTTGAGGCAGGAGGATCACTTGAGCACAGGAGGTAGAGATTGCAGGAAGTCGAGATCGTGCCACTGCACTCCAGCCTGGATGACAGAGGGAGACCCTTTCTCAAAACAAAACAAAGAAAACCTCATATTTTGGAATCTTAATGTACTTTTCAGTTCCAGGATTTTTATTTGACTTTTAAATACTACATTCCATATTTCTGGTACAGTTCTCCATGTTTTTCCTTTATCCTCTTAAACATGTTACTACTGATCTCTATTATATAATTTCACTATCTGAATTACTGTAGGTCTCTTTTAACCGCCTGCGGTTTTTCTTGATTTTTGGTTATTTGGGTCTTCTGTTTGATTATGACTCACAATATTGGACATTGTGGATAAAAACTGTAGAGGCTCTGGGAAGATGTTATTTCCAAAGAGGGTTAAGCTTTCTTCTGGCAAGTGGATAGAATGCTATTAGATCACCTTGATTCTGTTAGGATCTCTGGTTTTAGGCTTTTTAGGGCTATTCTGTTTCACTTACTCCTAGAGTTTTAACTGAAAATATAGGGTGCTTACCAAGACCCTTCTAATTTGACAAGACTTGAACTCTAACCTTTGTCTTCTCAACATCGTGTAGCTGCTCTGATGCTCTGATCTCTGCTCACTCTTTGGCCTCTCGGCTATAGTTCTCTACTGGATTTCTTGGCATTTTACCCAACACCTGCTTTTTAGAAGTCATCTGTTAACCCAAGGGGAAATTGCATACAGATTTTTGGACTTGCTTTTCTGCAGTACCCCTCTTTCTAGACCCTTACCTCTCAAGTTCCTGTTCTTTTGGCATCCCTAAACTCCAACCTCTGTCTCCCCAGTCTCGTAAAAATGCCACTTTCTGTTTCTGTCCTATTTCTTTATACCATGATTCAACAAATGCCCTAAGGAAAAACATTAAGTTGAATTTAAGACTTACCTTGGTGTATTCCTCTTTTCCTGGGTGTCTTAGTCCTTTAAGTCCAGTGTGTGGTGGTGGTCTTTAATGCTGGCAGTTTTTTAAAAATGTATTTTGTTCAACTTTTACACTTTCCAGTCTAGAGAAAGGTAGTCTGATCCAAGTTGTTCTGTCATGATCAGAACCAATCTGACTTAAAATTTTTCCTCTACAACATTTTAAAGTTCATGTTTTTTTAAAGATTTTCTCTAATTTGACTATTTTCTTTTATAATGCTTGGAAGATAAACACAATTGTATTACAATTATGCAGAGCCCCAGTTTATAATGAGGATTATGAGAATTATTACATTTTTCAAAATTATTTTCTGTATGCTGACATTTGCTTAAAAATTAGAATGAGAGCTACAATAACTTAAGGCTTTTTGCCATTCTTATGTTTACTTAACCATACTTTTGTCCGTATCTTTCACATTTATACTAGAGTTTACTTACCATCCTTGAAATATTGTGGTTCACATTTGTATAACACTTTAGAGTTTGCAAACTGCTGCCATATCCATTATAGTCACATTTGATTTTTACACAACCCTGATAGTATTTAAGTATTATTATTTTACAAATGATAAAACTAAAGCTAAAAATGTTAAAGAGACTTAGGTAGTAAATAACAGAGTGGGAACTTGAATATACTACTACTTCCTAATTCCAAATCCTGTACAATGCTTTTAAAACAAAGCTTAATATTGAAACAGGTTTATAGAAAAATACATGTAAATGCCTTCACCATAGTAGACTACTTAATTCTCTTACTCCTTTTATCTTGCTCCTTTTATCCTCATTCTCCCAATTTCCTAATTAATTGTTCATGTTTCTACATAACCTTTATGTTTATTATTTTTTATTATTTTGTGAATTTTCCATTCTGCTTTCTTTAATTATACAACTGGGTTTGGACATTACCCTTAAGTCTACAGTAAAAATTAACTTTTTAAATTTTTTTCTTAGGATAAATTTCTAGGGCATTATTACTGGGTTAGAGAACCTAATCATTTGTAGGACTTCGATGTGTTGGCCCAGGTTACTTTTATTTGTATTCTTATATTCAAGTTATTAGCAAGTTTATTATTGTGTCTCTGTCATACTCAGAGACTATACTTTTAACTTCTTCCTTTTTTTTTTTTTTTTGAGACAGAATTTTTCTCTGCTCTGTCACCCCTGCTAGAGTGCAGTGGCATGAACACGGCTCACTGTGGCCTCAACCTCTTGGGCTCAAGTGATCCTTCCACCCCAGCCTCCCAAGTAGTTGGGACTACAGGTGCTTGCCACCACACCTGGCTGATTTTTGTACTTTTTTTTTAGAGATGAGGTTTCACCATGTTGCCCAGGGTGGTCTCGAACTCCAGGGCTCAAGATATCTGGCCGCCTCAGCCTCCCAAAGTGCTAAGATTACAGGTGTGAGCCACCGCACCTGGCCCAGTTTTTGGTTCTTAATATCAAAATTGTAGCCATGGAGCCTGCTTTTAGCTCTTCACACCTGCAAACACAGCATTATTAGAATGTTTAGCACTTCTTTATGGGAGTGTCAGGTTGTCATCTTGTCATTTATTAAACAAAAACTTTGTATTTGATAAGTACTATTACAATTTAGGGGGAAAACAGCTTTTCGTTCTGCAAGATAAAAGCTTACTTTTAGTTTATATGTAACAAAATACTATTCGGCGATAAAAAGGAATGAAGTACTGACACCTGCTACAACTTGAATGAACCCTAAAAATGTTTTGATAAGTGAAAGAAGTGAGAAACATAAGGCCACATATTATTTGATTCCATTTGTACTAAATATCCCAAAAAGGAACTCCATAGAGACAAAAATAGATTAATTGTTGTTGGAAGTGGGGAGAAATGGGGAGTGACAGCTAATGGATACAGAGTTTCTTTTTGGGGTAGGAAAATGTTTTGGAATTCAAGCAGAGTAATGGTTGAACAACCTTGTCACCACTGAATTGTATACTTTAAAAAGGTGAATTTTGTTGTATGTGAATTATATGTCAATTTTTTAAAAGCTTTTAAGATAAACTACATCTATAAGATACAGTTTGCACTATATCTTTTTTTTGTTTTGTTTTTTGAGATGGAGTCTCGCTCTGTCACCCAGGCTGGAGTGCAGTGGCATGATCTCGGCTCACTGCAAGCTCTACCTCCTGGGTTCAAGCCATTCTCCTGCCTCAGCCTCCCGAGTAGCTGGGACTACAGGCGCCCACCACCACACCCAGCTAATTTTTTTGTATTTTTAGTAGAGACGGGGTTTCACCGTGAGTTTACACTATATCTTAAAACATGGTCATCACAGAACTAGGGTACACACTTTAATGGGTTCCATAGTAAATGGTATCATCACATCCTTGCCGTGTGACTCAGAGTAAATTATTTAACATCTGAGTCTATTTTCTCATCTTAATGGGATCACTGCTACTACTACTACTGCTGCTGCTGCTACTACTACTACTACCTTTTTCATAGAGTCGTTTCAAGGACTAAATGTGATAATACCTGTAAAGTACGAAACATAGCACCTGTGCAGTGCCCACAAGGGGTCTTTTTAGAAGTAATAAGCATTCAGACTCCCTTGGCTCTCATAGGCCACACCTGACAAGAGGTTTACTGAGAAGGACAGAGTACAGGAAACACAATTTGCCAGTAGGGAAGCATCTAGCATTAATGGAAATAATTCTCCCACTATTGTATGTCTCGGTCCACATAGCTGACCAGTTATTCTGTTTGGTCCTCCAAGTGACAGGTCTAGGACAAGGGAGTGAGACACATTTGCAGAGCCAGCTTTAGCCCCTAAAGGAGACTAAAATTTTTTACAACAACTCTATAGACAGAGCTTCCAGTGTCCCTGTAAGGGACATGTCCGGATACACCGTACTCACAGAAGCCCAAAGCCTGGCTTTTCTATCCGATATTTATTTATTTATTTATTTTTATTATACTTTAAGTTTTAGGGTACATGTGCACAACGTGCAGGTTAGTTACATATGTATACAGTGCCATGTTGGTGTGCTGCACCCAGTAACTCGTCATTTAACATTAGGTATATCTCCAAATGCTATCCCTCCCCCCTCCCCTCACCCCACAACAGGCCCCAGTGTGTGATGTTCCCCTTCCTGTGTCCATGTGTTCTCATTGTTCAATTCCCACCTATGAGTGAGAACATGCGGTGTTTGGTTTTTTGTCCTTGCGATAGTCTGCTGAGAATGATGGTTTCCAGCTTCATCCATGTCCCTACAAAGGACATGAACTCATCATTTTTATGGCTGCATAGTATTCCATGGTGTATATGTGCCACATTTTCTTAATCCAGTCTATCATTGTTGGACATTTGGGTTGGTTCCAAGTCTTTCCTATTGTGAATAGTGCCACAATAAACATATGTGTGCATGTGTCTCTATAGCAGCATGATTTATAATCCTTTGGGTATATACCCAGTAATGGGATGGCTGGGTCAAATGGTATTTCTAGTTCTAGATCCCTGAGGAATCGCCACACTGACTTCCACAATGGTTGAACTAGTTTACATTCCCACCAACAGTGTAAAAGTGTTCCTATTTCTCCACATCCTCTCCAGCACCTGTTGTTTCCTGACTTTCTAATGATCGCCATTCTAACTGGTGTGAGATGGTATCTCATTGTGGTTTTGATTTGCATTTCTCTGATGGCCAGTGATGATGAGCATTTTTTCATGTGTCTGTTGGCTGCATAAATGTCTTCTTTTGAGAAGTGTCTGTTCATATCCTTTGCCCACTTTTTGATGGGGTTGTTTGTTTTTTTCTTGTAAATTTGTTTGAGTTCATTGTAGATTCTGGTTATTAGCCCTTTGTCAGATGAGTAGATTGCAAAAATGTTCTCCCATTCTGTAGGTTGCCTGTTCACTCTGATGGTAGTTCCTTTTGCTGTGCAGAAGCTCTTTAGTTTAATTAGATCCTATTTGTCAATTTTGGCTTTTGTTGCCATTGCTTTTCGTGTTTTAGACATGAAGTCCTTGCCTATGCCTGTGTCCTGAATGGTATTGCCTAGCTTTTCTTCTAGGGTTTTTATGGTTTTAGGTCTAACATTTAAGTCTTTAATCCATCTTGAATTAATTTTTGTATAAGGTGTAAGGAAGGGATCCAGTTTCAGCTTTCTACATATGGCTAGCCAGTATTCCCAGCACCATTTATTAAATAGGGAATCGTTTCCCCATTTCTTGTTTTTGTCAGGTTTGTCAAAGATCAGATAGTTGTAGATATGTGGCATTATTTCTGAGGGCTCTGTTCGGTTCCATTGGTCTATATCTCTGTTTTGGTACCAGTACCATGCTGTTTTGGTTACCGTAGCCTTGTAGTATAGTTTGAAGTCAGGTAGTGTGATGCCTGCAGCTTTGTTCTTTTGGCTTAGGATTGACTTGGCAATGCGGGCTCTTTTTTGGTTCCATATGAACTTTAGTCTTTTCCAATTCTGTGAAGAAAGTCATTGGTAGCTTGATGGGGATGGCATTGAATCTATAAATTACCTTGGGCAGTATGGTCATTTTCACGATATTGATTCTTTCTACCCATGAGCATGGAATGTTCTTCCATTCGTTTGTATCCTCTTTTATTTCATTGAGCAGTGGTTTGTAGTTCTCCTTGAAGAGGTCCTTCACATCCCTTGTAAGTTGGATTCCTAGGTATTTTATTCTCTTTGAAGCAGTTGTGAATGGGAGTTCACTCATGATTTGGCTCTCTGTTTGTCTGTTATTGGTGTATAAGAATGCTTGTGATTTTTTGCACATTGATTTTGTATCCTGAGACTTTGCTGAAGTTGCCTATCAGCTTAAGGAGATTTTGGGCTGAGACGATGGGGTTTTCTAAATAAACAATCATGTCATCTACAAACAGGGACAATTTGACTTCCTCTTTTCCTAATTGAATACCCTTTATTTCCTTCTCCTGCCTGATTGCCCTGGCCAGAACTTCCAACACTATGTTGAATAGGAGTGGTGAGAGAGGGCATCCCTGTCTTGTGCCAGTTTTCAAAGGGAGTGCTTCCAGGTTTTGCCCATTCAGTATGATATTGGCTGTGAGTTTGTCATAGATAGTTCTTATTATTTTGAGATACGTCCCATCAATACCTAATTTATTGAGAGTTTTTAGAATGAAGCGTTGTTGAATTTTGTCAAAGGCCTTTTCTACATCTATTGAGATAATCATATGGTTTTTGTCGTTGGTTCTGTTTATATGCTGGATTATGTTTATTGATTTGCGTATGTTGAACCAGCCTTGCATCCCAGGGATGAAGCCCACTTGATCAGCGTATGTTGAACCAGCCTTGCATCCCGGGGATGAAGCCCACTTGATCATGGTGGATAAGCTTTTGGTGTGCTGCTGGATTTGGTTTGCCAGTATTTTATTGAGGATTTTTGCATCGATGTTCATCAGGGATATTGGTCTAAAATTCTCTTTTTTTGTTGTGTCACTGCCAGGCTTTGGTATCAGGATGATGCTGGCCTCATAAAATGAGTTAGGGAGGATTCCCTCTTTTTCTATTGATTGGAATAGTTTCAGAAGGAATGGTACCAGCTCCTCCTTGTACCTCTGGTAGAATTCGGCTGTGAATCCATCTGGTCCTGGACTGTTTTTGGTTGGTAAGCTATTAATTGTTGCCTCAATTTCAGGGCCTGTTATTGGTCTATTCAGAGATTCAACTTCTTCCTGGTTTAGTCTTGGGAGGGTGTATGTGTCGAGGAATTTATCAGTTTCTTCTAGATTTTCTAGTTTATTTGCGTAGAGGTGTTTATAGTATTCTCTGATGGTAGTTTGTATTTCTGTGGGATTGGTGGTGATATCCCCTTTATCATTTTTTATTGCGTCTGTTTGATTCTTCTCTCTTTTCTTCTTTATTAGTCTTGCTAGTAGTCTATCAATTTTGTTGATCTTTTCAAAAAAACCAGCTCCTGGATTCATTGATTTTTGTGAAGGGTTTTTTTGTGTCTCTATTTCGTTCAGTTCTGTTCTGGTCTTAGTTATTTCTTGCCTTCTGCTAGCTTTTGAATGTGTTTGCTCTTGCTTCTCTAGTTCTTTGCCTTGTCATGTTAGGTTGTCAATTTTAGATCTTTCCTGCTTTCTCTTGTGGGCATTTAGTGCTATAAATTTCCCTGTACACACTGCTTTGAATGTGTCCCAGAGATTCTGGTATGTTGTGTCTTTGTTCTCATTGGTTTCAAAGAAAACATCTTTATTTCTGCCTTCATTTCATTATGTACCCAGTAGTCATTCAGGAGCAGGTTGTTCAGTTTGCATGTAGTTGAGTGGTTTTGAGTGAGTTTCTTAATCCTGAGTTCTAGTTTGATTGCACTGTGGTCTGAGAGACAGTTTTGTTGTAATTTCTGTTCTTCTGCATTTGCTGAGGAGTGCTTTACTTCCAACTATGTGGTCAGTTTTGGAATAAGTGCAGTGTGGTGCTGAGAAGAATGTATATTCTGTTGATTTGGGGTGGAGGGTTCCTATCAGATATTTATAGTTAATTTTTAGTTTATCCCAAATTGATGCAGTTTGCCTACCAGGGTTTGTAAGCAATGTTGCCTAATAACACAGCTGACATTGTGTCTTCTCATCAGGTTTCTATTGAAACACAGATCTAGAAAGTTAAGCAAAGGCCCAGTTTCGTGCAGAGGGGAAAAGTTTTGTTTTATTTTGTGTTTTTTTAACCTTTTCCTTCACAGCCTAACACTTATTAAGTGCTTAATAAATATGAGTGGTTATTTTGCTTTTATCTGTCCATGCAGAATCTTCTAGATGTCTCATCCCCTGTAGTCCTTTCTTAACACCTAACAGCTTCTGGGAAAGTCTAGCCTGTATGTCATATGGTTAAGTTTATTCTTGTTTTATCCTCATTCTTCTGATGTCCTTGCCCTCCTCCACACTATTCACCCTTGCACAATAGTCCTTCACCAGTGTCTCCTCCTGCTTTGCTGAGCTTTTGCCAGTCTCCACCAGTGCTATTTCAGGCTTAGAAGTTTTTAGATGTAACTGCTCTAAGCTGGTCTCAGGCTGGTGAAACTTCTAATTGGTTTGTTTCAAAGTGGGGTCAATCTCCTTTGGATACTCAGAAAGGTCCTGAGGCAGTGTTGCTTGGCCCCGGTGTGTTATAAGAGTTAATTGATTAAACATTGTTTTAGTTGTTATGTCCATCCCTTCTCCTCGAATGTATATGTGTATCCACGGAGTTGGGCAGGGGATGGTTTTGAGTAATAATTGTTATGTGGTACCCAGGTTTCGTGCTTCTCTTGTTCACCTTGGACTTACCAAGTCAGACTACTCAGATTTCACTCCCTCTTGTCTAAGGGGTGAATTCTTCAGTACCCTTTGCACTGTCGGTTACCCAAACATAAAGAGAGACTTTGTTAAGATTATGGGGAAATACAGAATTGCCTTATTCTTTTGATTTTATTATCATGATATCTCCAACAGTGAGAACATTTTTCATAGTTGCTCTTCCATGTCTTACCTTAACGTCAGTCATCAGCAGCACTCGGGTTATTTCTCAATGTATGGTTGTTAGGCAAACTGTGACACTGTTTGATGTGTAGTACTTGAGATGGAAATACCAGGATTTTAATTCACAGGATTTTAATCTGCAATTTGAAGGACACTGAACGTACTGACTTTTCCCCTGGATTTCCATCCTGAAGGCATAGTGTATAGTCCTTAGGATGAAGTCATTTTCTGTAAGCCTGAAAACTAAAATCATAATGATTGTACTTTTGTATTTTACAGTGTGTGGACCAGTTGACAAAGATCCAAACTGAATTACAAGAGACAGTGAAAGATTTAGCTAAAGGCAAAAAGAAATACTTTGAGACTGAACAGATGGCTCATGCAGTACGAGAGAAAGCTGACATCGAGGCAAAGTATGTGTTTTAACATTTCTGAGAAAATTATTATGCAAATAAATGTTATTGTTGCTAATAGTTTGTTCTCTATTAGTAGTGAGCATGGACCCATTCTCAGGTAGTGGTGGTTTCATTTGACCTACATGTGTTATATACTTTAGGTCACATTTTTTTAATTGGCTGATTTTTATCTGAATTAATATAGCAAAATGGGAATATTAGATTAGTCAGTTTTTCACATTAAATTGAATTTTGAAAAAGAAGGTAAATGAACATTGTATTTACAGACTTGAAAGCTTATCAAAAGCCTGAAGTCACTGCTATGGTGTCTGAATATCAGGGTTTAAGAGCCTCATTTTTCTCATGCTGGATTCTCAATCAGTTGTAGTTGGAAATTCCTGTGATCCTCAGGATGCCACTGAAGGTCCATGAACACATCAAGTGAACAAAAGCACTGACCTCCATGTAGAAACCCTGCCCCAGGCACTGTTTTTTTCTTTTACACAAAAATCTAGTGTATATATACATAATTTTTCATGTATGCTTTAGCAATTGTATGAATTCAATATATGTGAATTATAAGACCTTTTTTTAAGAATAAGTAGGAAAAGAAGGAACTGGCAACTGGTAATAGAAGGTGATATAAAGCAAGCAATATAATAGAGATTTTTGCAGTGACAATTTGAGGAAAGATAAAAAGTTGATGAGAAAAAGCATGTTGTATAACTGGACTCTGAAGACATCTGTGAGAAGGAGAGCTGAGACTCAGGGTCAGTGTGCTGACTGATGCAAAATCTAGGAGTCTGAACTCCTAATCATAATATCAGAAAGGCTTTGAACACCTGTACAAACAGACCAGTAAGGAGGGGGCTATCTTTCTAATACAGTTTTTATTCACAAGAAATGTAAGCAACCTTATAAGCAACTTGTGAAAATTCAGGGGCTCCGCGGTTTATCAAGGGCTGGTAAGTGAGTATTCATGAAGGACTTGATGTTACAGGAAAACACATTTAATATTTCTCTAATTTGTTTTATTGTATTTATTGTTTTATTGTTTGAACCTACAAATATTTCCTGTACTTTTATAGAGTCAGTGAACCCATCTTCTCAATAAGACCTGAAGTTTTTAGATTAGATGTCCATTGGGAATATACTGTCATAGTCGTTTTTAGAAACTTGTTTTCTTAAACTTTCAGAGATCCTAGAACAGAGAATTGACAGATTTGTAAAGCATGTATAAACAAATAATTTAGCCACAGCCCACAGGATGAACATGAGCACAGTGGAGGGGCGTTTCTGAGAAGTGGGGATTTGATAGGGTCTGATTCACAGAGCTGATCACAAGGAATTGCCTTCTAACATGACCCAAATTCAGAGGGGATACAGCAAGCTAGACATATTAATATTAACTTTTCAACTATAGAGTAAGGAATGCCACTTTATCTTCATTTATTCGCAGTTTGTTGAATACTTTATATTGGATATGGTGAGTACAGAGATGAGTAAGGTAAGCTTTGTGCCCTCAAGGAATTTAAGGCCTAGAATTAGAAACTCAAAGAAATCAAGTGCCTAAAGTCACTTAATATTAACTAATAACTTACTTGCAGTAGTAATGTGAAAACACTTTTAGGAAAGCCTAGAAAATATAGAGGTTAATTTTGCCTAATGATAAATGAAAGCTTTATAGAAGAAGTGATGTTTGGATAGAATCTTGAGGAATGAGTATAAATTTTCTAAGTAGAGATAAGGAGGAAGATCAGGAAGGGGAAGTTAAACTGTACTACCTATAGTTTTTATAGATGATTTGATAGATGGTGTGGAGATGCACACATTAGGAGAGACCATAGAAGGAAGAGGGATACAATTTGAAGGAGATGATGAATTTCATTTTGGATATGTTTATTCTGAAGAGCCTGGGAAACACTGGGGTGAATATGTTTGGAAGGTAGTCAAATATCTGGCACTTAAATGAGAATTTGGGCCTCAAGATCTCGCTTTGAGGGTCAGTTGCCTATCAGATGGTAGTTACATAGTATATAGAATAGATGAGAAGTTGAGTTTGGAACCCCAAGGAACATTAATTTTGAAGGGTAGGTGGTAAAGAGTAGCACGCGGTATAGTTCATTATTTGTGTAGTGTTTGGGTGTAAAAATCCTGCCTTATTTTTTCTAGATTGAAATGTTTGAGAACAGGTACTATTTTATTCTATCTATCACTAATACCTACCTTAATACTACACAAGAAGTATATTAGGATTAGGAAATAAAGCAGAAGCCAGAAATTTAAAACCTTATATTGGAAGATCTACATGCAACTCAGCCTATTTGGGTAATGACTGTAAAAAAAGGAGAACTGGGAATATCCCCAAACACAGTCTTATTCTGAAAAGGCTTTCTTAGAGATTTGAGTTTGTGGCCTTTACTTTTCTAGATAAAATAAACAGGAATATGATTAATAAAAGTAAAATAATTGGGGCCGGGCACGGTGGCTCACGCCTGTAATCCCAGCACTTTGGGAGGCCGAGGCGGGTGGATTACAAGGTCAGGAGATTGAGACCATCCTGGCTAACATGGTGAAACCCCGTCTCTACTAAAAATACAAAAAATTAGCTGGGCGTGGTGGCAGGCGCCTGTAGTCCCAGCTACTCGGGAGGCTGAGGCAGGAGAATGGCATGAACCCAGGAGGCAGAGGTTGCAGTGAGCAGAGATCACGCCACTGCACTCCGACCTGGGCAACAGAGCGAGACTCCGTCTCTAAATAAATAAATAAAATAAAGTAATTATGAAATATGACTATGACAAGGTAAAAAATAACAGGAATCTTTTAAACCCAATTTTTTTAACAATGGGGAAGTAGTTGGGCTGCATATGTGTTCATCCCTGAATGTTTTCTCTTGTTAGAAAAATAAGAGGCTGCTTTTCCTATCCTCTTCACACTGGCTTTGCAAAGACTAACTGCTCCATCATCCAGTCCCAAACTGGCCAGCAACTTTACTTCATGAGGCACAGCTGCCAACACATGTATTGAATTCTCTCATGGAAATCACCCTGACACTGAAGTCAGGACAAACATTGCAGCTTTAAAAAAAAAATCACTGGTCCTGGGAGTGTTGCTTGTTCCCTAGCATTTGTCTGTTGACTTTCTCCATATGGTTATCTGCAGCTGTTTGGGTAAAATCAACATGTTTGTACTACCTATTGTTAGATTATGGTTACTCTCCCAAACTGAAAAAGGATCAAGGGAAATAAGAACCCAAGAGTGGGAGAAGATTACATCATACAGGGCAGAGTCCCAGGACTTTCTCAGTAAGTTCAGAATACCCCCTTAGAGCAGAGGAGGCACACAGGCAGGTACCCAAACAAGAAGTACTTTTAATGGTGGAAATAATAGAAGTAAGGACTTCATAGAGCCTATTGTTAGAGTCTTTCACACACAGCCCTGAAAGTTTGCTGACGCTTGCCTCCATAGGTTGATTGTCCCTGGGTCTCTCTAACCTTTGCAGGAACTAAAGTGTATGAAGTTGTATGGTACTGAGAATAGTCTATAATTTGATGGCTCTTGTTTATTAGGAGACACCAATATATTTTGATTTTTTTTTGGTCAAGTTTTTTTTTTTTTTTTTTTGGTCATTCTGGATATTTGTCTTATATTAATCCCAGTATTTCCTGTTTTACCATGATAATAAATTCTTCCTGTAGTAAAATAAAGGAAAATAATCATTACTCTTGGTTTTCCATTTTTTCATTCTTTTTTAGAGCAGTATCTTCAAAAAAGATTATTTTTAAATTTTAATAATATATTTAGTAATTTTATTGTGATATAATTAGATGATTTTATTAAACATACTTTTCTATTTTTATTATAGATCTAAACTTAGTCTTTTTCAATCAAGAATCAGTTTACAGAAGGCAAGTGTAAAGGTAAGTTTTCAATAAGTGTATTTCACAACTGAGAAACCTCTTAGCTTGTAAAACAGAGAATTGGATCTTTGAGGGTGGAGGTGGATTATTTCTACCTTAGAGAAGCATTTTAAAGTCACTGACTCAGGGAGGAACTTTCCCTCCCAGTTCATGGGGGTTTTGCACCCAGCTGTCAACACCTTGGACACACTTGCTTCTCAAGACTGCATTAGGGATAAGTTTCTGGACCTTACCTGCTTAGGCAGCCTGTTGTCTTTAGCTCTTAGTCCAAGAGACTTAATCCGGGGGCTTTGGAAAGCTCTACAAAATCTATTTCGTTTAGATTTAGACCCCTGAGTGATATTCTGGGCCAGATGTGAGTGAGTTTTTCCTTCGGAAACTTCACACTGTGGAATGCCTGATTAAGTAAGCTTAGAGACCTGGCTGTGGCTGCCAGGCTTCAAACTAGCATGCAGTTCATCTGGCACATTAGGAGTGCTGATTTTTAAAAAACTGTTTTCTAACTCCACTAGATTTTACCCATACCTTTGAAGATAAGGTACTTATTTCAGAACCTTTATTTAGTCATTTGAATAAATGGGCAAAATATTTTTAAGTTATCTACAAAGCTTTAGAAGTATGTTAAGCAAATATTTGAAAATGCTCCTGCCCTGTATAACAGTTCTAGTCACTGTTTCATTCCTTAGTAGTGATGAATAATTTTTATATACGTATAAATGTTTTCCGCACGTGGTTACCTTTATTCTTGTTGGGGAGCCATTAATTGCAAACTAAGAGTAGGATTCCTATGTGTTTTGCAGTACAATATCAGTTTGCACTGATTATTTTATTTTGCTATGTTTTAGTTAAAAGCCCGGCGATCTGAGTGTAATTCCAAAGCTACCCACGCAAGGAATGATTATCTTCTTACCCTAGCGGCAGCAAATGCACATCAGGATCGCTACTATCAAACAGATTTAGTTAACATTATGAAGGTAATACAGCTTTCATATCTATGGTAATTTTACTTCATTGAAAACAAAAACAACTTAAGTTGGGTGTTGGGTTTATGGGATTGAATCTATAAAAGAGTAGCCAGGCTATGTTGCATCTCATTGGAATATACTTGTTATTGTTTGGATAGCATCTGTTTCAGATAATTTGGAATTAATTTTTAGTTAAGAAAATGTTTACAGACAAGTCACAGTAAAGGATTATATTATTCCCTAGGTGCGGCAAACATTTGTTATCTAGTGGTTATTGATGTAGAAGATACAAGAGTGATGTAAGAAATAAAATAATGACTCAAACTGGGAAACTACTTCTGAGCTATTTTATGAGACTCATGTCATGGTTTCAATAAATTATTGAAGCTAGGCAGAATCTTCAGGTATCTTCTGAATCATCGGAGAAAGACATTTTAGCATAATTTTTGTTAGATTGTATCTGTATTTTTTGAAAAATTTTTATAAGAAAAGTTTTATGCAAAAGAATATTTCTATTAAAAATATATTTTTATAGTGTATCTCTTAGCCTGAATTTTTTATTAACTACAATTTTGGCCACAACTATGTCTAATGATAATTATGAAGCTTTTTTTAATTTTAATTTTTTAGAGACAAGGTCTCGCTCTGTTGTCCAGGCTAGAGTGCAGTGATGATCACGGCTCACTGCAGCCTTGAACTGCCAGGCTCAAGCAATCCTCCCGCCTCATCCTCCTGAGTAGCTGGGATCCAGGTGCATGCTACCATGCCTGGCACCTTTCTTTTATTTATTTTTTTTTTTTTTTGAGACGGAGTCTCGCTCTGTCGCCCAGGCTGGAGTGCAGTGGCGGGATCTCGGCTCACTGCAAGCTCCGCCTCCCGGGTTCACGCCATTCTCCTGCCTCAGCCTCCCAAGTAGCTGGGACTACAGGCGCCCGCCACTACGCCCAGCTAATTTTTTGTATTTTTAGTAGAGACGGGGTTTCACCGTTTTAGCCGGGATGGTCTCGATCTCCTGACCTCGTGATCCGCCCGCCTCAGCCTCCCAAAGTGCTGGGATTACAGGCATGAGCCACCGCGCCCGGCCCCTTTCTTTTATTTTTAGAAACAAGAGTCTTGCTATGTTGACCAGGCTGGCCTCAAACTCCTGGCTTCAAGTGATCCTCCCTCCTAAGCTTCCCAAAATGCTGGGATTACAGGTGTGAGCCATTGTGCTTGGCTATTTTTTATTTCTAAAAAAACTTAGATTTTTAAAAAATTTCATTACGTTTATCCTGAATTTATGGGTAAAATTGCACATTACTATTTGATGATTTTGAGCTGCGTACGGGACAAACAAAAGAGTATGTTCAGTAGCTATATGAAGATGTCTGTCCTCTGGGTATTACTCTGAAATGCAGATAGATTAGATTACAGTTTGTGTACCCAAACTTGATCTAGCATTTCCCTGTTTATACCACCTATGATGTGTCTTTAACTTTCACTGAAATAAAGAGAAGATAGTAGAGGAAAAGGAAACCTTTGTAATCTGTTGCCAGGTTTCTCCCTTGTTGCTGACAGGCAAGCTCTGCTTTGGATTGTATCTGTCATTCTTTCCTGTTTTCCCAAAACCCAAACATTTTATCATTTTGTTTTTTCTTATTTTCAACCCATCCCCCTCAAATGTATTGTTCTTAATGACTAACAAACACACACATTGCTGTAGTCGAATTGCTTAATTTACAAATCAGCAATTGTGAATGGGGATGCAGCCAGAGCAGGTGCTCTTTTTTCTGCAGTAGCTCTGGAAAAGAGGTCAACTCTGGCCAGAAACTGCAAGTTCTTTCCTTGAAAGTAGAGATGGGACAGTTCTCGGGACCTTCAGGCAAAAACAAGAGTGTTGAAGGGAGTCAAACTGGACTAAGAAGTATCCTATTGCAAAAACGTTTTTTCTTTCCTTTTTGTTCACTGCCTGAAATCCCCTTTTCCTAGCTTCTGTTGTGACTTCTGCTTATTAGAATACAGGTTAGAAAATATAGAGACAAGGAACTGTTTTGTCATCTCAGATGAAAACTCTGCATATATTTTCCATAAAGTATTAGACCTAGAGGTTTAGGTGTTTTAGTATATATAGTTTTTGAGACAGGGTCTCGCTCTGTCATAACAGGCTAGAGTGCAGTGGCTTGAACATGGCTCACTGCAACCTGAACCTCCTGGTCTCAAGGGATCCTCTTGCCTCAGCCTCCCATGTAGCTAGGACCACAGGTGCCTGCCACCATACCCAGCTAATTTCTTAATTTTTATTTTCGCAGAGGCGTGGTCTCACTTTGTTGCCCAGGCTATTCTTTAACTCCTGGGCTTAAGAGATCCTCCCACCTCAGCCTCCCAAAATGCTGGGATTATAGGGGTGAGCTACTGGGCCTGGCTGGTTTTAGTATCGTATTAGGTATTACATAGTGCTTCAGACTTACAAGGACCAACAGTTTCAAAGAACACATTTACTAAAGATGATTTTTAGCACAGCTCGCACTTAAGGTTGTAATTCACTATATTCTATATATGTCTACTATTATATCAAAGCTGTATATTTTTCCCTATGAATATTTTTAAATGAACATTATATTAACTTAAGCAACAGCAAAAATAAAATCCTATTTTTTTTCTATTGGATCTACAGCTAAAAAAGATGGCCTTCAATAAACCAGAGAAAGTACATTCTTATTTGGGGGATCTGCTCTCTGCCTAAAGCAAAGAGGAAGTTAAAGGGCCTGGCCAGCTCACAGATTAATATATGTTCTCGAACTTACTTTGAAGTCTTTATGCATATATTTGATCAGCATTGGGTAGGTCATGCTTTGGAGTATTCATTTAATGAAACATTGTGGGGTACTAAACTGATTAAAAATAGAGGCAGGGGTTGGTCCCTCCTGCCCCTTAAAAATGAGAAAACATACTTTCAGTTTTCATGTACTGTACATTAACTCATTTTCTTCCTCATGCTAATTCTATAGTCTGCAGTACAGGAAAACTCCTATCAATCATGCTGTTAGCTACTTAGTAAATTTCCACCATTGAATTGTCAGTGGCCCTTAGATGCCTTTCTTGAAAATATCTGTTTTTCTGAATTAATGTTAAGGAAATATCTATTTTTCTGAATTAATGTTAAGGTGATAATGCCCTATATGGGTAGCTTAAAAGCAGGGTATTTGATTTGTTGGTTTAATCATACACATTTAAGAGCCTCTTACAGCATGCTAACTACTGAGTTAGGCTTTGGGAAGAGACAGATGAGTAAGACATACTACTTATCCTCAAAGAGCTCAATATGGTAGAAGAGAGTGAGATGTATATATATACATACACATATATATACACACACATATATACATATATATACACATACATATATATACATACATACATTATATATATATATATATATATACACACACACACATACACATACATATATACATGATTGCAAATTAGAGTGATGGAAATCACTTACTGCTGGAGGACTGTGGTTAGTAATAATAATAGCTATCTTTTTTATTGCTTAATATTGCCTTGGCATTATCCTAACCATTTAATACATGTTATCCTTTCTCATTTTCTTTGTTATCCTCGTTAAAGTTCATAGCTCATTATTTAAATAATACTCTAACTTATATTCTTATCTTTGCCCTTCTTCAAATGAAATGAAATTGTAACTCTGATGAGCCCCCATAACTGGATAATCTGTATCTAAGCAGCCAAGTACTGCTGAAGAAAAGTTTCGACGGAGCAGATTCATGATCATAAATTAATAGAGAAACCAGTGCAGCAGTTTCAACACTGCTTAGATGGCCTACTGTCTTTTCCCTAGTTAACTTTTCCTACTATTTTTAACAGTTATTTCAACTTTTCCCCCCTCTTCAAACCTCAAACTTACCCCTTCTCTTTTATGCTTAGCAAGTGGGTTTTCTTCCTAATTTACAGAGACGATAGAAACCGTTGGAAGACAGCTTCAATATTGTCCACTTCATCTGTGTTGAAGACTCTTCCAGAGTCTCAGTAGCAGTTGTTCCTGTCTAAAGGTGATCTTTTCACCTCAGCTTTGGATTATATCTCATCCCCTCCTGCCTTCTTAGGGAACAAAACAATTATTTTATGTTCTTTTCGTATTTCCTGGACATTCTGTTCTTACATTAGCAGTTATCTTGGTGATAACAACCCTCATTATGACTGTCTTTTGAGTTACATTCTTCTAATCTGGACTAGTTGCCCTCTGTGTCAGATGCAAGTATTTATCCTGAGATCTTCCTATATGTCTTTGTTGTGTTAGATCTCCAGTTTTCTTTATGATATGTCTTATTTTTTTCTTGATTTATACTGTCCTTTGGTAGAGCACATCCTCCAGTACCTTCTTGCGAAAGTGGGCATGGGAAGTAAGTTTTTTGAGATACTATGTTTATGAAAATGGCATATTATTTGCTTGTACTTGGATATAGAATTAAAGGTTGAAAACTCTTTCATTGAAACATTGGAGTCCATACCTCATTGTTTTCTTCTTTACTGTGTAAGTATTGAGAATCCAAAGCCATCCTAGTTCTTGATTATTTGTATCTGATCTAATTGTTTGTTTTTTCTTTTTTTAGAAGTTTATGGAATATTCTCAGTGTACCCTTTGATTTCTTGGATTAATTCTTCCCTTTTGTTTTCTCTTTCTGGAACTTCCCATTATTAAGATATGATATCTCCTAGCTTGCTTCTTTAAATTTCATTTCTTTCTTATTTTCCATCTTTGTCATTATGTTGTACTTTTTGGGAGACTTCTTCAACTTTACAGTTTCTTTTATTGGACTTTTAATTTTTTCATAGTAGTTTTAATGTATGAGAGTTCTGTTTTCTCCACATCCTTACCAGCATTTTTTATTGCCTGTTGTATTAGTTCGTTTTCACACTGCTTTAAAGAACTACCTGTGGCCGGGCATGGTGACTTACACCCATAATCCCAGCACCTTGGGAGGCCGAGGTGGGCAGATCACCTGAGGTCAGGAGTTTGAGACCAGCCTGCCAACATGGTGAAAATCCATCTCTACTAAAAATACAAAAAATTAGCTGTGTGTGGAGGCATGCACTTGTAGTCCCAGCTACTCAGGGAGGCTGAGGCACGAGAATCGCTTGAACCTGAGAGGTGGAGGTTGCAGTGAGCTGAGATCGCACCACTGCACTCCAGCCTGGGTGACAGAGTGAGACTTCATCTCAAAAAAAAAAAAAAAAAAAAGAAAGAGCTACCTGAGACTGGGTAATTTATGAAGAAGAAAGGGTTAATTGACTCAGTTCCGCATGGCTGGGGAGGCCTCAGGAAACTTACAATCATGGTAGAAGGCAAAGGAGAATCAAGTACCTTCTTGACATGGGGGTAGGAGAGAGGAAGCGAAGGGGGAAGTGCCACTTTTAAACCATCAGATATCGTGAGAACTCAGTCACAATCATGAGAACAGCATCAGGGAAATCGCTCCTATAATCCAGTCACCTCCCACAGGGACCCTCCCCCGATATATGGGGATTACAATTTGAGATGATGAGATTTGAGTGGGGACACAGAGCCAAACATATCACCTGTCTTTTGGATAAAAGTCATTTGACCTGGGATGACATGCTATCTAATTATAGTTTTGATTTATGTTTCTCTGATGGTCAATGATATTGAGCACCTTTTTATATGCCTGCTTGCCATTTATATGACTTTTTTTGAGAAATGTCTATTCAGATTTTTTGCTCATTTTTATTTTTTATTTTTATGTATTTATTTATTTTTCTTTTTTTATTATACTTTAAGTTCTGGGGTACATGTGCACAATGTGCAGGTTTGTTACATATGTATACATGTGCCATGTGGTGTGCTGTACCCATTAACTCGTCATTTACATTAGGTATATCTCCTAACGCTATCCCTCCCCGCTCCCCCCACCCCATGACAGGCCCCAGTGTGTGATGTTCCCCACCCTGTGTCCAAGTGTTCTCATTGTTCAATTCCCACCTATGAGTGAGAACATGTGGTGTTTGGTTTTCTGTCCTTGCTGTAGTTTGCTCAGAATGGTGGTTTCCAGCTTCATCCATGTCCCTACAAAGGACATGAACTCATCCTTTTTTATGACTGCATAGTATTCCATGGTGTATATGCCACATTTTCTTAATCCAGTCTATCATTGATGGGCATTTGGGTTGGTTCCAAGTCTTTGCTATTTTGAATAGTGCTGCAGTAAACATATATGTGCATGTGTCTTCAGAGCAGCATGATTTATAATCCTTTGGGTATATACCCAGTAATGGGATTGCTCGGTCAAATGGTATTTCTAGTTCTAGATCCTTGAGGAATCGCCCCAATGGTTGAACTAGTTTACAGTCCCACCAACAGTGTAAAAGTGTTCCTGTTTCTTCACATCCTCTCCAGCACCTGTTGTTTCCTGACTTTTTAGTGATTGCCATTCTAACTGGTGTGAGAGCGTGCTCGCTTCGGCAGCACATATACTAAAATTCTAACTGGTGTGAGATGGTATCTCATTGTAGTTTTGATTTGCATTTCTCTGATGGCCAGTGATGATGCTTTTGCTCATTTTAAAAATCAGATTATTAGATTTTTTTTTCCTATAGAGTTGTTTGAGCTCCTTATATATTCTGGTTATTAATCCCTTGTCAACTGGATAATTTACAAATATTTTTTACCATTCCATGGGCTGTCTCTGCACTTTGTTGATTGTTTACTTTGCTGTGCAGAAGTTTTTTAACTTGATGTGATCCCATTTGTCCATTTTTGCTTTGATTGCCTGTGCTTACAGGGTATTACTCAAGAAATCTTTGCCCAGTCCAGTGTCTTAGAGAATTTCCCCCAATGCTTTATTTTAATAGTTTTGGGCTGGGTGTAGTGGCTCACACCTGTAATCCCAGCGCTTTGGGAGGCCAAGGCAGGTGGATCACAAGGTCAGGAGTTCAAGACCACCTGGCCAATATGGTGAAATGCTGTCTCTACTAAAAATACAAAAATTAGCCAGGTGTGGTGGTGGGCACCTGTAGTCCCAGCTACTCAGGAGGCTGAGGCAGGAGAATCGCTTGAACCGGGAAGTGGAGGTCACAGTGTGCCGAGATCATGCCACTGCACTCCAGCCTGGGCAACAGAGCAAGACTCTGTCTCAAAAAAAAAAAAAAAGTTTCATAGTTTGAGGTCTTAGATTTAAGTCTTTAATTCATTCTGATTTGATTTTTGTATATGGTGAGAGATAGGGGTCTAGTTTCATTCTTCTGCATATGGATGTCCAGTTTTCCCAGCACTTTTCCCCCAGTGTATGTTCTTAGCACCATTGTTGAAAATGAGTTCACTGTAGATGTATGGATTTGATTCTGGGTTCTGTCTTCTGTTCCATTGGTCTGTGAGTCTATTTTTATGCCAGTACCATACTGTTTTGGTTACTATAGCTCTGTAGTATAATTTGAAGTTAGGTAATGTGATTCCTCCAGTTTTCTTTTCCCCAGCCTAATTATTCTGAAGAATAAGATCAGGCCTGGCACAGTGGCTTACACCTGTCATCCCAGCACTTTGGAAGGCGGGGGTGGGAGGATCACTTGAGTCCAAGCGTTTGAGACCAGCCTGGGCAGCATAGTGAGACTTTGTCTCTACAAAAAAATTTAAAAATTAGCACGTGCTTGTAGTCCCAGCTACTCAGGAGGCTGAAGTGGGAAGATAACTTGAGCCCAGGAATTGAAGGCTACAGTGAGCTATGATCCTGCCACAGCACTCCAGCCTGGGTGACAAAGTGAGACCTCATCTCTTAAAAAAAGGAAATAAAAAGAATAAGTTCATGTTGATATCTAAATACAAGTATTTGGACAGATTCCCCAAGAAATACTATTTATTTCTTATGCCAGTAGTTACTAGAGCAGATACTGAATATATCTTTCTCTGTCTGTATATTATTAGGCAGATTTCTTTAAACTCTAAACTAAAACAAACAAACAAAAAACTATTGCTAGACCCTGGAAATCAGATAACTGATTTCATCAAATCTACAGAAATCAACTCAGCTGGTTTGTGGTGAGATAATTTGTTCCTCACATGTTCCTTTTTCATAGCATGTTCTTGTGCAATATATGAACTAACATTTTTTAGAAGCTTGTGAAATATTTTCTTTGTGGTTTGGATGAGGAAGAATGAGATACAGTGTGTCATAGTAGAAAAGAGAACAAACGTCAATTTAATGGAAGATTTTTTAAAAGCTTAGTAATTCTTAATAGGATTTATTTCTAGACAAATATTTCTTCAGTGGAAGCCAAACATACATTGACTAGTTGATAATTTGGTGAAGTAATAAAAGATAAACATCTTTCTGTATGGCAGAAATCTAGAAAATATAATTTGACTTATCTTTTGCAGACTTTTTTTGATCAAATGAAGAGAAAAACATTAATATACAAATCCTTTCTAAAATTGATACATAATAACTATATATTTATAGTGTATGTGTGATATTTTGATGCATGCGTACAATGTGTAAGGATCAAATGGGGGTAATTGAGATATCCATCATCTCAAATATTTATTATATATCATGGAGTGTTGAGAACATTTCCAAATCTTCTCTCCTACCTGTTTTAGAATATACCATAAATTATTGTTAACTATAGTCACCCTGCTGTGCTATTAAACAGTAGAATGTATTCCTTCTATCTGACTGTAATTTTATACCCATTAACCAACCTCTCATTGGCCCCACCTTCCTATCCTTCCCAACCTCTGGTAACCACCAATCTACTCTCTACTGCTGGATATATATCCAAATGAATGGAAATCAGTATGTTGAAGAGATGTCTTATAGCACTATTCACAATAGCTAAGATGTGGAATCAACCTAAATGTCCGTCAGTGGATAAATGGATAAAGAAAATGTAGTATATATACACAATGAAATATTATTCAGCCATAAAGAAGATTGAAATCCTGTCATTTGCAATAACATGGATGACCCTAGAGGACATTATGTTAAGTGAAATAAGCCAGGAACAGAAAGCCAAGTTCTTTTTCGGTTTTTCTGGCTAAGCATTAATTCCAAAAATCTTCCTCATTCATATGTAGGCGTATATAACTCATCTTTTTTATTTTGAGTTGTGGCTCTTCTGGTTTCTCTGTCGTCTCTAGCTCTTGTACCTCTGATTCACCTAATGTCTGTTTACTTAATTAATTAGCATGGAAGTCTTCAATTCTATTAAATTCTGCTTAATTCTGCTTTAATTCTGTTAAATCTCTGCTTCTCTTGCTTTATATCCTTTTTTTTTTAATGCCCTCTTTCTTGGAGAGAGTAATCATTTGACTCAGTTCCCATAAATACCATATGATTCTCAAATCTGTCTGCAGCCTGCCCTTTAATTATTCATATTTGTGCCTTTACCACTGGTACTTGTGAATACTGAAAGTAACTAAAAATAAATGCATTTTAAAATTCTGTTTCTCAGTCCCAGTAGCCATATTTCAAATGCTTAAAGGCCACATGTGACTAGTGTCTACCATGTTGGACAGTGCAGATATAGAACATTTTTGCCATCTTAGAAAACTCTGTTGAACAGCAGTGCTCTAAAGCTTATTTTGTTTTTACTTGTTATGGTTTGAATGTGTCCTCTAAAGTTCATGTGTTGGAAACCTAATTCCCAATGCAACAATACTGAGAAGTGGGACTTTTAAAAGGTCATTAGGTCATGAGGGCAGAGCCCTTATGAATGGATTATTGCCATTGTTGTGAGAGTGAGTTATTTATTACAGGAGTGGGTTCCTGATAAAAGGAAAAGTTTGGCCCCTTTCCACTTTCCCTCTTGTGTTCTGTTGCTCTTCTGCTTTCTACCATGGGATGATACAGCGTGAAGGCCCTTGCCAGATACAGGCCCCTACACCTGGACTTCCCAGTCCCGAGAACCATGAACCAAATAAACGTCTGTTGTTTATAATTACCCAGTTTGTGGTATTCTGTTATAGCAACAGAAAATGGACCAAAACTTTGTTTTCTTCCATCCCGCCCCCCGCCCTTACCTGTCTGTTATCAACTCTGCTGGTCATTTTTCCCAGTAACCACTTGGTTATATTTGATTATTTCACAATTAATTGCTCCTTCATTTGCACTCTAGGTCTTTACTTATATCTTGTTAAAGAACAGAGGTTGGCAAACATTTCTTGTAAAGGGACAGATAATAAATAGGCTTCTGTGTTGTGGTTACTCAGTTCAGCTGTTGCAGTGCAGCCATGAATGTGGCTATGTTCCAGTAAAACTTTACTTACAAAGCTGGATGATGGGCTGGATTTGGCCTACAGGCCTTAGTTTGCCCACCCTTGGTATAGAACTTTAAAAACTGTGTTATGAATGTTCTAACTATATAAATATGCTGAAAATAATAAAATGAGTACCCATTTACCCAACCACCAAGCTTCAAAAATGAAACACTCTCAGTACAGTGGAAATCTCCCAGGTGACCCCTCCCAAAACATCTCCCTTATGTTCAACAGATTGTAACTACCACTCTGACAATAGATAGTGTTGTCTTAGATAGTATCATGCCCTGTGATATTATGCAACTTGCATTTTTCTCACTCAACATTGTATTTGTTGAGATTCATTTGTATGAATTTTTAACTTTCTTTGTTATCTTTGCTATATAGTATTTCATTGTATATATATATCATAAATAACTTACCCATTTTCTTTTCTTTTCTTTTCTTTCTTTTTTTTTTGAGATGGAGCTTTCCTCTTGTTGCCCAGGCTGGAGTGCAATGGCACGATCTCGTCTCACCACAACCTCTGCCTCCTGGGTTCAAGTGATTCTCCTGCCTCAGCCTCCTGAGTAGCTGGGATTACAGGCACATGCCACCACACCCAGCTAATTTTGTATTTTTAGTAGAGACGGGGTTTCTCCATGTTGGTCAGGCTGGTCTTGAACTCCTGACCTCAGGTGATCCGCCTGCCTTGGCCTCCAAGGTGCTGGGATTATAGGCATGAGCCACCGCGCCCGGCCATAACTTACCCATTTTCTTAATGGAAATTTTAGTTGTTTATTGTTTTACTGTTACAAACAGTGCTGTTATCAACAGTCTTGTACATTCTCCCTGGCTCACTTGTGCTAGAGATTCTTAAGGGAATATACCTAGAAGTGGTATGCATTAGAAGCTGTACAAAAGAGTGCCAGCTTACAATCCTTTTATTGTACCTTTCAGCATTGTTTGCATATCATTTGAAGCTCGGGAAGCATTTGAGTTTGTACTAGGTGATAGGCACTTGGTGATACAGAGATGAATTGGATGTGATCCATACTGTCATTGAGCCAGAAACAAGGTTATTCTCTGGTGCCGCCCACAAGGGGCTTATGGAATATGGGGTAATAGATTCTTTCCCTGCTACATTGGTTATTTTATGATTGGTTCCCTGTGACTCAGAAAGATAAAATTAGGATGCTTCTTGTAAGTCTTTACCAAACTTCTAAAGTAATTATTTCGAAATATTTTTAGCAGTTGAACAACTTTTTAAAACAAACTCCTACATGGAATCTTTATATATAAAGCAGATAAAAGGGAAGTTATTTGGTTAAAGTTTGTGAGCCTGTTTCCTCTTTGTGTGTTTTCCCCACTCCCTATACCTGCCTGTGACATCCTCTACTTTCCCATGGTTCCTAAGGCATCAGGCTGAATACTAGGGCACCTTGAAATATAGTTTGGAAAGAAATGTTCTAAGACAGGATTTTCCAACTACCAAATTTCTTATAGAGGTCTAAGCTTTACCTAGATGATCTTAATTTTAGAGTTTTTTGAGGTAAACTCATAAAAATATAAATCAAAACATGGTAATCAGTTCACATCCTTCAGTGGACAGGTCTAACAGGTAATTGAATATTCTCATTTCAGAGTTTAATTTAATGTCTTGGGCTGGAGAATCAACAATAGATGAGGGGTACTGAAGCAGAGAATACATAAAACTATTAACGAGAGTATTGTATAGGGTGACAAGAGGCATAAGAAGAAAATTTTAAAGAGATTAACTCTTTTTAAATCAATTTTATTGAGGTACAATTAATATACAATAAGATGCATCTATTTTAAAATAGGGTTGGTTGAGTTTTGACAAATATGTATAACCATATTGTCACTATCATAATTGCAATCAATATCTAGAATATTTCTATCCTCCCAAACTTTTATCTCTCGTTCCTTTGCAGTTATATTTGATTTCCGTTGCTATGTAACAAATCACCACAAACTTAGACGTTTTAAACTACCTCCATTTATTATCTCACAGTTCTGTAGGTCAGAAGTCCAAGTAGGCTTAGCCAGGTTCTCTGCTTAGGGTTTCACAAGGCCAAAATCCAAATGTCACCTTGGCTGCATTCTTATCTGGAGATTCTGGGGAAGAATCTCCTTCCAGGGTCATTCAGGTTGTTGGCAAAACCCAGTTCCTTCTGGTTGTAGGACTTAACTCTGTTTTCTTGCTGGCTGTAGGCTGGGGTCATTCTCAGCTCCTAGAGGTGCTCTCAGGTCCTTTGTACATAATTCTCCATTACCAAGCCAGCAGTAGTGTGTCCAGTCCTGTTCATGTTTTGAATTTCTGACTTTTTTGCTACTAGCTAGAGAAAACTCTGCTTTTAAAGATTCATGTGATTAGGTAATCGCAGATAATCTCCCTTTTGCCATTTAACGTAGCATAATCACAAGAGTGATTATGTTCTACTGACACTCAAAGGAAAGGGGATTATACAAGGGCAAGGGTCACTGGGATCATTTTATAGTTCTGTCTACTTCAGCAGTCTTCACGTATTTTGTTAAATTTATTCCTAAGCATTTCATATTTCTCAATGTTACTGTAACATTTAGGTTTTAATTTTTCCTTTCAGTTCTTTTTATTAATATATAAACATATGATTGATTTTTATATTTTGACCTGTTCCAGTTACTTATAGTGTTACTCTGCATGACAAATGACTGTAAGGCTCAGTGGCTTAAAACAACAGCATTTAGTTTGCCTTCAAGTCTATACTTTGGGCAGGGGGGTCAGTAGGGATAACTTATCTCCGTACCACTCACATCAGCTAGAGAAACTCAAATGTGAAGGTTGAATTCTGAGGGCTTGCTATCTCACGTTTCTCATTAATGCTGCCTATTGACTCAGACCTTCCCGAGGCTGTCAGCTGGAGCTTCTGCACTTGGCTTCTTGGTATTGCCTTTCTCACAATGTTGTGGTTGGGTTCCAAAGGCAAATATGAGGGCAGTGGGGGTTAGGGGTATGTTTTGTCCCATTTTGTATACCTAACCCCAAAATTGGTGTTAAATGAGTGAGAAAGGAGAGGTTCAGCGGCCTTTCTTCATGGAAGTCTTTTCTTCATAGAAGAATTCGCATCTCACCAGGCTTTGTATGTGAGTGGGATGTCGGCAGGCTGTGGCAGCAGACAGTGGCATTTCACAGGGATGGACTTTTATGAAAAGGGGAGTGAAAGTAATGCACAGAAGAAACCAGTGGCTCCATTAATCTTGGAGAGAGCCATGAGAGTGCTAGCAATAGTTTTTAAGTGAGGTTGAAAAAAATTTGACCTTGAGGAAAGAATTCTAAAATGCCACTAAAGTAGCTTTGATTTTTTAAAACCAACCAGGTTAAAATGTGAACACATGATTATTTGTTATCTTAGTTTTAAATGCAGTTTTCTATAACACATGATATTTTTCCATTACCTTTTATTGTAGGGCTTTTAGATAAAAGACAATTTTCATACATTAGAATTGTAAGTATTTTTACTCACTGGATTGTAGACTGTTAGGTTTTGGTAGTGTTCTTAGATTCTGTAATATTTATTGTTGGTTAAAAACTTGAGGTGGTGAGCACTGTTAGCATTAATTTTGGGGTTAAGAAAGGAAGTGGTATATGTATTATCTGTTCAACATTCTTAGCCATTTGTGGCTTTAGTGAGTTTTCTTGCTTTATCAGTCATTTATCAAGTACCTCCCTCTAGTTTTCTTTTTCAAACCACTTTGAAACAGCAAGTTGGGTTCATTTTACTGGTATTCTGATGACTGTTGATTGTGGTTCTCAGGCTGATGTAATCATGTCACAAAATACAATAAAGATGATATTCCATCACTGAGGTGCTTAGTCACAGATTAAAATAGTCCCTGGCCACAGACAAGTCTTTTTCTGAGCCCAGTCCCCTATTCCTGTAATAATGAGGGTCAGGTCTCACTTGTGTGTATTTGGTCGTGTTGTACCTAGCATAACCAATGTGTGTGTTTAAACTTCATCCAATAAATCACTTAAGCCTAAGAATTTTGCTTCTTTATCACAAATAACATAGTGTGGAGTTTGCTGAACTCTATTTTCAGACATGGCTTTATAATTTCTGACTTAATTGCATGTTAAGCCATTTTATTTGTTTTCTTATTAAATTAACTAGTCAAAACATACCGTATTTCATTGATTCTAACATTTGGGCTTTTTTCTAGTCTTTTAATGTTTTTTATATCTTCGATGCTTCTTGTATTCTGTGGTGTCTTAAAGGAGGATAATTTTGCCTAAAGTTCCACTTTGTGCAAGGCACACAAAGAAGTAAGGAAATGGGACAAATACTCTCTACCCTCAAAAAATTAAGACAAAGATTCATCTTTTTGTCTCTGTCCCTCTCAGTGTTTTTCTCTTTCTTTCTCAGACACATACTCTAAAAAATTAACTGAGGTGGCAAAACCTAAATGCCAACTAGCTTTTCTGCACAGTTCTAATCCGATTTTTATTCCTGATATAAATAACTTAAAGCCAAATTAAATTAAATGAAACCATTCTAACATGATCCAAGAGGGAGAAAGTCTGTAGGTGAAGATAATAAACATTGGAATGCAGCTCCGTCTCTCATAAGGTTTTTGAAGGGAGTAGGTAGACTGTTAACACTGATTTTGACATGGCTACACTGGACAGTTCAAGTATTAACTTAGTGCTGACAATGAGGAGGAGACATCTGGAGTCTGAGAAGACCAGCCACCTAAGTGATACCCCAGGTATACTATTTTAAATTGATTTCAAAGAAAATCTATATGAAAGGTAGTAGCATATGTATATATGTGTGTATATCATTAAAACCATGTTTTTCATATAAGATGAATCACTGGACAAAGCCTTAATATTATTACCTATCAGTTTTGAAGGAAAGGATAACTGGGTTTTATTTTTGTTTTGTTTACCAATTTATAGAAATATCTTTTAATGTTACTATAATAAAACCATTAAAGCACCAAGGAGAAGTGTTGGTCAAAGGATGAACCTTGGGTACACAGAAGCACTGCTGGTCTCTGGAGTGAGGATGACTGGTCAGAGCATCCTGACTTCTGTAAGCAGGCCTTATGCTCATGGGGTATATAGTTTATAGCCTTTAACCCTGCCAAGAACAGAGAAAGTTTGCAGGGCTTCTGAAATTCCATGCCAGCACTATCATTTTGGAAATCAGAATAACCCCCCATTTATGGATATTGTAATTTATCATCTGTCAGCATAATTGGAAATATGTATTATTTGGCAAGAAGAGTTCCTCTTCAGGGCTCTCCATTAAGATACATGTGCCACAGTTATTCTGATCCTATGTATTGGAATCCCAGCCCTGGTTAGTCCTCATGGATTATCTTTCAATGAGACATCAAGACATAACTACAGGTAAGATAGCACATCTGAAAAATAGCCTCTGGAGAGGAGTAACCGTTTCTGAACAAAAGCTTAGGTCAACCTGAAGGTATTTTCTAGGAAACAGAATGATAAATTATAGTTTCAAATTAAAAGGCAAAGATCTATCAGTCTTAAGGACAGAGTACCAGTGTTATTTATCTGTAATTATTTTCATTTGTTCAGAAAGTAATTTTGGAGCATCTACATTGTACCCTACATAAAACCTTCAGTGGCTTCTTATCGCCCTTAGGATAAAATTGGAAAACCTCAAGATAATTCCAAAGGCCTTATATGCTCTGTTCTCTGCCCACTTCTTTTTTTTTTTTTTTGAGACAGAGTCTTGCTCTGTTGCCCAGGCTGGAGTGCAGTGGTGCGATCTCGGCTCACTGCAAGCTCCACCTCCCAGGTTCACGCCGTTCTCCTGCCTCAGCCTCCTGAGTAGCTGGGACTACAGGTGCCCGCCACCATACCCGGCTAATTTTTTGTATTGTTAGTAGAGATGGGGATTCACCGCGTTAGCCAGGATGGTCTCAATCTCCTGACCTCGTGATCCGCCCGCCTCGGCCTCCCAAAGTGCTGAGATTACAGGCATGAGCCACCCGCACCCAGCCTCTCTGCCCACTTCTTTTTAAAAAAAATTAGATATAATTCACATACCATAAAACTCACCGTTTTAAAATGTAAAATTCAGTGGTTTTATTATATTTACTAGGTTGTACAACCATCACCACTATCTCATTCCAGAACATTTCTGTTATCCCCCAAAAAAGCTCTATACCCCATTGGCTGTCATTTTGTGTTCTCCCTACTCCCTAGTTCCTGGCAACCACTAATCTGCTTTCTGTCTCTGAATTTTCCTCTTAATGGTCATTTCATATAAATGGAATCATACAATATGTGGCCCATTTGTGTCTAGACTGTTTCACTTTGCATGTTTTCAAGGTTCATTCATGTTGTAGCATATATTAGTAATAGTACTTTATTTTTTTTTGTACCTGAATAATAGTCATATTGATATGGATATACCATATTTTGTTTACCCATTCAAAAGTTGATGGGCATTTGGGTTGTTTCCACTTTTCGGCTGTTACCAGCCTATCTCTATTCTCATCTATTTCCCCCACTACACAAGGGTCTTTTTACATATTGCTCTTACTGCCTAAAACAATCCCTCTCTTCACTATCCTCATTTACTTTCTTAACTTTTTTTTTTTTTTTTTGAGACAGAGTCTTGCTCTGTCGCCCAGGCTGGAGTGCAGTGGCGCGATCTCAGCTCACTGCAAGCTCTGCCTCCCGGGTTCACGCCATTCTCCTGCCTCAGCCTCCTGAGTAGCTGGGACCACAGGTGCCCGCCACCAGGCCCGGCTAATTTTTTGTATTTTTTTAGTAGAGATGGGGTTTCACTGTGTTAGCCAGGATGGTCTCAATCTCCTGACCTCGTGATCCGCCCACCTCAGCCTCCCAAAGTGCTGGGATTACAGGCGTGAGCCACCGCGCCCGGCCACTTTCTTAACTCATAATCAGGGTTCACATCCCAGTCCAAATCTACTTCTTTAGGGAATCCTTCCTCAAACTATATCATATTCCTCTATTATATTTTCTTCTAGCGTCAGGTTTTTTTCCTTCAAAATAATCCTTGTAATTTATAATTATATACCTGATTGTATTGTCTCTTTGCCTTTTCCTCCTACCTTTAGTGTACTATAAACTTCATGAAAGCAAAATTGTGTTTTCTGCTCACAATTGTATCCCTGGAATCTAGCACAGTAACTGACATATATATCTGTTGAATGTATTCATGCAGGAATCTGTTTGCATCATTAAGTACTAGGGACACAAAAATGAAAAACCAGTCTCTTTGCAGGGAGCTTGCAGTGAAGCTATGCAGGCAAGTAAGTATTTTGTAAGAATAAATGCTGTAATTCCCGTATTAGTATAACAAAGTAATATGCTCAGTTTAGTCCGGGTGTGGTGGTTCACACTTGTAATCCCAGCACTTTGGGAAGCCGAAGCAGGAGGATCACTTGAGATCAGGAGTTCAAGACCAGCCTGGCCAACATGACGAAACCCTGTCTCTACTAAAAATGCAAAAATTAGCTGAGTGTGGTGGCGGGCACCTGTAATCCCAGCTACTCAGGAGGCTGAGACAGGAGAATTGCATGAACCCGGGAGGCAGAGGTTGCAGTGAGCCGACATCGCACCACTGCACTCCTTCCTGGGCGACAGAGTGAGACCAACTGAAAAAAAAAAAAGGCTCAGTTCAAAGAAGAATAATAAAGTGAACATCTTCCTTCTTGCCCTGTAGATGTATCCATCACGCTGGTAGTTATATTAAATGTTCCCATGCTTTTCTTTATTGTTTTATTACACAGGAATTTATCCATAAACAATGTTGTTTATCTTCTTCTCTTGCCTCATTGTTACTTTATGTGAATAGAATCATGTTTCCTGCCGATGTTTATATTTTTGAGATTGTATCTATATTGATACATAGAACTGTAGTTCATTCATTTCCCCTCCAGTATTGTGTTCTGTTTTATGACTGTATTACACACAGCATGGATTAATCCTGGTCATGAGGTAGAGCAACAGAATCTTATCACAAGAGATGACATACTGTGTGATTCTATTTATATACTTAAGAACATGCAAAACTAATCTGTGCTAATAGAAGTCAGAACAATGGTTATCTTGGGTGAGGGGTGTACATAGAATGGGAAAGAGTGCCTTCTGAGGTGTTGGAAATGCTCTAAATCTTGATCTGGATGGTAATTACCCAAGTATAATCACATTGAAGACTTATGAAGAGTCACATTTACATGTTATACTTTAACAAAAAGTTTCAGAAATAAATACATGAAAATATTGAGTTTTAAAAAAATACTATAATGGCAGTATGTACAAATGTAATTAGAACATAGGAAATAGAAGGAAAGTCACAAAAGGCTTTATAGAAGTAGCTTTTAAGTTAAGACTTATTTTGTCTCACCTGGTAGAATGTAAGGCATTGAAAGGAGGAACTGTGTATTGTTTCCTACTGTGTTTTAGTGCATAGAAGAGCGCTCAGTAAAAATTCATAGAATTGAATCAAATTTAGTTTTCCTGGAAGACAGGCAAATGGAGAACTTTCCAAGTATAGAGGCAACAATAATTCTGGGCTACAGATAGAAGTAGTTCAATATTTCTACAGTATAATGTACAGCTGGAGTGTAGCAAGAGATGAGGCTGGATTCTAGGAAGTTATATGAATGGGGTTGTATCCACTGTTAAGAATTGTTCTACAGGCAATGGGGATCTATCAAAGACCTTTGAATTAAGAAGTAAAATGATTGGCCAGGCGCGGTGGCTCATGCCTGTAATCCCAGCACTTTTGGAGGCCAAGGCGGGCGGATCATGAGGTTGGGAAATTGAGACCATCCTGGCTAACACAGTGAAACCCCGTCTCTACTAAAAATACAAAAAATTAGCCGGGTGTGGTGGCGGGCGCCTGTAGTCCCCGCTACTCGGGAGGCTGAGGCAGGAGAATGGCGTGAACCCGGGAGGCAGAACTTGCAGTGAGCCGAGATCCTGCCAGTGCGCTCCAGCCTGGGCAACAGAGCAAGACTCCATCTCAAAAAAAAAAAAAAAAAAGTGAAATGATCAAATTTACATGTTTGGAAGGATTACTCTGGCAGCAATATGAAAGGCAGATACTAATAGCAAGAATACCAGTAAGGCTATTACCATAAAGACCTGGGGCTGTGGGTTGTAAAGGAGAAAGAGGTAGATTCGGAAGTTAACGCAGAAGATTCTGCTGCTGATGATGATGATAGAAGTTAACATGAAGAGAGTGCTTACTGTATGTCAGGAACTCTGCTAGACTCCAGACGAAAAGGCAACAAAAACACAGCCCTTGCCCTTAAGGAATGAAGAAGGCAGATGTGTACTGTTAGAGGCATGTACACAGTGTGGTAGTAGCACAAAGGGGAAGGAATAACCAACCCCATCTCAGGGAGTAAAGAAGACTTCTCAGACGTGGTTACATTTGTGTTGGGTCTTAAAAGATAGATGGTATAATGACATCAAAGAAGAGTTATAATGACATCTTAAGCAAAGGGAAGAGCCAGTGCAAAGACAATAGTACATGATTCGATGTGATGAGAACATAAGATTGGAACCATCAACCAGTTGTTCATTTTCCTGTACATATTGCACTGATTTTTTATAGTCAGGATATATTTGTTTTTGTTTCTTTAAAAGTAATTCTCTTGATTTCTGTTACATCATTTCAATCTTTAGAGAAATATTTGAATGCTGATTGTGTCATCCATAATATTAACTATATTATCCATGTTTGTATCATCCATAAATTTGATAGGCTTTCCTACTATTTATTCCTTCAGGGATTAGTTAAGTCATTGAAATGGATAGAGCCCTCTGGTTACTTGGTAAGTAAAGATCTACTTCCAAGTTTACCCATCTATTAATTAGCCATTGTTATTCAACTGTGAAATCTATTCATGACACAGAGTTGTCATCTAATCCAGGGTCCCCAACCCCAGGGCCTTGGACCTCAGCAGTCCATGGCCTGTGAGGAACCAGGCCGCACAGCAGGAGGTGAGCCGAGGGCCAGTGAGCATTACTGCCTGAGCTCCACCTCCTGTCAGATGGGCAGCAGAATTAGATTATCATAGGTGTAAGAACCCTATTGTGAACTGCGCATGTGAAGAATCTAAGTTGCACACTCCCTATGAGAATCTAATGCCTGATCATCTGAGGTGGAACAGTTTCATCCCAAAACCACCCCACCCTACCCATCTGTGGAAAAATTATCTTCCACGAAACTGGTCCCTGGTGCCGAAAAGGTTGGGGGCTGCTGATCCAATCCACATTTTTTTCAGTCTTGTTCTTAATCACACACAGCATAATGGCTAAAGAAGAGAAGTTTTTTTGAGCAAGGCAAATTTGGTTTGACTCCTGGTTTCACTGCTTACCAGTTTTGCAGCCTTGGGAAAATTATTTCCCTTCTGTATGCCTCACTTAGCTCATCTGTAATATGAGGCTGCTAGTAAGTATCCCAGATTGCTTTAGGAAATCTAAATGAGATAGTGCGTAGTAAATGCTCACTACTTTGCCAGGTATATAGTAAGCACATAGTAAATGGAAAAGTAGTCATCATCATTATTGCTATTAATAAGATGTTATTTAATTTTAAAATTTTTATTGAGGGTCTACTATGGGCCTAACACTGTTCTGGATATTTGAAATACATCAGTGAAACAAAGACAATATTTTTTTAAAAACACACGTAAAGTACTGAGTATATGCTAGGCACTGATCTAAATAATTTGCTTTCATTAGCCTACCAACTCTCTGTAGTAGGTGCTATTATTATCCCTCTTTTACCAAAGAGGTAACCAAGGCATAGAGAGGTAACTTGCCAGCTCACACAGGTAAGCAGTTAAGTGGTAGAACTGGAGTTTGAACTCAACCAGTCTGGCTCCAGTGTGCCTTCTCTTAACCACTGTGTAATACTGTCACTCATCCAGAGTCACTTCCACTGATGCCTGCTGAAATCAAGATATTTAACTTTTGTGGCAGTTCTGTAATCTATTGACTCTAATTGCTTAAAAAAAATAGGAGGGACCTTTGTGATATCATTTTGGTGTGATTTTTTTTTTTATTTTAACCTGTGCTGGCTCCTGATGATTATTGGTATTTTTTAAATTACAAAGCTATTTGTTTAACCATCTTTTCCAGAATTTGATAGGAAATCACATTAAGCTTACCTCTCTGTCATTTGTTTTACATAAAGAACATTCTTAGTTTAAAAAAAAAAGGGGGAATTTAGTTCATATCCTTAGTTGACAATGGTTGAAGAAAAACATCTCAAAAATCACTTAGTTTATATAAAGTATATTTTGTAAACTCCTGTTCTTTTTACAGTGAATATCAATCGCTTATACCAGAGGTTCTCAAACGTTTTTGTCTCAGGACCTCTTTACACTCTTAAAAATTATTGAGGAATCAAAGAGCTTTTGTTGATGTAGGTTATACTTATTGGTATTTAATGTATTTGAAATTTAAACTGAGAAAATTTAGAGACACAAGAATGCCCAAGTACAGATTTCATTAGCTGTCAGAGCGATTGCATCATCACGTTATTCAGCCTCTAGAAAACTATACCACATACTTGTGAAAGAGTGGGAGTTAAAAGGGCAGACAATGTCTTAGTATTATAAAAATAACTTTGACCCCACAGGTCCCCTAAAAGGGTCTCAGAGATTCCCCCCAGTGGTCCCTTGATCTTACCTTGAGAACCTCTGCCATATACTAAATAAACTTATTACTGTCTTCAGTTAGAAGAAACTCTAAGACTAAAATTGAAGATCTAGAATTGAATATTTCAATGGAATTCTTAGGTTTCAATAACAATGCTTATTAAGGGTTATCTAAATGTATTAGATACTTTCAGGGATGCAGAGATGAAACAAATACAACTTCTTTTCTCCAAGAGCTTTCTTGTTACGAAATGTGGCATTTACACATCGAGTTGAAATAGAGTGAAAAGGGGTGACATGTTTGTTGTCACAGTAAACAAACTACATACCACTAGACTCACCTTTGCAATTTATAAACTAAGTTACATAATTCTATAAAATATTTTTGACTATTGATGATTCTCTTGACATGTGATTAACTATAAACAAAAATGACAGCAATCTTTAGAGATCATTGCATTTTGCTTTAGGCTAGTATATTTAATAACTTGCTCTGAAAGATTTGGGCAAACAGGGTAGGGAATTGCTGTCTTCAAGTCACTTTAGATTCATTTCTCAAAAGTATCCATTTCTGAACTACACATCCGCATTTAAAACAATAGTAGGCCAGGTATGGTGGCTCACGCCTGTAATCATAGCACTTTAGGAGGCCAAGACGGGAGAATCACTTGAGGCCAGGAGTTCAATATCAGCCTGGGCAACATAGTGAGACCCCATCTATTAAAAACAACAACAACAACAACAACAACAACAAAAAACTTCTTAAAAATAAACCAGGCATGATGGTACACATCTGTAGTCCTAGCTACTTGGAAGTCTGAGGTGGGAGGATTGCTTGAGCCCAGGAGTTCGAGGCTATAGTGAGCTATGATCCCACTCCAGCCTGGGCAACAGAGTGAGACTCTGTCTCAAAAAACAAACAAAAAGTACTAAATACAGAGAAATACAATTCAAAATGACCTAGAAACACCTGGATTTGATATACTTGTAGAGCAGCTAAGAATTGGGAGGGCAGATACCACATTTTAAAACTGAATATTAAAGAATAAAAACAGGGTGAAAAGTCACAATGTTGGCGATGGAAAGCATTAGGTTTGAGCAGTGCTAAGGCAGCCTCACATGTGTGTTACCTCCCCATTCCTAGGTCACCATTTTCTATTTACCCTACTCTGCAACCACTAAAAAGTGCTTTAGATCAAAAGTAGGAAAACATAGTAAGTGAGAGGTATGTGTGCCTCTTTCCCTAAGCATAATTTACTTTCTCTGTCTTCACCCCCAAATTTCTGGCTCAGTCTTCTTATCTACAACTTGGGAATTCTTTTTATTAAAGCCTTTCTTTACCTGTATTCTTATTATCAGAGTGTATTTCACACCCTGGGGTTCTTTATTATGCCCTGTCCCTTGCCCCATACCCTTTCTCCACATCAACTCCCAACATTATCAAAGCAGAGAGAACTTTCTGGTGGCTAACAGAATGGATACTATTTTACTAGAAATCTTTGTAACTTTAAAGGAATGGGAATGGCAAATAGGTTTCAGTTTATGTGTCAGTTGTAAGAAATTAATAGCAGCTGCATGGAACACTGGACCAAGAAGTATTATGAAACTGCTAGGCTCAAGTGCCATAATCCATTATCAGTCACTGTCATAGGTGTGAGAAGAGTGAATGACAGCACATGGACTCCACATTTGAAGCCCCCTGACCTAGCAGATCTCTGCCTTTGAATCCATTTAAATCCAAAGGAGCAGCAGACTAGAGCATATATTCCATATGATATAGTTTGGATATTTGTTTCTTCCAAATTGCATGTTGAAATGTGATCCCCAGAGTTGGAGGTGAGATCTAATGGGAGGTGTTTGGGTCATGAGGGTGGATCCCTCATGAATCGCTTAGTGCCCGCCTCACAGTAATGAGTGAGTTCACATGAGACTGGCCATGGCATCTCCCCTCCCACCTTGCTCCCTTGTGACATGCCTGCTCTGCCTTCGCCTTCCACTATGACTGTAAGCTTCCAGAAGCCTCACCAGAAATAGATCCTGGCACTGTGCTTTTTGTACAGTCTGCAGAACTGTGAGCCAAACCTTTTTTCTTTATAGACTACCCAGCCTTACATATTCCTTTACAGCAGTGCAGAACAGATTAATACCCTATATTAATATGTGTTTGAAGTGTGTAGGTTTCTTCCTATATATCTGTGCTTTTAAAACCATCTTCCTCAAAGTTAGACTGAGGTCAGTGCATTGAAATATCTGAGGTATATTGATATCACACATACACACACACACACACACACACACACACACACCCTAGAAACTTAAAATCAGGGAAATTTGAAGTATAGTTCTACCTCTGCTCATCAGCATATAATGTACATGATCTGTCTTGATCTCAGTTGGACCAGTGCCTGACATTTAATATTAAATACTTCTATTGCTCCTTTCAGTAAACACATAGAAAGCTATTGGGAGCAGGTGCGTTGAAATGTCTATCTTAGCAATTTATTGAAACCAAGCCCACATTGTGTGGAGACTTTTTATTTCATGTGGCACCTGACTGACTGTAGAAGCAACCCTAAATTGACGGTCTCAGAGTAGACTGAGCCTTTCTGACTAAAAAGACTGTGGGGCCAGGCGTGGTGGCTCACGCCTGTTATCCCAGCACTTTGGGAGGCCGAGGCGGGCGGATCATGAGGTCAGGAGATCAAGACCATCCTGGCTAACACGGTGAAACCCCGTCTCTACTAAAAATACAAAAAAAAAAAAATAGCCGGGCATGGTGGCGGGCGCCTGTAGTCCCAGCTACTCGGGAGACTGAGGCAGGAAAATGGTGTGAACCTGGGGGGTGGAGCTTGCAGTGAGCCGAGATCGGGCCACTGCACTCCAGCCTGGGCAACAGAGCGAGACTCCGTCTCAAAAAAAAAAAAAAAAAAAAAAAAAAAGACTGCTGGATATATGAAGTGGAAAAGAAAGAATAACAGGGAAACCAGGATTGAAATTTCTAAAATGGGTAAAGAGTATTGACAGAATCATACAGACCATCTAAGCCTGTGAATCTCAAGTGGCTTGTCTCTCCTCTTGTCCTCCCAAGATTCTGATATGTAAGGAGATGTGTGTCCCATGCACGCATGGATGTACACACACACACACACACACACACACACACACATATCTTACTGATGAGTATATGTAATATCCTGTAGGAGTGCCGAAGCAAGAAAATAATTGAGAGACTTATCTATTCCAGTGCTTCTGTTTCCATAGATGGAAATGGGTAAGTTGTTTTGGCAGACTAGAATGTCCTTTTATGAAACAAGAGTCTGAATTTTGTGTTACTGTTTATTTTTTTCAACTTTTAAAAAGATTATTTCTTAGGGAGATTTGGTTAAAATAGATAACTTTTTTTCTTAAATCTGATTACTTTTAAGTGACTATAGATAAAACTTGGGAAGGAGATAAGAGACCTTTCTCTGAAGGTAGATTTTTAATAAAAGGAGAAAGTGGAATTGGTGAACTTGAGGTCGAAACTGATGGATCAGTATAGGAAAATATTGAAATACTCACTTATTAGATTTTGTTCCGTGGTGTTTACATATAGAATCCAACAACTGTTTTTTGTTGTTGTTTTGTTTTGTTTTGTTTTTTTGAGATGGAGCCTTGCTCCATTGCCCAGCTGGAGTGCAGTGGTGCGATCTCAGCTCTCTGCAGCCTCCGCCTCCTGGGTTCCAGTGATTCTCCTGCCTCAGCCTCCCAAATACCTGGTACTACAGGTCAGCACCACCATGCCCAGCTAATTTTTATGTTTTTGATAGAGACAGAGTTTCACCACATTGGCCAGGCTGGTCTCAAACTCCTGACCTCAAGTGATCCGCCTGCCTCAGCCTTCCAAAGTGCTAGGATTACAGGTATGAGCCACTGCACCTGGCCAGAACTTGTCACTTTTGCACTCTAGTCCTTAGCTCCAAAGGTTTTCCTCTGACTTGATTTAAAGCAAGCCATCTTTCCCCTTTGTAAAATAGTGGGAACACTTATTGCTGAGGTTTTCATGTGAAATGAAGCCAAAATATTTTAAGATTACAACAGAGTACATTAAAGTAGTTAAATGGTGAGGTAAGAGTCGTGTGTTTAGACATATATGTATCTGTAGATTCAGATATTGTATACATTTATCATTCAATAGAAATGAAGAATAGGTTTTTATGTTAACTTTTTAAAATAATTTATGTTTATATAATTCCAAACTTGTAGAAAAATTGCAAGAAAGTACAAACTCCTATATGCCCCAGTTAACATTTTGTTCTGTTTGTTCCCTCTCCCTCACTATATATTTATGTGCTTGTGTATATATAAATATCTATATCCATTATCATTATTCTTTTTCTGATCCATTTGAGAGCAAATCGTGAACATAATGCCTCCTCACCTCTCAATACTCCAGAATTTATATCCGCCATGCAAGATTACTCCCTTACCTAGCTATCCAAATCAGGAAATCAACATCAGCAGATACTACCATCCAAACCACAGACCCAATACACATTTTTACGAGATGTTCCAAAAATATCTTTTTTATTTCTGACTTGAGATCCAATCCAGGATCATTTATTAAATCTAGTTGCCATGTCTCTTTAGTCTCCTTCAATCTAGAAGAGTTCCTCAGTTTTTTTCCTTTTATGACTTTGACAGTTTTAAAGAGTAGAGTCCTTGGAACCAACCCAAATGTCCAACAATGATAGACTGGATTAAGAAAATGTGGCACATATACACCATGGAATACTATGCAGCCATAAAAAATGATGAGTTCATGTCCTTTATAGGGACATGGATGAAACTGGAAACCATCATTCTCAGTAAACTATCGCAAGAACAAAAAACCAAACACCGCATATTCTCACTCATAGGTGGGAATTGAACAATGAGATCACATGGACACAGGAAGGGGAATATCACACTCTGGGGACTGTGGTGGGGTGGGGGGAGGGGGGAGGGATAGCACTGGGAGATATACCTAATGCTAGCTGACGAGTTAGTGGGTGCAGCGCACCAGCATGGCACATGTATACATATGTAATTAACCTGCACAATGTGCACATGTACCCTAAAACTTAAAGTATAATAAAAAAAAAGAAGAAAAAAAAAAAAAGACTAGAGTCCTTTGATTCTGTTGGATGTCTGTCAGATCATGCATTCTTGGCAGAAATACCTCAGAAATGATGCTGTGTCTTCTCTATGTATCACATGAAGAAGTGCATGATGTCAAACTGTCTCACCCCTGGTGATATTAATATTGGTCACCTAGTCAATTTGGTGTCTTCTAGGGTTGGTTTTTTTTTTTTTTCCACTATGAAATCATCATTTTTCCCCTATGCAATAGTGCTATGGTCTGAAGTTTCCCCAAAATTCATATGTTGAGGTCCTGACCCCCAAGGGGATAATATTAGGAGGTGGGGTCTTTGATTAAGTCATGAGGGCAAAATTAGTGCCCTTATAAAAGAAGTCCCAGAGAGACCTCTTGCCCTTTCCACCACTTGAGAAGCCACTGTCCATGATCCAGGAAGTGGGCCCTCACCAGACACCAAATCTGCTGGCGCCTTGATCTTGGATTTCTCAGTCTCCAGAAGTAAGAGAAATTAATGCTGTTGATTATAAGTCAAAGTTGATTATAATAACCTGTTGATTATAAGTCACAGTTTATGGTATTTCTTGTATCAGCCTCAACAGATTGAGACAAATAGTATTTTGTGGGGAGACTCTGCCAATATCCTGTTCCTTGTCAGACCTCCACTCACCAGCCTTAGCATACTTTGATGAAACCCTCCTGAATCAACCACCTTTATGATGGTTGCCAAATGGTGGTTTTCTATTTTCATCATTTCTTCTACTTTTCTTAGTTGGCATTCTAATGGAAGGAAGAAGTTTCTATTCTCTGCCATTTATGTGCTTGTTTATTTATTTATATCATTATGTCCATGGATTTCTGTTTTATTCAATGGATTGAAATTTGTTACTCTTACTATTTATTTTTACGCTCAAATTGCTCCATACTTGACTGATAGGAGTATGTCCCCATTGTTCTCTGAGCACTTCCTCTCTGGTGCAGGATGTTCCAGGCTTATCATGTACTTTCTTTGCCCCAATTCTGGAATCAACTATTTCCCCAAGAACCCCTGTTTCCTTTTAGTGGAGGATGATATTTAAAAACTAAGCACTTGGTGTGCTCATTGCTTCTGTGTGCTATTACTTTGAGTCCGTAGTGGGCAGAACTAGGAAATATATGTATGTATGCACTGTAATATTATAATTTGAAATACATGTTTGGTCTCTGCCCCCAAGTTCCTGGCACAGAGCTCCTAAAGCCCTTGTAGATAAGGGGCACTAAGAGAATCTTTTGTTCCTATATTTGGTCTCTGACCCCAGTTCCTGTCACAGGGCTCCTAAGACCTTTCTGATTTCCTGAATGATAGGAGTGTCTGACACAGAGCTCCTAAATCCCTTGGAGTTTCCTGGGTCATAGGAGAATCTTGTCTTAATGAAGTAACTCTTAGTGGGCTCCTGAATAGCGTCAGGATGGGGGCTGGTTGCCAAGGGATCCAAACATGATTAAAGGGTTGGAACTTTTAGCTCCACCCCACCCACCTACTTCAGAGAGGAGCTTAAAGGGTGACTTGATCACCATTAGCCAGTGGTGTAACCAATTATGCCCATGAAATGAAGCCTCTATGAAAAACCCAGGACAGGGTTCGGGGAGCCTCCTGGAGGGTAGCCCACCCAGAGAGGGCATGGAAGCCTCACATGCCTTCTTCCATACCTTGCCCTATGCATTTCTTCTATCTGGCTGTTCATCTGTTCCTTTGTAATAATGTTTTATAATAAATGAGTAAGTATAAATAAAATGTTTCCTTGGGTTCTGTGACCCACTATAGCAAACTAATCGACCCTAAGAAAGGTGTCATAGGAACGCCAATTTTTAGCTGGTTGGTCAGAAGTACAGGTCACAACCTGAGACTTCCAATTAGCATCTGAAGTGGGGAGCAGTCTTGTGGGTTAGCAGTCTGTGAGACCTGACGCTCTCCAGGAAGAGAGTGTCAGAATTGGACTGGAGGATGTCCAGCTGGTATCTGCCAGGGAATTGCTTGGCATGTGGGAAAGTCCCCACACATCTGAAGTCAGAAGTATTGTGTTGAGTGGTGAGTGAGGGTAGAAAAAGCACTTCAGTTTTTTCCTATCTTTATTACATATACATACAGCCAGATCTGTTTCTGTATATATCTGTGTGTGTGTGTGTATATGTATAGATATCAATTCACATTGAGATGTCTGATGGCAGGTTCAATACTTCAAGATTCTTTGTAGCCTTCCCCCTTTCTATGTTTGTATGTAAATATCTTCCTTACCATTGATAAATCTGGCTTTCATCATACTCAATATATTTTCTTAATCTCTTTGTACACTACTCATCTCCTGACCAGCCTGGTTACCTACTCAGCCTTTGATTTTTCCCTCCCAAACTTGCTACTCTTTTGATCTTCCCAATTTCAGTAATGACAACTATATTCTTGGAATTACTCAAGCTAAAAGTATTAGTGTCATCCTTCTTGCCCCACTCCAAACCCCTCATTCATCCCATTAATAATTCCTTTAAATAGAATGATTTTTTGGCTGGGCACAGTGGCTCACACCTGTAATCCCAACACTTTGGGAGGCTGAAGGGGAAGGATCGCTTGAGCCCAGGAGTTTGTGATCATCCTGGGCAATGTGAGACCCCATCTCTACAAAAAATAAAATAATTAGCCAGGCATGGTGGCATGCACCTGTGGTCCCAGCTACTCAGGAGGCTGAGTTGAGAGAATTGCATGAGCCCAGGTGTTTGAGGCTTGCAGTGAGCCGCCATGCTGTGCCACTGCACTCCAGCCTGGGTGACAGAGTGAGACCCTGTCTCAAAAAAAAAAAAAAAAAAAAAAAAAAATCCCCACATCTACTGCTAATATTCTAATAATCTAAGCCACCATTATTATCTTTGCATGTACTTTAGCAAGATTCTTCTAATTGGCTTTCTACTCCCACCCCTACCTTTATGTCTATTCTCTGCGTAATAGCCAAAGTGATCCTTTTATAACCTAAGTCAGATTATGTCATTTCTTTGGTCAGAACCTACTAGTGGCTTCTGTTCTCACTAAATTTAAAATTCAGAATTCTTATCAAAGTCCTAGGTCATCTACTATCCCTTCCCTCACTGTAATTTAATCATATTGGCCTTTTACTATTCCACACCAAGCACATTGTCACCTCTGGACTTTCACATGTGATGTTTCCTCAAGCAAGCTCTTAATGCCAGAGAGCCACAGAACTCGATACTCCCTCACTCCATTCAAGTCTTTGCTCAAATGTGACTCTAACAGTGAGGCCTTCCCTGACTACACAACATAAGGCGGCATCTTTTCTTCATTCTCTATTTCTTTTCTTTGTTTATGTTTATTGTATTTATTACAACCTGCCATAACATTTAAGAGCAAGAGTTTTTGTGTTTTTTTTTTCCCCCATGCAGTGTCTCCAGTACCTGGAATAATGTCTGACAAATAGTAGACTCTTGATAAATATTTTGTTGAGTGACTTTTTATGGATTCATGTTCAATAAATTCATGTGGTTGAAATTGATTTAGGTGATATATTAGCAGTATCTTTTATATAGCTGTAAATTAGATGATGTTTTACAAGGAGTACTAGTGTCAAATAAGCTCTCAACTGGCCTTAAGAGAGAGAATTTATTTTCCAAATGTAGATATTTCAGAAAGCAGAATTAGAGATTAAAGATTTTTTGAAAAAGAAATTGTGAAAAAGGAATTTTGAAAAAGGAATTGATGGGAAGTATACTCATCACCAGCAGTAGGTTTCTGGAGATCTAAGATCTGGAGTTTACCTCACTACCTTAGTTTCTAATGCTTGTCATGCTTTCTCAAGACCATTTCTCAAAGAATGTTCCTCTTCTCTAACTATACCTTTTCTTTCTGATCCAGCACTGTTAGGCATCTCATGTTTTCTGGTGTGTTTTACTTTTCTTAATATCTAATACTATGTTTATTTTATTTTCTATTGGAGCACAATAACTTCATAAATATCTCTTATTCTTTGCACTTTCAGTAACAAAATTTTTTCAAGTCAAAGTCTGCCAGCACCATAGAGGAGTAGTTGTGTTTGCTTCAGGATTGTCTGAGGCTTTAAAGCGGGTGAACTGCTGACCTTGAGGAAAAGCAGATAATTCTATCAAGAAAGCCTCCCTCCAGGAGTAGGCTTTTATTGCTTTATTATATATCTTAAACTGTAAGATCCTGTTTCTTCACCTGTGGAAATAAGGTGAACAATATCCTTTTCATGAATTGTAAATATGTGTAAGTGCCTGGCACATAGTAGGTGTTCTGTAAGTATTCATTTATCTTTCTTCCTTCCCTTATCTTCCACTAATCCATATAACTTAATGTCTCATCTCTACCAATAAGCTCTTATGTATCTTAACCAAATTTTCTTACCAAAATTAACTATAGGCCAGGCATGGTGGCTCATATCTGTAACCCCAGCACTTTGAGAGGCCGAGGCCGGTAGATCACTTGAGGTCAGGAGTTTGAGACCAGCCTGGCCAACATGGTGAAACCTTGTCTCTACTAAAAATATAAAAATTAGCTGGGCGTGGTGACACATGCCTGTAATCCCAGCTACTCAGGAGGCTGAGGCAGGAGAATCACTTGAACCCGGGAGGCGGAAGTTGCAGTGAGCCGAAATAGTGCCACTGCACTCCACACTAGGTCACAGAGTGAGACCCTGTCTCAAAAAAAAAAAAAGATAGTCAAACTTGGTGAACACAAGCAAACAAAAAAGTGTATGGAATTGTTTTTGCTCTAAAAATACTAGAGACTAATACTAGATTAGTGTTTTCCTTCATAGGCCATATATATCTTTCTGGTATTAAGATAGAGAAGAGAGAGTTGCTTCATCTGAGTGACCAAGCAAGACCAATATAAGTTAAAGTACACAGGGAGTTTCCAAGCATTAAACTCATGGGTGCTCTTCCTGTCTAATCTTGTCTTCATTTGGTAAGACATATGCAGACCTACCATGAAGCTTCAGGGAATTTTTGATTCTTGCCAAAAATAAAAATGCCCTGAAGTGTGCCTGTTGAAAATGCCAACAATATGTAGATTCTGAAAGTTATCTTGTAAGTGAAAGAAAGAGTATAGCTGTTACAGTATTCTTGTCAAATAGGATTTTCCCTAAGTTTTATGGGAGTAAGGACTTTCTCTGCTATACTGAACGCTAGCCTCATTTCCTCAGCAAGCATGATTGATCTCAGTTAGATATTAAGAATTTATAAAGAGATTGTGAAAGGGTAAACCTCAAATCAATGGGAAAATAACAGATTTTAAAAGTCATGACATTGAGACTCTTAGGAAGAAAAATTTTGTTTCTTCCATCAAACCAGGCCAAAGTAAGTTATAGGTTTGTTAAAGATAAATGTAATAGAGAAAAACATGGGAGAATATTTATCTGATCTTAGTGTAGGGGTGAGATTTTTAAGGATTCTAGCAAAGGCAAGCACTATATGGGAAAATGGTGATAAATTTTACAATCCCACAGTTCAGAAATGTGTAATAATAACACCAGAGCAAACATTTATTGAGCTAAATGCCAAGCCTTGTAGTAAGTGCTTTACGTATAAGTCAGTGCCAAGGTTGAGAAACTCTGCCCTAGAGCTGCGTAATCTGTCGCTCTCGTTTGCTGTGTTATCATATGCCAGATGTTTTGTCATAGTGTAACAAGGTTTACCAGCTTCCCAATCTGCAGCATCTGTTTCATCACTGCTTACAACTCTGCCACTTAACAGATGCCACCTATATTAGTTTTTTTGTTACAGCAATATCCTACACCAGATACTAATCCTGTATTAATTAGGATAAAGGCTAAACAATTAGAATAGGAAGACCCAAAATGCAGTGGTTCACAAAAGATAGGTGTTAATTATTTCTAATGCAATGGTTTGGAGTAGATAGGTAGCATTTGCCTCATGAAGTTATTCAGAGACTCAGATAGCAGGGTAGTCCATCACTTTCTCTCATGGCCTGGCTAAACCTGTGTCATTGATTTATTTGAGTTCTAGCCAGTGGATAGGGGAAAGAGAGCATGGAGAAGACACACCTATTCTCTTAAGATCTAGTCCTTAAAGGAGCAAATGTTACTTCTGTTCACACTGAATTAGAGAGAATTAGTCACGTGGTCAATCTCACAGCAGGTATGGAGGCTAGGAAGTGTAGTCCCACAGCATGTGCCCAGGAAGAAAGGGATAACATTTGGCGGACAACAACAAATAGTTTCCACCGCAACTACTACCTGTGCTGCCTCTAAATATCTGAGAAGCCAAATGATAATGTGGGAGTTAAGTATTCTTATAAATGAAAAATTAAAATATCCTAAAAGAAATAAGGAAAAACTACAAATTCAGTTTTAAAAAGGGAAATACAAAAGACTACTAATCATACATCAGTAGCTGATTGTCAACAAAGGTACTAAAACAATTCAGTGGAGGAAAGAATAGTCTTTCAACAAATTGTACTGGCACAACTGAATATCCACATGCAAGAAGAATGAAGTTGGACCTCTACCTCACAGCATATATAAAAATTAATTCAAAATGAATCAAAGACTTAAGAGCTAAAACTATATAAAACTCTTTGAGGGAAAAAAAAAATGCAAGTCTATGTTAACTTAGAATAGGCAACAGTTTCTCAGATATCACCAAAAACACAAGCAACCAAAGAAAGAATAGACAAATTGCAGAAATAAAAACTTTTGTGTATCAAAGGAATCTATGGAGAAAGTGAAGACAACCCACAGAATGGGAGAAAATATTTGCAAATTACATATCTGAAAAGGATTTAATATTTAGAATATATAAAGAAGCTTTACAATTCAATAAAAACAAATAACCCAGTTTTTTTAAAAGGGCAAGGATTTTAATAGACTTTTTTCTCAAAGATGAGTAATACCTTTATTCATTAGGAATATGCAAATCAAAATCACAATGAAATACCACTTCACATCCGCTAGGATGACTAAAATTTTTAAAAACAGAAAATAACAAGTGTTGGTGAGGAGATGGAGAAATTGGGTGAGAATGTAAAATGGAACAGCCATTGTGGAAAAACAGTGATGTGAACATTAGCATTTGGTGGTTTCTCAAACTATCCAACAGAATTGTCATATGACCCCAAAACTCCACTCTTAGATTTATACCCAAGAGAACTGAAAACAAGTGTTCAAGCAAAAAGTTGTGTACACAAATGTTTGTAGCAGCATTATTCATAACAATCCAAAGGTGGAAACAACCCAAATGTCCATCAACTAGTGAATGGATAAACAAGATGTGGTAAACCCATACAGTGGAATATTATCAACCATAAAATTGAATGTAGTAATGATTTATGCTACAACATGGGTAGACCTTGAAAACATTGTGTTAAGTGAAAGAAGCCAGACACAAAAGCGTATATATTGTATGATTCCATTTCATTTGTCCAGAATAGGCAAATCCAGAAATGTAGAAAGTAGATTAGTGGTTGCCAGGCACAGGGGGAGAGGGCACTGACTACTTAATGGCTATAAAGTTTTCTTTTCTTTTCTTTTCTTTTCTTTTTCTTTCCTTTCTTTTCTTTTCTTTCTTTCTTTGAGATGGAGTTTTGCTCTTTGGTGCCCAGGCTAGAGTGCAGTGGCATGATCTCGGCTCACTGTAACCTCTGCCTCCAGGGTTCAAGTGATTCTCCTGTCTCAGCCTCCTGAGTAGCTGTGATTACAGGCACCCACCACCACGCCCAGCTAATTTTTGTGTTTTTAGTAGAGACAGGGTTTCACCATGTTGGTCAGGCTGGCCTTGAACTCCTGACCTCAGGTGATCTGCCCGCCATGGGCCTCCCAAAGTGCTGGGATTACAGGCGTGAGCCACCACGCCCGGCCAGGTTTCTTTTTGTGGTGATAAAAATGTTCTGGAATTAGGTAATGGTGATGGTTGCACAACTTTGTGAATATACTAAAAGCCACTGCATTGTATACTTTAAAATGATTAACTTAATGGTGTGTGACTAATATCTCAATAAAAAATAAGACTAGTGACTGTGAAAATCTAGCATCCCACCAGTAATCAAAGAAATGAAAATTATGCTGGGTGCTGTGGCTCATGCCTGTAATCCCAGCACTTTGGGAGGCCGAGGTGGGCAGATCACGAGGTCAGGAGATCCAGACCATCCTAGCTAACGTGGTGAAACCCCATCTCTACTAAAAATATAAAAAATTAGCCAGGCGTAGTGGCGGGCACCTGTAGTCCCAGCTACTCGGGAGACTGAGGCAGGAGAATGTTGTGAACCTGGGAGATGGAGCTTGCAGTGAGCCGAGATTGTGCCACTGCACTCCAGCCTGGGCGACAGAGCGAGACTGCCTCTCAAAAAAAAAAAAGAAATGAAAATTATGACAATGTTAATCTTAATTGTATCCATTAAAATGGTAAGTTAAAATTTTGTTAATACACTCATATTCTATTATTGATAATGTAAATTGATACAGTTGTTTTGGAGGACTTAATTGGTAATATGTATCAAATGCTTTAAAATAAACTATATTCTTTGTCTCAGAAATTATGTTGTAAGAATTTATTCTAAGGATATAATAAATATCTATTATGATATTTGTCTACATGCTTGATGATGACAATGAGATTAAAAATGGAAAGCAACTAAAATGTTGAAAAATGAAACATTCAGTAATTTTGAAGTAATTGAAATGTTTCATAATAAGCAGCCAATAATTTATGATATCCAGTGGCTGGGCACAGTGGCTCACGCTTGTAATCCCAGCATTTTGGGAGGCTGAGGTGGGTGGATTGCTTGAGTCCAGGAGTTCAAGACCAGCCTGGCCAACATGGCAAAACCCCATCTCTACTAAAAATACAAAAATTTGCCAGGTCTGGTGGCACATGCCTGTAATCCCAGCTACTCAGGAGGCTGAGACAGAAGAATTACTTGAAACCCAGAGGTGGAGGTTGCAGTGAGCCGAGATCGCACCACTGCACTCCAGCCTGGGTGACAGAGTGAGACTTTGTCTCAAAAAAACAAAACAAAACAGACAAACAAAAAATGTATGATACCCAAACGATGTCATAAAAATTATGTTGTATAAGATTATACCATTATAGTGCCATGAAAAATGTTAACACTGTATTAACTGATTAAAATGAGAATCATAAATAATATGTAAAATATAGTCTTGAATTTGTTTTTAAAGTCTGTTTTATAAGTTAATGTTCCCATATTTATGTGAGATTACCTGTGATTTTTGTTTTCTTTGGATTTTTCTGTATTTAATTTTCTTTATGAGAAAATTATGTTTTCAATATTTTTTTTAACTAATGATTTTATCACACTGTAATTTATAATCAGAAATCTATGAACTAACTTTTGGGAGATTTAAAGTAAGGGCTGTTCCAACAGAATGTGCTGGAGGATGGGAGTTCCTACACGTCCATTAGGACCAGCAATATAGTGGTGTGGCTATTAATCTTTCATTATAATATACCCATTTCTTGCTAGACTCAGTGACTCTGGTTGATTAGTTCATTGCTTAGAATAAGATCTTGTGGTCAATTCCTATGTGAGTCAAGTAAACACTGACTTTGGCTTTAGTTCTAGTCAGACAACTTGTAAGTGTGTATCACAAGTCAGAGGGGACACTACATGGGAGAGCATAAGTGGATTTTTGTAGATCAACCATTGTTGTGGGAAAACCTCTTCAGTTCTGCTCCTCTTGGCCAGATGTGGGCCTGAGTGTGAGTCTGGATAAGAAGAGTTCAAACTTCTCTTGTGACACACAGCATTTCTTACCCAGGGGAAGTTTAAATAAATTTGAACATAAAACCTAGGTCTTCCACTTGGTTTAAAGCCCTTAACTAAGAAATAAGATATATTGGAAAATGCTTCGTACCTACAGCATTGTTGTTAAGAGATGTTGGCCCCATGGGGCATGCAGCTGTTAAACCAGAGTGACTCCCAGACCCAGTGATGTGAGTCTCATTTTCTTGGACCTGAATCTCACCTGGGGCCTGGGAAAGCAGGCTGGGACACAAGGAGAATAGCTCTTGGGTAGCTGGGTGAGCTATTGCATAGATGGCTGCAAAGACTAGTCCCACAAAGAGGGGCACCTGGTGCTGCCTTGTTGGCAGGCAGTCATTTTTGTCCTACATCCTTGTGAGTAGTCTTGTGAATATGAATGTTTACTTAAGCTTGAAAAATTTCCCTAGGCATTATACTTAACATCTTGGGACTCAGTTTCCTGCTCTGTAAAATGAAAATGTTGTCTACCTTAAAGGTGGTTGTAAAAAGTAGAGTTACTGCACAAAGCTCCTAGAATATAATAGATATTCTGTAAATGGTAGCTATTACTCTGTTTATACCATCGTATTTTAAAGGTAAAATATGCTAGATACTTCCACAATACCTATTTTACAGACTTGCATTAGAGGATATTGGCAGGTATTGACATTTTGAGCATTGTAATTATTGACCATGTAATTGTCTAGTTTTTTTTAAATTATACTTTAAGTTTTAGGGTACGTGTGCACAACGTGCAGGTTAGTTACATATGTATACATGTGCCATGTTGGTGTGCTGCACCCAGTAACTCATCATTTAACATTAGGTATATCTCCAAATGCTATCCCTCCCCCCTCCCCCACCCCACAACAGGCCCTGGTGTGTGATGTTCCCCTTCCTATGTCCATGTGTTCTCATTGTTCAATTCCCACCTATGAGTGAGAACATGTGGTGTTTGGTTTTTTGTCCTTGCGATAGTCTGCTGAGAATGATGGTTTCCAGCTTCATCCATGTCCTTACAAAGGACATGAACTCATCATTTTTTATGGCTGCATAGTATTCCATGGTGTATATGTGCCACATTTTCTTAATCCAGTCTATCATTGTTGGACATTTGGGTTGGTTCCAAGTCTTTCCTATTTTGAATAGTGCCACAATAAACATATGTATGCATGTGTCTTTATAGCAGCATGATTTATAATCCTTTGAGTATATACTCGGTAATGGAATGGCTGGGTCAAATGGTATTTCTAGTTCTAGATCCCTGAGGAATCGCCACACTGACTTCCACAATGGTTGAACTAGTTTACAGTCCCACCAACAGTGTAAAAGTGTTCCTATTTCTCCACATCCCCTCCAGCACCAGTTGTTTCCTGACTTTCTAATGATCGCCATTCTAACTGGTGTGAGATGGTATCTCATTGTGGTTTTGATTTGCATTTCTCTGATGTCCATTGATGATGAGCATTTTTTCATGTATCGTTTGGCTGCATAAATGTCTTCTTTTGAGAAGTGTCTGTTCATATCCTTTGCCCACTTTTTGATGGGGTTGTTTTTTTCTTGTAAATTTGTTTGAGTTCATTGTAGATTCTAGATATTAGCCCTTTGTCAGATGAGTAGATTGCAAAAATATTCTCCCATTCTGTAGGTTGCCTGTTCACTCTGATGGTAGTTCCTTTTGCTGTGCAGAAGCTCTTTAGTTTAATTAGATCCCATTTGTCAATTTTGGCTTTTGTTGCCATTGCTTTTGGTGTTTTAGACATGAAGTCCTTGCCCATGCCTATGTCCTGAATGGTATTGCCTAGCTTTTATTCTAGGGTTTTTATGGTTTTAGATCTAACATTTAAGTCTTTAACCCATCTTGAATTAATTTTTGTATAAGGTGTAAGGAAGGGATCCAGTTTCAGCTTTCTACATATGGCTAGCCAGTATTCCCAGCACCATTTATTAAATAGGGAATCGTTTCCCCATTTCTTGTTTTTGTCAGGTTTGTCAAAGATCAGATAGTTGTAGATATGCGGCATTATTTCTGAGGGCTCTGTTCTGTTCCATTGGTCTATATCTCTGTTTTGGTACCAGTACCATGCTGTTTGGTTACTGTAGCCTTGTAGTATAGTTTGAAGTCAGGTAGTGTGATGCCTCCAGCTTTGTTCTTTTGGCTTAGGATTGACTTGGCAATGCAGGCTCTTTTTTGGTCCCATATGAATTTTAAAGTAGTTTTTTCCAATTCTGTGAGAAAGTCATTGGTAGCTTGATGAGGATGGCATTGAATCTATAATTTACCTTGGGCAGTATGGCCATTTTCACGATATTGATTCTTCCTACCCGTGAGCATGGAATGTTCTTCCATTTGTTTGTATCCTTTTTTATTTCATTGAGCAGTGGTTTGTAGTTCTCCTTGAAGAGGTCCTTCACATCCCTTGTAAGTTGGATTCCTAGGTATTTTATTCTCTTTGAGGCAGTCGTGAATGGGAGTTCACTCATGATTTGGCTCTCTGTTTGTCTGTTATTGGTATATAAGAATGCTTGTGATTTTTGCACATCGATTTTGTATCCTGAGACTTTGCTGAAGTTGCCTATCAGCTTAAGGAGATTTTGAGCTGAGACAATGGGGTTTTCTAGATATACAATCATGTCATCTACAAACAGGGACAATTTGACTTCCTCTTTTCCTAATTAAATACTCTTTATTTCCTTCTCCTGCCTGATTGCCCTGGCCAGAACTTCCAACACTATGTTGAATAGGAGTGGTGAGAGAGGGCATCCCTGTCTTGTGCCAGTTTTCAAAGGGAATGCTTCCAGTTTTTGCCCATTCAGTATGATATTGGCTGTGAGTTTGTCATAGATAGTTCTTATTATTTTGAGATACGTCCCATCAATACCTAATTTATTGAGAGTTTTTAGAATGAAGCGTTGTTGAATTTTGTCAAAGGCCTTTTCTGCATCTATTGAGATAATCATATGGTTTTTGTCGTTGGTTCTGTTTATATGCTGGATTATGTTTATTGATTTGAGTATGTTGAACCAGCCTTGCATCCCAGGGATGAAGCCCACTTGATCATGGTGGATAAGCTTTTTGATGTGCTGCTCGATTCAGTTTGCCAGTATTTTATTGAGGATTTTTGCATCGATGTTCATCAGGGATATTGTTTTAAAATTCTCTTTTTTTGTTGTGTCTCTGCCAGGCTTTGGTATCAGGATGATGCTGGCCTCATAAAATGAGTTAGGGAGGATTCCCTCTTTTTCTATTCATTGGAATAGTTTTAGAAGTAATTGTGTTGTTTTACCTCCATGTCATGCAATAGAAGTTAAAGTTGGCAGCATCACAATGAATAATGATTAAAGTCTGAGTATTTAATAGTCAGTTTATCTTCATACGTTCTTAGTGTAGTAGTTTACAATATTTGAACATGCCTTAGAACAAATATTTAATTATAGATGTGCTAACTGAAACTTCTTGTAGTTAATGAACTAATAAAATATCAAAATACAATGTTTATGTATCTTATTCAGCAAGTATTTCTTGAATAAATACTAAGTGTGAGGTATCATTCTGAGTGCCTCAGTGAACAAAACAGCCAATATAATTTTATATTTTAAATATGTAAAACACTGAAACATATATGTTCAAAAGTCAAATAGACTGACCCAGGGAATTCTCACTTCCATTTCTGTGCCCTTCATCTCCGTCTCACCTGTCATTCTCTTCAATTTCCTTCCCTTTCATTAAAGCTATTAATAAATAACCAAGGTAATATGAAGTTCACATTTACTGTTTTCCCATAATCCATATTGTTCTGTGCTGTCTTTTTCCTGATTCAGTGTCTCACTAATCCTTTCCTACTCAAACCTCTCCATCAGACATCTTGGAATTCTATTCAGTAGTCCTCAGTTAATCCTAACTATAGTTGAATTAAGTAGGTTGAAGTTGAAGTAAGTGTTAAATGTAGATAGTAAATATAAAAGTCAGGGCTGGGCAAAGTAGGTCATGCCTGTAATCCCAGCACTTTGGGAGGTAGAGGTGGGCAGATCACATGAGGTCAGGAGTTCGAGACCAGCCTGGCTAACATGGGGAAACCCCATTTCTAATAAAAATACAAAAAATTAGCTGGGCATGGTGGCACGCGCCTGTAATCCTAGCTACTCAGGAGGCCAAGGAAGGAGAATCACTTGAACCCGGGAGGCGGAGGTTGTAGTGAGCCAAGATCGCACCATTGCACTCCAGCGTGAGCAACAAGAGCAAAACTCTGTCTCAAAAGAAAAAGTCAGTATTAATGAATTTGTGATTTAGCCAGGCATGGTGGCTCACACCTATAATCCCAGCACTTTGGGAAGTATGCACCTGTAGTCCTAACTACTTGGAAGCCTGAGGTGGGAGGATTCTGAAGTCCAAGAGTTTGAAGCTGCGAACTATGATCATACCACTGCACTCCAGCCTGGGTGATAGAGCGAGACCCTGTGTCTAAAAACAAAACAGTGAGATATGACTTCACATCCTCTAGGAGAGCCATAATAAAAATAAAATAAAATGAATAGCATAGCATATACCATAACATTCTATAGCATGTTTGTCAATACTTTTTAATTTTAATAAAGTATGTATTTTCCATTTGATTACCAAAGTACCAGAAGAAAATTTGAAAAGTACAGAAAACCTAAAGATAAATTAAAATAACTTCACATTGTAACAGTAAACCACTCTTACTGTCATCTTGGCATATCCTTCTAATCTTTCCTAGGCATGTATTACATATACATGTTTCAAAATTGTTATACACGTAAGTCCTTTTATTTTTTCACATAAAATACATTCTGAGCTATTCCTGCCTGTGTTAGCCCATTTACATTGGTTTAAAGAAATACACAAGGCTGGGTAATATAAAGAAAAGAGGTTTATTTTGGCTCACAGTCCTGCAGACTGTACAGGGAGCATGCTGCTGGCATCTGCTTCTGGTGAGGCCTCAGGAAACTTACAATCATGGCAGAAGGCAAAGTGGAAGCCTGCATGTCATATGGTGAGAGATGGAGCAAGAGAGGAGGGAGCTGCCAGGCTCTTTTAAACAGCCAGCTCTAGTGTGAACTTATAGAGTGAGAACGCTCTCATTACTGTGAGGACAGCAGCAAGTCATTCATGAGGGATCTGCTGCCATGACACAGACACCCCCTGCTAGGCCCACCTCCAACATTGGAGATCACATTTCGACATGAGATTTTGAGGGGACAAAACATTCAAACTGTATCACTGCCTTTACATGTTACTTGAAAATGTGATTTTAATGACTGCATAGTATTTGATCATATTAATATGCCATTAACTTTATTACTTTTTTATGCTTTTATAAACTTTTTTAATGCTTTTTAGTGAAGGTTCTTTTTTACAATCTTAATACACCTCTTTGATAACTTCCTTAAGATATCTTTTTTTGAAGCTACATTCCCTGGTCAAAAACAAAGATTGGTTAATACTTTTCATTTGGCTAGCTGATTGCCCTCTGAAAAGATTATATCAGTATATACTTCTGAAAGCAGTGTATGAAAGTGCCTATCCTTGCACCCTTGTCAAAACTGTATTTTATATTTAAACAAACGTACATATATGAGCAACAATCTGGATGAAGGTAAAGAAATCTTAATTTTTAATTTTTTGCTTACTAACAAATTGAACATTTTTATTTCATGTTGTTTAAACAACTCTTCTGACCAGTGATGAGTTAAAAGAAAAAATAGATCAATACAAGAACAAAACAGTTAATGATAAAGTAATAATAAGTAATATATTAATAGAGTTGGGAGTCTATATTTTATACTAAGCAAACTGACATCCAACATAATTTATAATTTGTATTTTTATAAATATAAAAATTATATAAATTATAATTTAAGTATAGTTTTTATATCCTCTTAGATACTATTTTGAACGTGTGGGATTCAGTGACTTAGCAAAGGTTTTTATTTGAGGCCATTCATTAATTCATAATTTAACAAATATTTACTGTCATTCTATGTGTCATTTACTGGGGACACATAGTGAACAAGACTCATGTGGCCTCTGGTCCCTTGAAGGAGAATAAAAATATTAAAATAGCTTATTTATTTATTTTTTTGACTGTCCTAAATTATGAGGTATGAATTTTACAAACTTTACTTATATTAGTGGTAACAGTGGAACTGGAGAGTTTTGCGCCTTCTCTAAGCTGCCCGGCAAGAACCACCAATAGCATGGTGGAACATACGGTCCTTTCCAAGCCCATGGCTCTTTCGGCCTGTAGATGTCAGCCCACACATCTCCCTGTGCTTATAGACTGCTTTGGTGATCCATTGGGTGTCAGGATTTCTTCTGATAGCTTTATGGAATGGATCAATGAGGATAACCTCAAAAAATTTGTATGTGTAATCTTCACCAACCCAATAAGAATTCAGGACTCTAAGAGCCCCACAGTGGCATCCAGCTCACTCCTCTGCAACGCACTGAAGGCTTCAGGCAAACTTTAGCTGATTAACACCATGATGAACAGGCTTGCCATTAGTTGCACCCTTAGGAACTGGGCGTTTTCTGCCACCACGGTGAACATGAATCCTATATATAATGTAACCTTGCTTGGCCTTGCAGCCTGGTCGGCGCGCTTTATCAGGCTGGGTGGGGCGGGGAGCCCTGTGGAGAGCAGAGAGCTGGCAGTACTGCCAGCAGCTGACTCTCAGAAGAAAGCGCATGACATGAGACTACTTCTTTCTCCATAGCTCCTGGATGTGCGGGTATGCACCCATCTTGGCTTACCTGATGGCTACTGCCAGACAGAAAGGAAAATAGCTTATTTACTATTTATTGCCACATATTATACTAACCTCATTACATATATTATTTCCTTTAATATTAAAACAATATTTGGTAACTGCATTTTAGAAACTAGCATGTTTCTAATTAAACCTGTTTACATCAACTAAAATACTAACATGCTTTGTAAAAGGCCCTTCAGTATTGAAAGTGTAGTGCATTGTGGTAAGCATAATATAAACACACAAAGCCCCATTTAGATATTGTGAGGCTTTCAGTATTTAGAATCTCAGTAGTGATGAGTTTAAAAGGCTAAGGATGATGGCAAAGCTGATTCCAACTTGGGGCTAAATTTTATTTGTCCTGCTTCTATGGAATTAGACCTGAGAGTCACCTATGGTAGGTCACAAATGCCTTTTCAATTTTGATTTGCTTGCATTTTCTATACAGGCTGTAACACTGCCGCATAAAACACTAGGGGCTCTTGCCAGAGGGGACTGTACAAGCAGTCCACAGATGTTCTCGAAGAAACTCCCTGGAACTTTACTACTCGGTTATACAAAGAGCCGTCAAGGCCAGGCATGGTGGCTCATGCCTGTAATCCCAACACTTGGGAGGCCAAGGTGGGCAGATCACTTGAGGTCAGGAGTTCAAGACCAGCCTGACAAACATGGTGAAACCCCATCTCTACTAAAAATACAAAAATTAGCTGAGTGTCTTGGTGGGCATCTGTAATCCCAGCTGCTCGGGAGGCTGAGGCATAAGAATCACTTGAACCCGGGAGGCGGGGGTTGCAGTGAGCCTAGATTGTACCACTGCACTCCAGCCTGGGCGACAGGGCGAGACACTGTCTCAAAAAAAAAAAAAAAAAAAAAAAAAAAGGAAAAGAAAGAGCCATCAACCGTCTTCATAGATTTCCTATAAGCCAGAGAATTTTCTCAGTGATCAAATTCTAACCAAGAAACTGAAATGTATTCATCAAACAGGCAGCTTTTAACATCTGAATAAATCTCTATAACTCTCTAGAGAAAATTAAGTTATAATTGTAGTACCATTAAACTGTGGAACATGGAAGTTGAAACTTAATTTTTGTTTAATAATTTAAAAACCATTCCTTAGAAAGGTTTTTGAGGCCCAATCTGTTGCAGCCACAATCTTACCGACTGGGGGAAAAATGCTTAGTTACAATTTTTAGGGGGGAATTACTGTCATGCTGCTGAGAAATGGATCCTGTCTTTTTTGACCTTCCTTCCTTCCTGAACGTCCTCTGCTAATGTTATTTCTGTGATTCAAATACTGCCAAGCACAGCACAAGTTTTTGCTGGAATTGACTTTAGAATGGACATGTGAGTGTTTATAATAAGGAAACAGATTCTTTTTTTCATAGGCTCTGTACTTAAAATATTTATTATCCTGAATAACCATATACCCCCAAAAAAGTACAGTTTGGCTACTGTATTAAAATTTGAAAATATCCTGCATTACATGTTTAGTAGCTCAGAGGCCACTTTTATTAAATGTAAAGACCAAAACTTCTGTGACCCTATCCTTACTATATTTTTTTAGAAAATATTTATAATCTTAAATCAGCTTTAGAGTGCAACTCAAAAACCATTTTAAAACCTAATGAATTAAATTATTAAGAAAACAAAAACCAAAATGATAAATTAGTCTTGGGTTAGCTTGATAAGATTTTTTTCAATAGTTTAGAACTGAACTATTCTGTTAATGAAAATTGTGACTAATGTAATTCTGAAGGACTTTCAAGACAGGTTCCTCTCTACTGTTTGTGTAGAATACGAGTAAAAGAATGATGAAAATTGACCCTCTCCAGACAAACCTATAGAGACTTCCACTACCTGCTAGAAGATGCCTAAGCTTCTCCATCTGGTGAGATGCTGTGATCTGCTCACCCCTCATTCAGTCAGGAAAAGGACACCTTGCAAATCCCTGACTTGTTTTGCTGGCTGTGGGCACACCTAGACACCAGCAAGGAAGAGAATAGAAGGCAAATTCTCCCCAAACCGGCTACTGCTTTGAACACCCTTAACTATCCTAGACCCTTCTGGTCTCAATCTTTGAAACTTTATAAGTTCTTCCAGCTATGCCAGGTTTCTTGAACTTCTGCTAATAGCCTTGTCTAATAGTCTCGACTGGCTGACATTAAATTCAAGTATAAATCTTGGAATTCAAACTCAAGAATCACTTGAACCCAGGAGACAGAGGTTGCAGTGAGCCGAGATCGTGCCATTGCACTCCAGTCTGGGCAACAAGAGCAAAACTCCGTCTCAAAAAAAAAAAAAAAAAAAAAAAACTCCTTCATAATCTGGATAATACTGCCCCAGTCTTACCTTCAGCACTCTTCATTTATTTACCTCAGGTAACTAAATTCTGCCATTGAGGGTGCTGGGGATGTATTTCCCTACCTGGAATGCTTTCCTCCTATCTCAATTCATGTCATACTTCTTAGACATACTCCTTAGAGACTCCAGCCAGCATTATTCTGTTGTTTCCCTTACCATTCAGACATAACACTTATCTTAAATTATATTAACAGCTACATCAGTCTTTGTTTCACATATTTGATCTTATGTTCTGTATTTCCCATGGTGCCTAGCATAATAACTGGGTGCACTCAGACATGATTTCCTATAGAAAATCATTTTTAAACCTCATGTTTGTCTAGGTGCCTCTCTTCTAGCACCCTGTATAATTGAAATTATCCTGTTTGTTTGTTTCCAATGCTTGCCCAGGTTCTCATGGTTATGTATTCAAAAGCACATATACAAACACAGAGTTAATGCTAAGCATAGTTCTTGGCACAGAGTAGGTTCTAAAAAAATATTTTGGCCAGGCGCGGTGGCTCACGCCTATATTCCCAGCACTTTGGGAGGCCGAGGCAGGCAGATCATGAGGTCAGGAGATGGAAACATCTAGAGATCAGACCTTGCCTTTCCATTAATGGTCCCATATGTCCATGACATGTTTATTAACTCTTTCCTAAAATGTCAATGTAAGGAATACTCAAATTGGCCAGCATCAGAGATATTGTTTACTGAATTAACACTAAGGCTTTATATTTCTTGCTAAATGCTTTCTGTCAGTTCAATACTTTGATGTCAAAAATGCACACAAAAGAGACTATTTAAATAACATGGCCAAAAGATGAATATAGCAAAATTCTCAGACTAAACTGAAATGCCAAGAATTTTTTTGTTTGCAGCAGTCCTATTTACTGTCTAATCTATACGTTTTTCTGATTTAGATACCTAAATATCTAAACTTCTGTTTTAGTTTCCCCAAAAGCCTTAAGAGTTCCTTCATCAAGCCTTTGGTCCTCTAGCTCTGTCTTCCTCCAGCTATATAATTGTGTTCATATTCTGTTCCTCATCAGGACCACAGCTAAGGAAGAACTCCTCTTTGCTATTGGATGGTAGGGTTGATGAGCAGAAATCTGCTATTTAAATGTTTAATTTTTAACAAGATTATGAAGCATATAAAGAAACAGGAATATATAGCCCATACACAGGGATAAAAGGAGGCAAGAGAAACTGTCTCCAAGGAAGTCCATACATTGGACTTACTAGACAAAGATTTTAAATCGCCTATTTTTAATATATTTCAAAGAGCTAAAGGAAACCATGTCTGAAGAACTGAAGGGAAGTATGAGAATGATATCTCAGCAAATAAAGAATATCATCTTTGATACAAATTATAAAAAGGAATCAAATATAAATTCTGGAGTTAAAAATACAATAACTGAAGTAAAGATATACTATAAGTGTTCAGCAGCAAAGTTAAGTTGGCAGAAGGGAGAATCTGAATTTAAAGGTCAGTCAATTGAGATTCTTTTTTAAAAATTTTTATTTCTTTTCTAAATTAGAGATGGAGTCTTGCTATGTTGACCAGGCTGGTCTCCAACTCCTGGCCTCAAGCAAGCCTCCCATCTTGGCCTTCCAAAGTGCTGGGAGTACAGGCATGAGCCATGGCACCTGGTCGAGATTCTTGAGTTTGATAAAATCACACTGATAATTCCCAGGCAACCATGCCAAAATATATAGTAAAAAAAACAAGGGAATTAAAATGGTACATAGAAAATATTGATTTAACAGACCTCTTAAGGAGATACTATTTTTAAATTATTTTATAGATAAGGTAACAGACTTAGAGCAGTTCTACTGCTCAAGTACATAATAGAGTCAGACTCAGAAGCCCAGTCTGTCACCAAAATTCCTTACTATAGGCTTACAAGGGAGATAGATGAAATTCTCTGGTAGAACATAGAAATGGTTAAGCCCTATTATTTTAATAACCACCATTTACACATACCATACTCTTATGATTCTGTCAGATAAGGAATGGAAAGCTCAAGAACGGTCAGTGTCTTCCCAGAGTGATGGTTGCTAGTAAGTGGTAGAACTGGGATTTGAATGAAAGTATATAGGGTTCAAGGTTTTCTGTTGCCCATGATGTTTTGAGATGGCAACCTAAATATTATGTGGTTTTAGCCCACTCACAACTGGGTGAGCATAAGTAGTACAGCAGACCTTTTTCAGACATCTGACTTATCTTGCATGCTAGTAGTAATGCAAGAGGATAACACAAGCTTTATAGAAAAACAGCATTGAAATTTTCCTTTCCTGGTTTTGTAATTTACAGACATAAACTTCCTTATTTGTTTCCTCTTTCACAGAACATGAAGTAACCTGAAGTAACTCAGTGCTTTTAAATAAAACAACCACATAAAAAATTAGATGATATGTTTCTGATTTTACTTTATATCAACTGATAAATTCAACTACATATTAAGATATTTACAGTAATGTAAATACAGCCCAGTACTTGTTTTGATTTCTTGTAAAAAGCTACTTTCTCTTTGTAACCTGATTAGGCGTAGCTTGGGGTCTTCTGAAAAAGATAAACAAAAGCAAGGAGGCAGTCTGTTTTCTTCCAGTATCAGCAAAGAAAGACTGTAGAATTTCATGATTTAATTTTAAGACAACTCACATTTATCATCATCTTGATATTTATATCCTTGACTTTTACCAAAGTCTATTTTAGAAATGCCCGTTGCTCTCAGAAAAGAAGAGTTTGTTTTTCTAGGCTGCATTAAGGAAACTCAAGAGATTTCAGCAAAACTTTATTGCTGAAGAATCTGTGCCCCTCCTGGATCTAAATAAGGAGGGGACTGTTTAAAGTTCTTACTTTAGGGGAAATTACATCAAATGCTTAGGAAAATGACCCATTTTCCCTCCTAATTCATCATAATCTTCTTCTTCAAACAAGTTCTAGGACATTTACACTTTCCTGTAAGTAAATGTTCAGTGGAGCATTCCAGATTTCTAAGTTTCTGAATTTGTCCTTAGAATATTCCTTTTTTTTTCTTCACTATTTTGAGTATTTAACATTATGAGTTTGGGAGTTTAGGTTCCAAACTCAACTGATTTTAAGGATCAAGTAGATAAAATGAATAAAGAGGGCAGAGGTAATGTGTAAGGGAGTGTGTGGCCTAATAGCTACCTGGAAAGGACGTGGCTGCTTAAAGGCATTCAAATTCAATTGTTTAAAAATATTGTGGAGTCATTAAAACATATTGCTGGTCAAAGGTCCCATGGTTTCTCAGTTTCTCAATTACTACAGAATTATTCCCTTAGAAATTTGTGTCCAATAGTCAAAAAGTTTGGCTATTTTTTTAAGTATATTTGGATAAATTACCTACCAAGTTTTTGCATATTGGAGACCACCAAGGAGTTCATACTGCCAGATTAACTCACATTTATATAAACCTTGAAAGAATGCTTATCCTGCCATTTCTGAGCATTTATAAGTGAATTCTATCATTGATTAAGAAATTTATGGCCAAGCACAGCAGCTCATGCCTGTGATCCCAGCACTTTGGGAGGCCGAGGCAAGTGGATTACCTGAGGTCAGGAGTTTGAGATCAGCCTGGCCAACATAGTGAAACCTTGTCTCTACTTTAATAAATACAAAAATTACCCGGGTATGGTGGTATGCACCTGTAATCCCAGCTACTCGGGAGGCTGAGCCAGAAGAATCTCTTGAACCCAGGAGGTGGAGGTTGCAGTGAGCCGAGATAGTGCCGCTGCACACCAGCCTGGGCAACAGAGTAAGACTCCGTCTCAAAAAAAAAAAAAAAAAGGCATGGCTCTTCATAGAGGTCTCTTTGAATTGAAGTTTGTGCATGTCTGTTCACTTAAACAAGTGTAAAGAACATTCTTGTGTTTTGCTCATTTAAATGTAAAATGCTAGACAAGATACAGATGCATCTTCATCATACGTGCCCTTCTCAAACTGTTATGATACTTTTATGATTTGTTGTAAGCTTTAAATAGCTCTTTTTTTTTTTTTTTTTTTTTTTTCTGAGACAGTGTCTTACTCTGTTGCCCAGGCTGGAGTGTAGTGGCGCGATCATGGCTCACTGCAGCCTCAACCTCCCAGGCTCAGGCAGCCCTCCTACCTCAGCCTCCTGAATAGCTGGGACTACAGCCACATACCACCACACCTGGCTAATTTTTGTATTCTTTGTAGAGATGGAGTCTTGCTGTGTTGCCCAAGTTAGTCTTGAACTCCTGGGCTCAAGTGATACGCCCACCTAAGCCTCCAAAAGTGTTGAAATTGCAGGCATGAGCCACTGTACCCAGCACTAAATAGTTTTTACTTTACTTTAAATTTGTAAGAAATATATGCAGCTTTTGGATTGTATTTGCAATTCAGCTTTGACATAAAAATTGTCTACTTTAAGCTTTGAGATCTGTTTAATTGAAGAGAACCAGGAATAGTAAGGAAAGCAATTGAATTATTATTACTTGCAATTTATTGTCCATGTGAATCAACTTTTTTTCCTTACAATGCAACCAAAAGACACAATTTGGATATGGCTAATATAAGTTGGGTATCATTTATTACTCTTTAGTAAGAAGTCTTTTGATTGCAAATAACAATGACCCAACTCAAAGTAGCTTAGGCAAAACAGAGGAATTTGTTGGCTAAGGTAACCAAATCACAGAAAGGATGAGATGGTGCTTGCTCAAGAACTACCCAATTCAAGGACACTGTCCCTGTCCTCTGCCCACCATTCCCATCTTCACTTTGCCAAATTTCTCATCACTGCTTTTCTCTGTGAGTTGGTTTAATTCTTTCCTACTACAGATAGGCACTATCTGCTTGGTAGGAAGAATAACTTTGGTGGGAAGGATAGGCCATTTTTGGATTAATCTTTCAGCCTCTATCCCAGGGATGACCTAATTTAAGTCAAGGGACCACCTCCACCCAGTAATTAGGGGCAGAGGACAGTGGTTTGAGGTTCTGTCTTGCATATCTGCCTACCCTGCAAGTTTACCCCTGAGATCAGGACAGCAGGATCTGTTGCTAGAAGGAAGAAGAAGGCATGCAAGGTTATATATATTTTATGTCTTGGAATTCCACATAAAAGGATGCCACTACTGAAAATATTTGAAAATTACTGAATTAGAGTTTTATGAAATCAATTACTCCTTTAACTTGTATACGATTTTATAAATGTTATGTAACATCATTAGATTTCTCAGTCATGGGGCTCAAGTATAGGTTTATTCATTTTTTGTAATCATGCGAATTCTGATTGGTGTTATTATTTGTTGAACAGATATTTATTGAGCACTACCAGTATGCCAAACCCTATGCTCAACACAGAAGATGGAATGGTAAACAGACAGACCTGATGCCTCCCTTTATGGAACTTAAACAAAAAGAGGGACATACAAACAAATATCACCAGTATGAGGTTGTATGCTATGATCAGGAGTTATGAAGCAAAAAGACAATAGAGATATCCAAGTAGATGATTAAGTGAAGAGACTAAGGCTGATAAGAGTGAGCCAAACCATGGGAGAGAAAGCAGAGAGTAGTCAAGGCAGAAGAAAAGCCTGTGTGAAAGCTCAGAGGCAAAAAAGGAGTATTGGAGAAGCCAAAAACTGCATTGTAGAGAAGGTGTAATACGGAAGGAGAATGGGGAGTGAGTAATAAGTGAAGAAGCTGAAGAGGTATGCCAAGTTCAGATAATGTGGTCTGTAATGATTTTTTTAAAAGCCTTTTCCTAAATGTGATGAGTAGCCAGTGAACAGTGTAGAGCAGTCAAGTAAAATACACAATTTAGAAACATCCTCCTAGCTGCAGAGTGGAAATGAGTTGGTGAGAGGGAGAGTTGGATGCAGGGCAACAGAAGATTGCTGCAATAATCTGGATGAGACAGGATGGCCAGAGGGGAGTAGCTGTGGAGATCAGGAGGAGGGGTTGGGTTTGGTAAATATTTAAGAAGTGGAATCAATAAGATTTGGTAATTAACAGTATGTGGGGGACAAGGCAGAGGGAAAAGTAAATCTTCACTTCCAGGTTTCTGCCACAGGTTGGCAAGTGAATAGTGGCATCACACACTGAGGAACTCAAAAGAAAAGCAGATGGAAAAGAGAATGATTCAGTCTAAGAGGCAATTTGATGCACAGGTTAGAAAGTCAGAGGAGGGAAGTAGTGTCTGGTCAAAATATAAGTCAGTCTGATAAAAATTTAAAACAACAACAATGAAACAATGGCATTGACCCAGAATGCTATTGCAAGATCTTGTGAAGAATATACGCATAGCCCTGATCTTGTCTGTCTGTGCAATTCTATTTGACAGATGTTTGTTGGATACTGTTATGCAAGATGTAAGAAGAGTTTTTTGTGTTTTTGAGACAGGGTCTTGCTCTGTCACCCAGACTAGAATGCAGTGGTGCGATCTCTGTTCACTGCAACCTCCACCTCCCGGGTCCAAGCAATTCTCCTAACTCAACCTCCCAAGTAGCTGGGATTACAGATGCCTGCCACTGCGCCCGGCTAATTTTTGTATTTTTAGTAGAGATGGGGTTTCACCATCTTGGCCAGGCTGGTCTTGAACTCCTGACCTTGTGATCCACCTGCCTTGGCCTCCCAAAGTGCTGGGATTACAGGCGTGAGCCACCATGCCTGGCCAGAAGAGTTTTTAAAACTTAGAAATTATTTTTTAAATTAATTTTTAAAATTTTTATTTTATTTAAAAAAAAAATTTAAGGCTGGGCATGGTGGCTCACACCTGTAGTCCCAGCACTTTAGGAGGCTGAGGCAGATGGATCACTTGAGGTCAGGAGCTTGAGACCAGCCTGACCAACATGGTGAAACCTCATCTCTACTAAAAAAAAAAAAAAACCCACAAAAATTAGTTGTGCATGGTGGTGCAAGCCTGTAATCCCAGCTATTCAGGAGGCTGAGCCAGGAGAATCACTTGAACCCGGGAGGCAGAGGTTGCAGTGAGCCTGATCGCACCACTACACTCCAGCCTAGGTGACACAGCGCGACTCCTTTTCAAAAAAAAAAAAAAAAATTTAATTATTGTGGGTATATAGTAGGTATATATATATATATATATTTGTGAGGCACATGAGATGTTTTGATACAGGCATGCAATGTGAAATAAGCACATCATGGGGAGTAGGGTATCCATCCCCTCAAGCATTTGTCATTTGAGTTACAAACAATCCAATTACACTCTTAAGATATTTTAAAATGTACAATTATTATTGACTATAGTCACCCTATTGTGCTATCAAATAGTAGGTCTTATTCTATTTTTTTGTACCCATTAGCCATCCCTACCTCCTCCTCAACCCCTACTACCCTTTAAAAATTAAAAAATCATGTCAGTCTGAATAATTACATTTTGTTTTGTTTTGTTTTTGAGACAGAGTCTCGCCCTGTCACCCAGGCTGGAGTGCAGTGGCACGATTTTGGCTTACTGTAGCCTCCCTCCCAGGTTCTAGCAATTCTTATGCCTCAGGCTCCCAAATAATTGGGACTACGGATGGGCACCACCACGCCCAGCTAATTTTTGTATTTTTGGTAGAGACGGGGTTTCACCTTGTTGGTGAGGCTGGTCACAAACTCTTGTCCTCAGGTGATCCTCCTGATCCCAAAGTGCTGGGATTACAGGTGTGAGCCACCGCACCCAGCCAATTACATTGTTGAAGTCAAAGAAAATATAGAGATGAATCTCTAAATTAAAAATGTTTTATTTGGAAAACAAGAATTGCATTTTGGGACAGATTGGGTGATCTTCAGTATGTACAAAGAACAAAGAGAAGGTTGGCACTAGTAAAGTTTTGAGGAGCTGGCAAGCTGTGATTGGTGACAGCAGTGGGTAGTTAGTCTTAGAGTCACAACAGATTGTTTCGGCAGCTATTAGATAATACTGGTTTCAGGTTACCACAGGCAGTTTCAGCAGCGGGCTTGCAGAGAATTACATTCATGGAGCAACATTATATGCCCTAAGTGCTTTTTCCTCCTGGCCCCTCAATTGATTTAGTTGGATATGACAAGAATGACCCAATTTTTATAATCAACTTTCACAACATATTATTTTTTTCATCATAATAAAGGTGACCCAATTAAGATAAATGCCTCATTCTCTACTTCACTCTCAAAATGTTTCTTTGGTGCTTTCCCTCTTACACAACTGGAGTCTGCTTTTGTAGCTCAGACCCTTCTCAGTTTGATTCATTTCAATAATCATTTATTAGAGGCCTCTGCTAAGGGTAGGATAAAGGGAAGAAAGTGCTGCCTGTTCTCAAGGAATTAAGGGTCTTTTGGGAAAATCTGACATGTATATAAATGGTTTCAATATAGTGTTTTAAATACTGTGATGGGGAGTTTGTAAAAATTGTTTTCAAGCTCTTTGGTTCTATTTTTGGGACAATTTTTATTCTGATCGTTGGCTTTTTAATCAAAGTCTATATAAATATTTATGCAATCTGCCTTCTAATCACAAACCATGTTGAGACAGTACTACCCAGAATTGCTTTGAACTTCATTTCTAGATGCCATCATTGGTTCAGACAATTGCAATTTAAGGCAGGGGGCTGGAGCAAATCATAGGGTTATCATCCACTTCCCGTGCTTTGAATTCCAACTGTTTCTTAATTTTTGTATCTCCTGCATTAACTCTATGCACACTAGCAATAATCCACCCAGGCCAGAAGGCCTCCAGCTATCTTACCCACCAGAAAATGAGTTCATGTGCAGGTTAATGAGTATCACAGCCTTGCAGAGGTGGTAATTAAAATTCAGGGAATTCTGGGTGTTGGATAGCTGAAAAAGATATTTTAAGATTAATCTCCATTGAAAGTGGCTTCTATTCCTCAGGGATCTAGAACTAGAAATACCATTTGACCTAGCCATCCCATTACTGGGTATATACCCAAAGGATTATAAATCATGCTGCTATAAAGACACACGCACACGTATGTTTATAGCGGCATTATTCACAATAGCAAAGACTTGGAACCAACCTAAATGTCCAACAATGATAGACTGGATTAAGAAAATGTGGCACATATACACCATGGAATACTATCCAGCCATAAAAAATGATGAGTTCATGTCCTTTGTAGGGACATGGATGAAGCTGGAAACCACCATTCTCAGCAAACTATCGCAAGGACAAAAAACCAAACACCGCATGTTCTCACTCATAGGTGGGAATTGAACAATGAGAACACATGGACACAGGAAGGGGAACATCACACATCGGGGACTGTTGTGGGGTGGGGGACGGGGGGAGGGATAGCATTAGGAGATATACCTAATGCTAAATGACGAGTTACTGGGTGCAGCACACCAACATGGCACATGTATACATATGTAACAAACCTGCACGTTGTGCACATGTACCCTAAAACTTAAAGTATAATAATAATAAAATAAAAAAAAGAAAGTGGCTTCTGATCACTTGGGCCTCCTCTCACCTACTTAAATAAGATTCAATCCATGATTGGCAATAATACCCATACAGCACATAGAAGAATATTGTGAAAACGCTAAGGAAGAGCTAGTTGAGTCAGTTTTGTAAAGCACTTGGAACTCAGTAAGCCGTTAGTAAATGTCAGTTGCCTGTGTTAACCATCATTATCATTTAAGTATTTAAGTGGAAGAGAAGGGGGGAAGGACATTCTAGGCCAAGAGAATAACTTATTTGGGAACATGAAAGTGAATGTCATTTTCCAAAATGACTCAGTATAGTTGGGAAGTAGAGTATAATGCAGAGAACAGTGATGAGAGATGGTGCTAATGAGAGAGAGTTATGTTGGGACCAGATTGTAAAGAATCTTCAATGCCTGCTAAAGAATTTCTACTTTGCAAAATATACAGTGGGAGCCATTGAAAAAAATTTTGTGGAATTTTTTTTCCCTAATATGTTATTCAGGTTTTCTTTATGCTTTTTTATGAAAAATTTCCAACATACACTGAAGGAAAAAAAAAAGGCAGTATAATGACCCCCACGTACTCATTATCCAGCTTTAACCATTATCAATATGTGGCCAATGCATTGATGATTTTAAAGCAAGGCAAGAAAGACTAACATTATACCACATCCTTTACCTTTATCCTTTATCTTCACTATGTCCTGTGGAGTATGTGGTACTCCCACTTTCCCTAATTATAAATGAGAAAATCATTAACATGATAAAGTAAGTAAAAGCTCTGGGATTCTAACCCACATCCAACTGATTTCAGAGCTCAAGGTCATTCCTGTCTTGCATCTAAAGTAGAGCGTGATTCCCCGTTGAAAACAGCTGCTGATCCATCTACAGTAACAGTACCTATTGGTGCTCTTGACCCTATTCAGGATGGTAGGCTTCTCTGCCTGCAGCCACTCTCCTTCCAGAGGGTCACCAGAATCTAAGTCCACATAAATGCTCAACCTAGTCAGCTAAAGTAACTGTGCAGTTCAGTAGTTTTCAAAGTATGGTCCCAGGCCAGTGGCAAGTTGTTAGAAAATGCAGACTCTTAGGGCCCATCTTCAGCCTGCTGAATCAGAGACTCTGGGTGGGGCCCAACAATTTGTGTTACTGTTTTTTTAATCAGACTTTATTGTTTAGAGCAGTTTTAGTTCCACAGCAAAATTGAACAGAAGGTACAGAGATTTCCCTTACACTCCCTTCCCCTACATACAATTCCTCCCACTATCAACATCCCCCATCAGAGTGGCACATTTGTTGCAATTGATGAACCTACACTGACACCATCATCATCACCCCAAATTCACAGTTTACATTAGGGCTCATTCTTTGTATTGTACATTCTCAGTTTAGACAAATGTATAATGATATGTATCCACCATTGTAGTATCATACAGAATGGCCTCACTGCCCTGAAACAATCTGTGCTTTTATAAGCTCTGAAGTGATTCTCAGGCATGCTTAAAGTTGAGAACATCTGGTTTAGTTAGACCTTAGAAAATGGAAGGCAGCTCGTATCTGAAGGATCTTCCTTACCCTTAAAGGCTTACAGGGTTTTTTGCCTACCCGGAAAAGAAGAGAGGGCAAGACTGAAATACATTTGTTTTGTGCTTGTGAATTGTTAAGATAGTAAAAACTAGGATTTATTACTATTAAGTAGGGATTTGCCTTTTTAAAAAGAGTGGTTCAAATCCCTGTTGGAAGTAAATCCTTTTCATATAAGTAGTTAGGTACTACTAGTGCACCAAGTCGCCATTTTTTTCACTCTTTTATGTTAAATAATGCACATCTGTATAATTCTGGCTGACATTCTTCCAACTTAAGTGAAGAAAGATGCTTCTACATCTAAATTCAAAACTATCAACAAAAGTTCAGTATTTCTAATCAAGCTCCTTTTGTTACGGGATCTCTGGGGTGCCAGTTTTTCTGGCTAGAAACCTCTGTGGCCATGGTGCCTTTGCCCAAGTTCTTGTCCTGTGTCCTGGAAGTATGCGGTAGGCAGACAAGTGAAGGGTAAAGAAGAATTTTATTTACTGTTAAAACAGCTCAGAGGAGTGAGTAGCTCCTCTCTGTAGGCATATCGTCCCTTGGAGTGTTCAGCTCTCAGCAGAGAGGAGGCCCTGGAGAGGGTGGCTTTTGTCCACAGGCAAGTCATTGGGATGTCTCTGCAGGTCTCTGAAGCTCCCCTCTCTGCTGGCAAGTTGTCTCTGCAGCTCTCAATGGAGAGAGTACTCCTCTCTGCAGCTGGCCATCCCATCGTCTCCAGCTATTAGCAGAGAGAATACTCCTCTCTGCAACTGGTCATGCCATCCTCTCTCTACCCTATTCCTCCTCTGGCCATCCTCTGCTCTGCTCTGTCTGAGCCCAGGGCTTTTATGGACCTCAGAATGGAGGAAGTGTGTGTGGATTGGTCTATGGGCAGCCATGGGAAGGCCCAGAAGAGGCACCACCAGTCCCCACTCTAGTCTGCTGGACTGGCAGTCCAGCCCCCAGTCTTCAGGCCCTCCCTGGCCTGAAGGTGGGGCCTTACTGGGAACCCACCCTCTTCTGCCCAGGACTCTGCCTCCCATTGCTATTCAGGGCCCTGGGGCTCAGCCCCAACCCCACTAATCTGAGTGGGCTCCAGGAGAAGAGAGAGGCCAAGCAGCGGGAACAGATATCCCCAAGCCAGCAGGGACAGGGGCAGGGGGCCCTTCCCGGCCCTCCCCCAGGAGCACAGGGAGGCTTGGATCCACAGCTGCAGATTGGTCAGCTGTAGCCAGTCCCAGGAGGGTGGGGCTCCTGCCTGCTCCGTAGACCAGGAGGCCAGGGTCTGTAGGTGCAGTTTGAGCGACTGCAGTGGTACCTGGGCAGCTCCCGTCCCAACTCAGAAGGGGCAGGGCTCTGTAGCCACTGGCTCCATGGAGTGTGCAACCCCAGCAATGCTTCCCTGCTCTAGCCGGCATGATGGCAGCAGCCACTGCCATCACTTTGGTAAGGCTTTGGCAGCCATTTCGATAATCGTGTCTACTGGTGGACCCTGGGATACGTGCGTCAGTTATTATCTCATGATGAGATAATATATGTTTTATTGCTGAAGTGAAATACACCGTGGCAACAAATTCCTTCTTGAATGTCTTTATGAAGTGTTTAGAAATTTATTTGTTTGTTTGTTTGTTTTAAAGATAGGGTCTCGCTCTGTTGCCCAGGCTGGGGTGCAGTGGCACGATCATAGATCACTGCAGATTCAAACTCCTGGGCTCAAACAGTCTTCCTGCCTCAGCCTCCCAAGTAGCTGAGATCATAGGCACAAGTCACTGTACCCAGCTGGAATTTTTAAAGTAGGATTTAAGAAGCTGAGTGAATGTATAATTCCTGATTTGTAATATACTTCTATCAAAATTAAAAGTACAATGCCTTTAGTAAGAAATATCTATAATCAGAAATGATCCTGATTATGGTAAGGTCAAAAACAGAAGTACCAGCAGAACTTTGATTTTCTTTTCTTCAACTTTTCTCCTCCCTCTCACTTGCACCCATACAGCTAGCACAGAGCCTAGGCACAGTGGGTACTGTTTATATTGTACTGAGATAATAGAAACTGTGTGGGTATATGGTTCACCTTAAAATCCATGCCTTATTTTTTTTTGAGCTCATGATGCCTGTATTACCATTTGCTGAACTCAAAATACTCCAATGGTTTCCTGCCAAAATGTAATCATGTTATGATTGTCCACCAAGACCATTTCTAAGGTAGAAACCTTACATCAGAAGATGTTATATGTTTCTTTTTCTAAACAAGTTCAGGAAAAGTATGTCCTGATACAGGAAATTTATTCAGACTTAACACCAGCAGTGTCTCTGGTTATGTTACATAATTACATGGAAATCATAGTAATAATATTTGCAGTGCCTAAATTTGAAGTGCTCAATGGTGTCATCTAGTGGTGTAAGCACTATAGAAGGTGCAGCTTTATTACTCAGTGCTTTTGGGACAGAATTTGTGTATTTAAAAAAAAAAAAAAAAAGTTTAATGGAACAGCCAAACATAAGATACAATGGAAGACTTCCATTGAGGATTCTTAGATATAGTACCAACACAGAAGCAACAAAAGAAAAATAGCTGGGTGGGGCGTGGTGGCTCATGTCTGTAATCCCAGCACTTTGGGAGGCCAAGGTGGGCGGATCACGAGATCAGGAGATCGAGACCATCCTGGCTAACACGGTGAAACCCCGTCTCTACTGAAAATACAAAAAAAAAAAAAAGCCGGGTGTGGTGGCGGGCACCTGTAGTCCCAGCTACTCGGGAGGCTGCGGCAGGAGAATGGCATGAACCCAGGAGGCAGAGCTTGCAGTGAGCCGAGATCATGCCACTGCACTCCAGCCTGGGCAATAGAGCAAGACTCTGTCTCAAAAAAAAGAAAGAAAAATAGCTAAATTAGACTGCATCAAAATTTAAAACTTGTAAGCCAGATGCAGTGGTGAGTGCCTGTGGTCCCAGCTATTTAGGAGGCTGAGACAGGCGGATTACTGGAACCCAGAAGTTTGAGTCCAGCCTGGGAAACATGACAAGACCTTATCACTTTTTTTAAAAAAGTAAAACTTTTGTACATCAAAAGAAACTTTCAAGAAAGTGAAAAGACAGCCCACAAAATGGGAGAAAATATTTGCAAATCATACATATTGTAAGAATCTAGTATCCAGAATATATAAAGGATTCTTACAACCCAACAACAAAAAGACAACTTTATTTATTTATTTATTTTCTGAGACTGAGTCTTGCTCTGTCACGCAGAGCTGTATTTCAATAGCACAAACTCGGCTTACTGCAACCTCCACCTCCTGGGTACAAGCAGTTCTCCTGCCTCAGCCTGCCAAGTAGCTGGGATTACAGGCAGACGCCACTACATCAGCTAATTTTTGTATTTTTAGTAGAGACGGGGTTTCACCATTTTGGCCAGGCTGGTCTCGAACTCCTGATCTCTTGATCCGCCCACCTCAGCCTCTCAAAGTGCTGGGATTACAGGCGTGACCCACCACACCCAACCTGACAACCTAATTTAAAAATGAGTTAAGGACTTGAGTAGGCTTTTCACCAAAGAAGATATACAAATGGCCAAATAAGCACATGAAAAGTTGCTCAACATAGTCATTAGAGAAATGCAAATCAAAACTACAAAGATATACCGTTCCTAATCACTAATATGGCTTTCATAATTTAAAAAAAAAATACCAAAATACAAAAGAATAAGTGTTGGCAAGGGTGTGGAGAATTTGAACCCTCATACATTGCTAGTAGAAAGGTAAAATGTTGCAGTCACTGGAAAACAGTTTGACAGTTCCTCAAAATTAAACATAGAGTTATCATATGACCGAGCAATTCCATTCCTGGGTATATTCCCAAGAGAAATGGAAACAGGTGCTCAAACAAAACCTTGTACACAAATGTTCATAGCAGCATTATTTATTTATTTTTTAACTTTGCAGCATTATTTATAATAGTCAAAAAATGGGGAAAAGGCAAATTTATATCACCTGATTAATAAACAAAATGTGGTACAACTGAATATTATTAAGCTGTAAAAAGGAATGAAGTACTGATAAATCAATGAGCCTTGAAAATATTATGCTGGGCAACAGAAGCCAGGCACCAAAAGTCATATATTATATGATTTGATTTATATGAAATATCCAGAGTAGGCAAATCCATAGAGGTAGAAAGCAGACTAGTGGTTGCCAGGGGCTGGGGGAAGGAAGGGATGGAGAATGACCACTTAACAGGTACAGTGTTTTTGGAGAAGTGGTGGAAATGTTCTGGAATTAGATAATGGAAATTGTTAAACAACTTTGTCAGTGTACTAAAAGCCACTGAGTTGTACACTTTAAAATTATTAAAATGGTGACTTATATTGGGTGAATTTTACCTCAATTTTTACCTCTACTGATTGGCAAGACTTCAGAACCTTGATTATTATTAATTATTATTATTATATTTTTCCATAGTTATTGCTAGTGTATATGTCATATGTATATTCTGTTTTTTTAACCTAAAATTATTTGATACATACTTGTCATCTATACAGTTTCCACGGTTTTTATTTTGGTGACAGTACACATCATAGCTTAATCATTCCTCAAATGTTCAGTGATTTTCTCTCCTTTTTTTTTATTTCAAAGATCCCTGTTACAAAATGTTTAAGGAAATAAGAATGTTTCCAACCCTTCATAGATATTACACTGGGTTTTCTTCCCCAAAGCAGTATCTCTGAGTCACTTTTCTTTTTTTAATATTTCTATTGTGTTTTTTCTGTCACTGCTGTTCAGTAAATATACATATACCAATGTATAATCCTACCAATAATGGATTGGGGGAAAACGGAGATTATTGTAGAGTGTCTACTCTTTTCCAGGCACTGCACCTGCATCCTTTCACGTTTATTATTTCACTTAACTCCTACACCTAAGCAGATGAGCAAAGATCAGAACCCACGCATTTTGTCTCTAAGTTGTGTCCTGTTTTCCCACAGCTTTACCAATATTGGATCTTACCTCTTTTAGTTCCTGTTTATTAGAGAGATTCAACATTTTCTCAAGTGATTGTTAACTGTTCATATTTACTTACAATCTGTATCTTTTGTCCATTTATTATTAATAATAAATTTTAAACTGAACATACCTACTTTTCTCATAGGCAGAAGATATCATATGTCAAGGCTTTACTGTAATTTTTTTTCTTTTATTTACTCCTCTATTACAGGCTCTTGATGGAAATGTGTATGATCATCTCAAGGATTATTTAATAGCCTTCAGCCGGACTGAGCTAGAAACATGCCAAGCTGTGCAGAACACATTCCAGTTTTTATTAGAAAACTCCAGCAAGGTAAGTTACCTTTAGTGCAACGTGTAGTGTTATCCAACTTAGAAGCTAAAGTATTTCTGCATACAAAGAAAATGAAGGTACTAGTGATATTAGAAGAATGCATTAACGAACAAATTTCCTGGTAACAGCATTCCTTCTAACAAAGTTGGAGGAGATTCTGTTCTCCTTGTTGATGAGTTGAAGATGGCACCAAGGGCAAAAAGAGAGGTGCTGATACAAGGTAGCTTAGAACATTGGCCCATTGCCATGTGCATTGCCTTTGAGAAGGGTTTAAACAGTTTTGTATTCTACTCAGAGTTTAAATGCACTCTGCTCACATGGGGGAAACAACAGGTCATGTGTCAGTACAAAGAGTACTAAAAGAGCACGAAGGGAAAAGGAGCGTTTTGTAATTGATATAAAAACAACAGTGTCTTGGGTTTTTTTCAAATTAAGCCCTACTATCTATATGCTGTCATTCTTTGACAGCAGTCGTTTCATTTAAAAGTGTTGAGATCCATCAGGTTTGCTGACATGTCACATTGTATGCAGAGAAAATAAATGCAATGACTTTTCTTCAAGATTTGATAGATTAAAATGTTTTGCAGTCGTGAAACTATCCTTTGGAAGATAAATTGTTCCTGTGGTTGGCAAATGTTTTTTATCTGATAAATTAAATTCACAATAAATGTTTCCTGACTAAAGGAATGCATTTTTTAAAAATACGCATTTCATAACTGCTACTTTAAAAGATCCAGTTCAATTTTTTTTTTTTGTCAGGGAGAGTGAGAACTGGCTAATACTTTTAGGAGAGGGATCAGGATATCCATTTTCACATGACAGTGTCCAAAGACAGGAAAGAAAAGCACAGACTCTTCATCCTGAATGCCTCTTGTATATATATTCTTGTTTTCACTGTACCAGAGCTCTCAATTCTGTGTTTATAAAAGTGTTAAAAATGCTAGGTTGATACGGAAATACAAAAATCACTAGCCTGGTGCTTTGAAGTCCTGTCATGTATCTGTTTTCCTATATTGTCATCCCCCAAAATCTAAGAGAAAAGGAAAATGTAGTAAAACATTAATTGAGGAATCTATGTAGTATGTATATAAGTATTTACTGTATAATTTGTTTGATTTTAATGTATATATATTTGAATTTTTCAGAAAAGAATGTTGGGGGAAAAGTCTATGAAAAAATCTTATCTTTGTTCCTTCTATGAAGTGGTTGATTTTTGAGTGAACAATTTTGTTGTTGTTGTTGTTATTTTTAGTAGAGACAAGGTTTCAACATGTTGATCAGGCTGGTCTTGAAGTCCTGGCCTCAAGTGGTCCACCCGCCTTGCCTCTCAAAGTGCTGGGATTACAGGCATGAGCCACCATGCCCAGCCGTGATCAAATTTTTTATGTTTATTTGTCCATTTAGATTTTCTGTCTCTTTTTCAGTATATTTGGGTAACTTACATTTTCCTGGACAATTGTCCATTTCATTAAAATGTCCAATTTTCCTAGGCAGTTGTCCATTTCATTTATCAGATTTGATGTCATAAACTTGTTTGCTTCTAGAATTGTCTCTGTTTTTGTTTTTAATATTGTGTGTGCCCTCTGTCTTATTTTGACCAGACTTGCCAGTCTATTTTATTAATCTTTGCCAAGAACCAGATAAAATGACCTTTATTCTGCTTCTCAGTGTTGTGTCTATTTCCTTAATTTTTGCCTTTATATTCATTATTTCTACTGTCTTACAGTTTATGTTATTGTTCTTTCTCAAGCTTCTTTTTCTATTTAGATCCTATATTTTCAGTCTTTCTTGTTTTTAAGTAAATTTGTTTAAAGCTTTTAAAAAAGTGTCTTTCTGCTTGAACTGCATTCTGTGATATGTAGGGCTTTTGTTTTATATCTATTTTTTTCTCCTTATTAACCCATGATTATTTAGAAATGAGTTTTTCAGTTTCCATTCAGTTGGAATATGTGGTAGGGTGACATTTTTATTTCTAATTTTATTATAAATTGTATTTTTAATCCAACGACATTTATTCTAATTTTATTATAAATTGTATTTTTAATCCAACGACATTTATTCTAATTTTATCAGAGAGGTTATCTTCTAGCAAAATTCTTTGAAATGTTTTTTTCCAAGAATAAGTTGGACTGGAGACACTACCCTTAGTTTATAAAACAGGAAACATTATAGTCGTAACAGATAGCTAATATTTTACACACACTTAACAATTTCTTAAGACTTTTAGCATGGGATATATCTTGAATCCCATGAGGTCGCCATTACCATGTTCATTTTATATGGAGGAAATTGGACTCAGAAGTTTATGTGGCTTGGCCTGAGGTTACACACTCACACATAGTGCTTTCCATGATCTTCTACTATATTCTCTTTAGCTTGTATTATTTTAATAGAAAATGAATTAAGAATTTATGAACTAGTTTGGACACATAAAGAGATAAGCTTTCATTTTCTGCATTCACTCATATGAGTATCTCACTCCCCAGAAATGAGGAATAAATGAGATGCTCTTACATTTAAATTGAAAGTGGTAGGAATAAAAATTTAATAAGAATAATGTAGTGCCCTTTTGTTCCAAGTACCAGAAGAGGCCTACAAGTTTTATGCCATGTGTTTTTCTGTTATGAAGAGCTTGTTATGCTGCTCTTGCTATGCTGCTGAAAGCAACCTAAAGGGAAGTTTGACACTTTTTAGATTTTTTTTATTTTATATTATTATTACCATGTTCAAAATGTGACATATCCCCAAAGATATTTTGGTGGTAATTCATCCAACATACTGTAAATGTTAAAGTGCTTCCTATATCATTCATCCCCTAAATGGAAACAGATGGCCCTAGGAGCTTTTGTTAAACTTTAATTATTTATGAAGCTTGCTTTTCTTCTTAATATTTTATGAAATGCTTTGTATATGTAACTGAAGCAGATGTTGTCATAGGTATTTTCTCTAGGATAGTAACTCTGAAGGTAGCTCTACTGGCCTTTATAATTTGTTTGTGTGTGCTTGCTTTTTGTCTCCATAAGGAAATGCCTTCCAATTAATAACAAAGTTCATTTAAGAATTCAGAAAAATAAATTTAAAAAAAGAATTCAGAAAATAACAATGTTATTCTACATTTATTTGAAAATTAATTTGTCTAGTGTTACTGTTCTTAATACTTCGAAGTCTAACCAAAAAAAGTAGATAAAAGGAAGGAAAAAACTTCATGATCATTTCAATAGACACAGAAAAAGATTTGACAAAATTCAGTACTTTTTTGTGATAAACACTCAGCAAACTAGAATAGAAGGGAACTTACATAACATGATAGCATCAACCAATGTCATATTCAATAATGAAAGACTGAAATCTTCCTCTGCTAACATCAGGAACAAAACAAGGATACCCATTTTCACCACCGCTATTAACCATTGTACTGGAAGTCCTAGACAGGGCAATTCGGTAAGAAAAAGAAATAAAAGGCAGCCAAATTGAAAAAGAAGAATTAAAATTACCTCTCTTTGCAGATGACATGATTATATTTATAAACTCTCAGAGAGCCCATTAAAAAAACTAATAGAGCTAATAAATTTAGCAACATATAAGATAAAAACACAAAAATCAGTTGCATCTCTATATTCCATCAATGAATGATCCAAAAAGAAGGTTAAGAAAATAATTCCAACTACAATAATACTCAGAGAATAAACTATCTAGGAATAAACTTAACCAAAGGAGTTAAAGGCCTGTACACTGAAAACTATAAAACATTGCTGAAAGAAATAAAAGATATAAATAAATGCATATAATAAATGTTCATGGATTGGGAGATTTCATGTTGCTAATATTGTAATATTCCCCAAAGTGATCTACAGATTCAATGTAGTCCCTATCAAAATTCCAATGGCCTTTTTTGCAGAAATGGAAAAGCCGGTCCTCAATTTTTTTTTTTTTTTAATTTGAGACAAGGTCTCACTCTGTCACCCAGGCTAGAGTGCAATGGCATGAGCTCAGCTCACTGCAACCTCCACCTCCCAGGTTCAAGCGATTCTCCTGCCTCAGCATCCCAAGTAGCTAGAATTACAGGCATATGCCACCACGCCTGGCTAATTTGTTTGTATTTTTAGTCAAGACGGGGTTTCGTCATGTTAGCCAGGCTAGTCTTGAACTCCTGACGTCAAGTGATCCGCCTGCCTTGGCCTCCCAAAGTGCTGGGATTACAGGCGTCAGCCACTGCACTCGGCCCAGTCTTCGAATTAATATGGAACTACAAGGGACCATGAATAGTTTAAACAATATTGAAAAGGAAAAATAAAGTTGGAGGACTCACACTTCCCAATTTCATAACTTACTATAAAGTTACAGTAGTAAAGATAGCGTGGTATGGACATAAGTATAGACATATAGACCAATGAAACAGAATTGAGAGTTCAGAAATAAACCTGAACATCTATGGTCAATTGATTTGCAACAAAGGTGCCATGACTATTCAATAGAGAAAGAATATTCTCTTCAGAAAAAGGTTTTGGGACAGCTGGATAGCCACATGCAAAAGAATGAAGTTCAAGCCAGGTGTGATGGCTCACGCCTGTAATCCCAACACTTTGAGAGGCCGAGATGGGTGGATCATGAGATCAGGAGTTCAAGACCAGCCTGGCCAATATGGTGAAACCTCATCTCTACTAAAAATACAAAAATTGGCTGGGCGTGGTGGTGGGTGCCTGTAGTCCCAGCTGCTTGGGAGGCTGAGGCAGGAGAATCGCTTGAACCCGAAAGGTGGAGGTTGCAGTGAGCTGAGATCGTACCACTGCACTCCAGCCTGGGCGACAGAGCAACACTCTGCTTCAAAAAAAAAAAAAAAAAAAAAAAAAAAAAAAAAAGAATGAAGTTCAATGAAGTTGTGAACCCTTACCTCACAAAATTAACTCAAAATTGATCAATGACCTAACTTATAAGAGAAAACAGAGATAGATCTTTATGACCTTGATTTGGCAGTGCATTCTCAGATTTGACGTTGAAAGCACAAGTAACGAAAGAAAACATAGATAATTAGACTGTATCAAATTAAAAGCTTTTGTGCATCAAAGGACATTATTAAGAATGTGAAATCAACCCAAATGATGAGAGAAAATATTTGCACATCACATATCTGATAAAAGTTTCATATTCAGAATATACAAAGAACTCTTACAACTCAACATCAGAGACAACCCAATATAAAAGTGAACAAAGGAGGCTGGGCACAGTGGCTCACGCTTGTAATCCCAATACTTTGGAAGGCCAAGGTGGGGGAATTGCTTGAGCTGAGGAGTTCAAGAGCAGCCTAGGCAACATAGCAAGACCCTATCTCTACAAAAAAATTTTTTAAATTAGCCAGACATGGTGCTGCATACCTGTTGTCCCAACTACTCGGGAGGCCCAAGTGGGAGGATTACTTGAGCCCAGGAATTGGAAGCTGCAGCAGGCTATGATCATGCTACTACTGTACTGTAGCCTGGGTGACAGAGCAAGACCCTGTCTCTTTAAAAAAAAAAAAAAAAAAAAAAAAGTTGTGTACCAAAAGGTCAATGAAATTAAAAGCTAGTTTTTTGAAAAGATTAACAAAATTGATAAACCTTTTTTTCCCTTTAATTTTAATTTCAGGGGTACATGTGCAGGATGTGCAGATTATGTAGGTAAACTTGTGTCATGGAGGGTTTGGTACACATTATTTTATCACCCACGTATTAAGCCTAGTACCCATTAGTTATTTTTCCTGATTCTCTCCCTCCTCCCACCCTCCACCCTCTACCCTCTGGTAGGCCCTAGTGTGCGTTGTTCCCATGTGTTCTCATAATTTAGCTCCCACTTACAAATGAGAACATGTGGTATTTGCTTTTCTGTTCCTACATTAGTTTGCTAAGGATAGTGGCCTCCAGCTCCATTCATGTTCCTGCAAAGGACACGATCTCATTCTTTTTTATGGCTGCATAGTGTTCTGTGGTGTATATGTACCACATTTTCTTTTCTTTTCTTTTTGTTTTTTGTTTTTGAGGCAGAGTCTTGCTCTGTCACCCAGGCTGGAGAGCAATGGCGTGATCTCGGCTCACTGCAACCTCTGCCTCCCAGGTTCAAGCGATTCTCCTGCCTCAGCCTCCCGAGTAGCTGGGATTATAGGCGCCCACCACCGCGCCCGGCTAATTTTTGTATTTTTGTAGAGCTGGGGTTTTGCCTTGTTGGCCAGGCTGGTTTTGAACTCCTGACCTCAGGTGATCCACCCACCTTGGCCAAAGTGCTGGGGTTACAGGCATGAGCCACCACGCCCGACCATGTACCACATTTTCTATATCCAGTCTATCATTGGTGGGCATTTAGGTTTGTTCCATGTCTCTGCTATTGTGAATGGTGCTGCAATGAACATAAGCAGGCATATGTCTTTATAATAGAACAATGTATATTCCTTTGGGGTTATACTCAGTAACGGGATTGCTGGGTCAAATGGTTTTTCTGTCTCTAGGTCTTTGAGGAATTGCCACCCTGTCTTCCACGATGGTTGAACTAATTTACACTCCTACCAACAGTGTAAAAGTGTTCCTTTTTCTCCACAACCTTGCCAGCATCCGTTGTTTTTTTAATTTTTTATTGATAACCATTCTTATTGGTGTGAGATGGTATCTCATGGTGGTTTTGATTTGCATTTCTGTAATGATCAGTGATGTTGAGTTTTTTTCATATGATTGCTGGCCACATGTATGTCTTATTTTCAGAAGTGTCTGTTCATGTCGTTTGCCCACTTTTGAATGAAGTTGTTTGTTTCTTTCTTGTAAACTTGTTTAAGTTCCTTATAGATGCTGGGTATTAGACCTTTGTCAGATGCTTAGTTTGCAAAAAAAAAAAAAAAAAAAATTCCCATTCTGTAGGATGCCTTTTTATTCCGTTGATAGTTTATTTTGCTGTGCAGAAGCTCTTAAGTTTTATTAGATCCCATTTGTCAATTTTTGCTTTTGTTGCAATTGCTTTTGGCATCTTCATCATGAAATCTTTGCCCATGCCTATGTCCTGAATGGTATTGCCTAGGTTTTCCTCTAGGGTTTTTATAGTTTCGGGTTTTACATTTAAGTCTTTAGTCCATCTTGAGTTGACTTTTGTATATGGTGTAAGGAAGGGGTCCAGTTTCAATTTTCTGCATATGGCTAGCCAGTTATCCCAGCACCATTTATTAAATAGGGAATCCTTTCCCCATTGCTTTTTGTCAGGTTTGTTGAAGATCAGGTGGTTTTAGGTGTGCGGTCTTATTTCTGGGTTCTCTATTCTGTTTCATTGGTCTATGTGTCTGTTGTACTAGTACCATGCTGTTTGGTTGCTGTGGCCCTGTGGTATAGTTTGAAGTTGGGTAGCGTGATGCCTCTAGCTTTGTTCTTTTTGCTTAGGATTGCCTTGGCTATTCAGAATCTTTTGGTTTCATATGAATTTTAAAATAGTTTTTTCTAGTTCTGCAAAGAATGTCAATGGTAGTTCAATGGGAATAGCATTGAATCTATAAATTGCTTAGGGCAGGCTGGGCACCTGACTCACACCTGTAATCCCAGCACTTTGGGAGGCCACGGTGGGCAGATCACTTTAGGTCAGGAGTTCAAGATCAGTCTGGCCAACATGGTGAAACCCCATCTCCACTAAAAATACAAAAATTAGCCAGGAGTGGTGGCACATGTCTGTAGTCCCAGCTGCTCGGGAGGCTGAGGCAGGAGAATCACTTGAACCCAGGAAGCGCAGTTTGCAGCGAGCTGAGATTATGCCACTGCACTCTAGCCTGGGCGACAGTGAGACTCCTTCTGAAATAAATAAATAAATAAATAAATAGCTTAAGGCAGTATGGCCATTTTTATGATATTGATTTTTCCTGTCCATGAGCATAGTATGTTTTTTCATTTGTTTGTATCATCTCTAATTTATTTGAGCAGCAGTGATTTGTAGTTCTCCTTTTAGAGGTCCTTCAATTCCCTTGTTAGCTGTATTTCTAGGGTTTTTTTTTTTGTTTTTTTTTTGGGTTTTTTTTGGTTTTTTTGTATATCAGTTGTGAAAGGGAGTCCATTAGTAATTTGGCTCTCGGCTTGACTGTTGAAAATCAGCAAACCTTTAGCCAGACTAGTGAGGAAAAAAAGAGAATAACCAAATAAATAAAATCAGAAGTGAAAAAGGAGACATTACAACCAATACCACAGAAATTCAAAGGACCATTAGAGGCTACTGTGAACAATATATGCCAATAAATTGGAAAACCCAGAAGAAATGGATAAATAGGGCTGGGTGTGATGGCTCACACATGTAATCACAGCACTTTGGGAGGCCAAGGTGGGTGGATCACTTGAGGCCAGGAGTTCGCGATCAGCCTGGCCAACATGGCGAAACCCTGTCTCTACTAAAAATACAAAAATTATCCAAGTGTGGTGGCACATGCCTGAAATCCCAGCTGCTCGGGAGGCTGAGGTGTGAAAATCATTTGAACCTGGGAGGCAGAGTTTGCAGTGAGTCAGGATTGCACTGCTGCACTTCATCCTGGGCAACAGACTGAGACTCTGTCTCAAAAAAAGAAAAAAAATGGATAAATTCCTAGATGCATGCAACCTACCAATATGGTTTGGATTTGTGTCCCCACCCAAATCTCATCAAATTATAATAATCCCCAATGTTGGAGGAGGGGCCAGTGGGAGGTAATTAAATCACGGGGATGGAGTTCCCCCTTGCTGTTCTCTTGGTAGTGAGTGAGTCCTCATGAGATCTGGTTGTTTAAAAGTGTGTAGCACCTCCCCCTTCTCTCTTTTCCTCCTGCTCCTGCCACGTAAGACAAAGCTGCTTCCCCTTTGCCTTCTGCCATGATTGTAAGTGTCCGGAAGCCTCCCCAGCCATGCTTCCTGTACAGCCTGCAGAACCATGGGTCAATTAAACTGTTTTTCTTTATAAATTACCCAGTCTCAGGTAGTTCATTATAGCAATGTGAGAATGGACTAATACACCTACCAAGATTGAGCCATGAAGAAATTCAAAACCTGAAGAGATGAAAAAACAAGTAACAAGATCAAAGCTGTAATAGAAAGTCTCTCAGCAAGGAAAAGCCTGGGACTGGGTGGCTTTGCTGCTGAATTTTATCAAACATTTAAAGAATAACTAATACCAATTTTACTCAACCAATTCCAAAAAATAGAGGAGGGGGGAATACTTCCCATCTCATTCTCTAAGGCCAGCATTACCCTGATACCAAAATCAGACAAAGACACATCAAAAAATAAAAACTACAAGCCAGTATCCCTGATGAACATTAATGCAAAAATCCTCAACAAAATACTAGCAAACTGAATTCAACAACGCATTAAAAAGATTATTCATCATGACCAAGTGGAATGTATCCCAAGAATGCAGGGATGGTTCAACATACACAAATCACTCTGTGTGAAGGGCAAAAACTATATGATCATTTCAATTGATACTGAAAAAGCATTTGATAAAATTTAACCTCCCCTTATGATAAAACCCCTCAATAAACTGGGTATAGAGGGAACATATCTCAATACAATAAAAGCCATGTATAACAGACCCACAATGAGTATCATATTGAATGGAGAAAAACTGAATGCGTTTCCTCTAAGATTTGGAACATGACAAGGATGCCCACTTTTACCACTGTTGTTCAACATAGTACTGGAAGTCCTAGCTACAGCAGTCAGACAAAAGAAAGAAAGAGCATCCAAAGTGGAAAGGAAGAAGTCAAATTATTATTCTTTGCAGATGATGTAGGCTTATATTTTGAAAAACCTGAAGACTCCACCAAAATATTCAAACTGATAAACACCTTTAGTAAAGTTGCAGGATACAAAATCAACATACAAAAATAAGTAGCATTTCTATATGTGAACAGTAAGCATTCTGAAAAATAAATCAAGAAAGTAATGTCATTTACAATAGCTACAAATACATTAAAATACATAGGAATTAACCAAAGAAGTGAAAGGTCTCTTAAAATGAAAGAAATTGGGAGGCTGAGACAGGAGAATCGCTTGAATTCAAGAGATGGAGGTTGCAGTGAGCCAGGATTGTGCCAGTGCACTCCAGCCTAGGCAACAAAAGCGAACATATGTAACTAACCTGCACATTGTGCACATGTACCCTAAAACTTAAAGTATAATAATAATAAAAATAAAAAAGGAAGGAAGGAATAAATTGAAGAGGACACAAACAAATGGAAAGATATTCCATGTTGATGGATTGGGAGAATAAATATTCTTAAAATGTCAATACTACCCAAAGCAGTCTACAGATTCAATGCAGTCTCTTTCAAAATACCAGTGCCATTCTTCACAGAGATAGAAAAAGCAATCCTAAAATTTTGACAGAACCACAAAAGACCCAGAATAACCAAAGCTATCCAGCTATCCTGAACAAAAAGAACTCAAGGAATCATATTGTGTGACTTCTAATTATACTACAAAGCTATAGTAACCAAAACAGCATGGTACTGGCATAAAAACAAATACCAGTGGAACAGAATAGAGAACCCAGAATCAAATCTACCTATCTGCAGTGAACTCATTTTTGACAAAGTTGTCAAGAACATACATTGGAGAAAGGACAATCTCTTCAATAAATGGTGCTGGAGAAACTGGATATATTCATATGCAGAAGAATTAAGACCCCTATCTCTTGCCATATACAAAAATCAAATCAAAATGGATTAAAGACTTAAATCTAAGACCTCAAACTATGAAACTACTAAAAGAAAACACTGAGAAACTCTCTAAGACATAGGACTAGGCAAAGATTGAGTAATACCCTGCAAGCACAGGCAACCAAAGCAAAAATGGACAAGTGGGATCACATCAAGTTAAAAAGTTTCTGCACAGCAAAGGAAATAATCAACAAAGTGAAGCAACAACCCACAGAATGGGAGACAATATTTGCAAAATATCCATCTGACAGAGGATTAATAATGAGAATATATAAGGAGCTCAAACAACTCTATAGGAAATTTTTTTTTTTTTTTTTTTTTTAGTATTTATTGATCATTCTTGGGTGTTTCTCGGAGAGGGGGATGTGGCAGGGTCATAGGATAATAGTGGAGAGAAGGTCAGCAGATAAACACGTGAACAAAGGTCTCTGGTTTTCCTAGGCAGTGGTCCCTGCAGCCTTCCGCAGTGTTTGTATCCCTGGGTACTTGAGATTAGGGAGTGGTGATGACTCTTAACGAGCATGCTGCCTTCAGGCATCTGTTTAACAAAGCACATCTTGCACCACCCTTAATCCATTTAACCCTGAGTTGACAGAGCACATGTTTCAAAGAGCATGGGGTTGGGGGTAAGGTTATAGATTAACAGCATCCCAAGGCAGAAGAATTTTTCTTATTACAGAACAAAATGGAGTCTCCTATGTCTACTTCTTTCTACACAGACACAGTAACAATCTGATCTCTCTTTTCCCCACATTTCCCCCTTTTCTTTTCGACAAAACCGCCATCGTCATCATGGCCCGTTCTCGATGGTCGCTGTCTCTTCGGAGCTGTTGGGTACACCTCCCAGACGGGGCGGCCGGACAAAGGCGCTCCTCACTTCCCAGATGGGGTGGCCGGGCAGAGGCTCTCCTCACATCCCAGATGATGGGCAGCCAGGCAGAGGCGCTCCTCACCTCCCAGACTGGGCGGCCAGGCAGAGGTGCTCCTCACTTCCCAGATGGGGCAGCCGGGCAGAGGTGCTCCTCACTTCCCAGACGATGGGTGGCCGGGCAGAGGGGCTCCTCACCTCCCAGATGGGGCGGCCGGGCAGAGGTGCTCCTCACTTCCCAGACGGGGTGGCCGGGCAGAGGCGCTCCTCACTTCCTAGATGGGGCGGCCGGGCAGAGGTGCTCCTCACCTCCCAGACAATGGGCAGCTGGGCAGAGGTACTCCTCACATCTCAGATGATGGGCAGCCGGGCAGAGGTGCTCCTCACTTCCCAGATGGGGCGGCTGCCGGGCAGAGGCACTCCTCACTTCCCAGATGGGGCGGCTGCCGGGCAGAGGTGCTCCTCACTTCTCAGACGGGGCGGCCGGGCAGAGGTGCTCCTCAGTTCCCAGATGGGGCGGCCAGGCAGAGGCACTCCTCACCTACCAGACGGGGTGGCGGCCAGGCAGAGGCGCTCCTCACATCCCAGACGGGGCGGCCAGGCAGAGGCGCTCCCCACTTCCCAGACAGGGTGGCGGCCGGCCAGAGGCACTCCTCACATCCCAGATGATGGACAGCCAGGCAGAGATGCTCCTCACTTCCTAGACGGGGTGGCAGCTGGGCAGAGGCGCTCCTCACTTCCCAGACAGGGCGGCCGGGCAGAGGGGCTCCTCACATCCCAGATGATGGGCGGCCAGGCAGAGACGCTCCTCACTTCCTAGATGGGGTGGCGGCTGGGCAGAGGCTGTAATCTTAGCACTTTTGGAGGCCAAGGCAGGCAGCTGGGAGGTGGAGGTTGTAGCGAGCCGAGATCACGCCACTGCACTCCAGCCTGGGCAACATTGAGCATTGAGTGAGCGAGACTCCATCTGCAATCCCAGCACCTCAGGAGGCCGAGGCGGGCAGATCACTCGAGGTCAAGAGCTGGAGACCAGCCCGGTCAACAGGGCGAAACCCCGTCTCCACCAAAAATACAAAAACCAGTCAGGCGTGGCGGCGTGTGCCTGCAATCCCAGACACTCAGCAGGCCAAGGCAGGAGAATCACGGGAGCCCAAGGCAGGGAGGTTGCAGCGAGCTGAGATCACGGCAGTATCGGCAACAGAGGGAGACCGGAGAGATGGAGGGGGGAGGGGAAGGGAGAGGTGGAAAAAATTTAATAATTCGATTTAAAAATGGGGAAAAGATCTGAATAGACATTTCTCAAAAAAGGACATATAAATAGCAGACAGGGCAACATGCAATGGCTCACACCTGTAATCCCAGCACTGTAGGAGGCCAAGGTGGGCAGATCGCTTGAGCCCAGGAGTTAGAGACCAGCCTGGGCAACATGGTGAAACCCCATCTCTACAAAAAGTACAAAACTATAGCGGGGCATAGTGGCATATGTCTGTAGGAGGCTGAGATGGGAGGATCTCTTGAGCCAGGGAGGCAGAGGCTGCAGTGAGCTGAGATTGTGCCACTGCACTCTAGCCTGGGTGAGACTCTGTCTCAAAAAATAATGATAAAAATAAGTGGCAGACAGGCATATGGAAAGGTACTCAACATCATTAATCATCAGAGAAATGCAAATCAAAACTACAGTAAGATATTATATCATCCTAGTTCAGGTGGCTTTTATCCAAAAGATAGGCAGTAACACAGATGCTGGTGAGGATGTGGAGAAAAGGGAGCCCTTGTATACTGTTGCTGGGAATGTAAATTAGTACAACCGCTATGGAAAACAGTTTGGCAGTTCCTCAACAAACTAAAAATAGAACTGCCTTATGATTCAGCAATCTCACTGCTAGGTATACACCCAAAAGAAAGGAAATCAATATATCAAAGAGATATCTGCACTCTCATGTTGATTGCAGCACTATTCACAATAGCCAAGATTTAGAAGCAACCTAAGTGTCCATCAACAGATGAACGGATAGAGAAAATGTGGTATATATACACAATGGAGTATTATTCAGCCATGAAAAAGAATGAGATCCTGTCATTTACAACAACATAGATAAAACTGGAGGTCATTATGTTAAGTGAAATAAACTAGGCACAGAAAGACAAATTTCACATGTTCTCACTTATTTGTGAGAGTTAAAAAATTAAAACAAATTGAACTCATGGAGATAAAATGTAGAAGGTTGTTTACCAGAGTCTGGGAAGGGTAGTCAGATGTGGGGGGAGCCAGGATGGCTAATGGGTATAAAAAATATAGTTAGATAGAATGAATAAGATCTATATTCGATGACACAATAAGGTGACCACGTCAGCAATAGTTTATTATACATTTAAAAATAACAAAACCAGCCAGGCATGGTGGCTCACGCCTGTAATCCCAGCACTTTGGGAGGCCAAGGTGGGCAGATGACGAGGTCAGGAGATCGAGACCATCCTGGCTAACATGGTGAAACCCTGTCTCTACTAAAAATACAAAAAATTAGCAGCCAGGCGTGGTGGCGGGTGCCTGTAGTCCCAGCTACTCGAGAGGCTGAGGCAGGAGTATGGCATGAACCTGGGAGGTGGAGGTTGCAGTGAGCCAAGATCGTGCCTGGGAGACAAAGCCAGACTCCGTCTCAAGAAAAAAAAAAAAAAAAAAAACCCACGTGATTATCTCAATAGATGCAGAAAAGGCCTTCAACAAAATTTAGCAGCCCTTCATGCTAAAAACTCTCAATAAACTAGGTATTGTTGGAACATATCTCAAAATAATAAGAGTTATTTATGACAGACTCACAGCCAATATTATACTGAATGGGCAAAAACTGGAAGCATTCCCTTTGAAAACCAGCACAAGATAAGGATGCTCTCTCTCACCATTTGTATTCAACATAGTATTGGAAGTTCTGGCTAAGGCAATCAGGCAAGAGAAAGAAATAAAGGGTATTCAATTAGGAAAAGAGTAAGTCAAATTGTGTCTTTTTGCAGATGACATGATTGTATATTTAGAAAACCCCATTGTCTCAGCCCAAAATCTCCTTAAGCTGATAAGCAACTTCAGCAAAGTCTCAGGATACAAAATTAATGTGCAAAAATCACAGGCATTCCAGCAGTAATAGAGAGCCAAATAATGAGTGAACTCCCATTCACAATTACTACAAAGTGAATAAAATACCTAGGAATCCAACTTACAAGGGATGTGAAGGGCTCAACGAAATAAAAGAGGACGCAAACAAATGGCCATACTGCCCAAGGTAATTTATGGATTCAATGCTGTCCCCATCAAGCTACCACTGAGTTTTTCACAGAATTGGAAAAAACTACTTTAAAGTTCATATGGAACCGAAAAAGAGCCCGCATAGCCAAGACAATCCTAAGCAAAAAGAACAAAGCTGGAGACATCGTGCTACCTGACTTCAAACTATACTACAAGGCTACAGTAACCAAAACAGCATGGCACTGGTACCAAAACAGATACATAGACCAGTGGAACAGAACAAATGCCTCAGAAATAACACCACACACCTACAACCATCTGATCTTTGATAAACCTGACAAAAACAAGAAATGGGGAAAGGATTCAGTTTAATAAATGGTGCTGGGAAAACTGGCTAGCTATATGTAGAAAGCTTAAATTGGATCCCTTCCTTACACTTTATACAAAAATTAACTCAAGATGGATTAAAGACTTAAATGTAAGTCCTAACACCATAAAAACCCTAGAAGAAAACCTAGGCAATACCATTCAGGACATAGGCATGGGCAAAGACTTCATGACTAAAACACCGAAAGCAATGGCAACAAAAACCAAAATAGACAAATAGTATCTAATTAAACTAAAGAGCTTCTGCACAGCAAAAGAAACTATCATCAGAGTGAACAGGCACCCTACTGAATGGGAGAAAATCTTTGCAATCTACCCATCTGACAAAGGGCTAGTATCCAGAATCTACAAAGGACTTAAACAAATTTACAAGAAAAAAACAACGCCATCAAAAAGTGGGCAAAGGATATGAACAGACACTTCTCAAAAGAAGACATTTATGCAGCCAACAGACATGAAAAAATGCTCATCATCACTGGTCATCAGAGAAATGCAAATCAAAACCACAATGAGATACTATGTCACAACAGAATGGCGATCATTAAAAAGGAAACAACAGATGCTGGAGAGGATGTGGAGAAATAGGAACACTTTTACACTGTTGGTGGGAGTGTAAATTAGTTCAACCATTGTGGAAGGCAGTGTGGCAACTCCTCAAGGATCTAGAACTAGAAATACCATTTGACCCAGCAATCCCATTACTGGGTATATACCCAAAGGATTATAAATCATTCTGCTATAAAGACACATGCACACATATGTTTATTGCGGCACTATTCACAATAGCAAAGACTTGGAGCCAACCCAAATGTCCATCAATGATAGACTGGATTAAGAAAATATAGCACATATACACCATGGAATACTATGCAGCCATAAAAAGGGGTGAGTTCATGTCCTTTGCAGGGACATTGATGAAGTTGGAAACCAATATTCTAAGCAAACTATCACAAGGACAGAAAACCAAACACTGCATGTTCTCACTCATAGATGGGAGTTGAACAATGAGAACACATGGACACAGGGTAGGGAACATCACGCACTGGGACCTGTCGGGGGGTGGGGGGCTAGGGGAAGGATAGCATTGGGAGAAATACCTAACGTAAATGATGAGTTGATGGGTGCAGCAAACCAGCATGGCACATGTATACCTGTGTAACAAACCTGCACGTTGTGCCTATGTACCCTAGAACTGAAAGTATAATAAAAATAAAAAAGTATAATTGGATTTTTTGTAATACAAAGTAAGGATAAATGCTTGAGGTGGTGGATACCCCATTTACCTTGATATGATTATTACACATTGTAGTCCTGTATCAAAATATCTTATGTACCCCATAAATATAAATACCTACTATATACCCACAGAGATTAAAAGTTAAAACTTTTTGAAAAAAAGGAGAGCGGGACACAGGCACAGGGAGAAGATCACGTGAAGATACCAGAAGAAGGTGGCCAACTACAAGCCGACAATAATTACCGTCAGAAGAAATTAAACCTGTCAACACTCGATCTTGGACTTCTACAAAGTCACTTTTGCCAAATGAAGTAACATTCACAGGTTTTGGGAATTAGGACATGAACATATCTTTTGAGAGGCTACCATTCAGCCCACTACAGCTGTTTGTAAAAAGAAGCAAGCTTCCTGATGGAAGTAAACGTTACCTTCCCAAGAAAATAAATAAATAAACAAGACAAAAAACACCCATTCCAATGTATAGGAAATACTGGAAACAGAATACTACAAGGATGTAATAAAAATTACATGTTTGTCATTTCTTCCCAGACTACAGGAAACTCTACAGAACAAAAACCCAGTTTCTTCAACAATTAAATTGCAAGAGGGAGGAAAGGAGAGATAGATGAAGAAACTAGTATATGAAAAGAAAGCTAAACAGCATCGTGCAATTGCACTGTGGGGGCTGTATTTGTATCCTGATTTGAAAAACTTTTTTGTAAAAAAAAGAAACAATCAGGGAAATTTGAGAACTTGTTGCTTTGTAAGTACTTACTGTAAATTGTAATATGGATATATTTTCTTAAAAGAGTCCTTTTAGATGTCATACTGAAATATTTATAAACTAAATGATAGGTCTGGAACTTGTTTCAATATAATTAGGGGTGGAAGAGGTAGGTGGGCTTAAAGATGAAAGAATATTGGCCATAAGGGGATGTTTTGGAAACTGGGTGATGAAGACATGAGGATACATTCTATTGTTGTCTTTACATATGTATTTGAAATTTTCCATAACAAAGAGTTTAAAATTTTAAAAGGTTGAAATCTCCTCCTCAAGAGGAACAAAACAAAAAGGTTAATAGTTTTGAGGACAAGTTTGGCAACTAGAGAGGTGATCCTCTTAGCTTTTCTGCATGGTGATTAGAGAGGCTCTGAGGGCTGTGTAATGAGCTTTCACAGCTATTCTAGCTTAAAACTGGAATCCAAGAAGAGAACAAAGTACATTTCTCTTTGAGAATATGTTTATTCAGCCAGCCTTCCCAGACCATATTCTGACAACTCCTCACCTCATCTCACCCCATCATCGGCCTGGATTAAATATCACCTTGTTCTCTTCTCGTACCCTTTACACACTCCGTGGTGTATTTTAATTATGTAGTCTGTTTGGTTCGCCCAGTTCCCAGATTATAAATTCTTTGCAGATACTAACCTTGTTTGTTTGTCTTATTCATCTATATATCCCCCTTATCCCTGTGTTTCATGTTGGACCTGGTAAACTCTCTCAATAAATGGTTGGTGGAGTGAGGGGGAGGGAAGCAGTAGAGAAATGGGATTGCACTGGTAAACAAAATGCAATATACACCTACTACTTTTTGCGTCTCCTCAATTATCCCTTTTCCCAGGACTACTAAAGTAGAGGTACAGAGTTACTTTGAACTTTTTTTTTCTTCTGCCCATCTTCTAGCAGAGGTGCTAATGGGCTATAATATACTGCAAATGAAAGACAAGTAAGGGGTAAGCGATATGGTAGCAAAATAGAAAGTGGGGTTTTTTGCCCCATCAGATGCCGATTTCCACTCTTTCCCAAGGTATGTAAATGCAATGAATTCTTTTCAGATGGCTGCCTTTCTGTGCTATTTGTTATGCTGCCTTATCAGAATTCTCCTTTTATAGAAATTCCAGGCCGGGCGCGGTAGCTCACGCCTGTAATCCCAGCACTTTAGGAGGCCGAGGCCGGTGGATCACGAGGTCAGGAGATCGAGACCATCCTGGCTAACAGGGTGAAACCCCATCTCTACTAAAAAAATACAAAAAAATTAGCTGGGCGCAGTGGCGGGCGCCTGTAGTCCCAGCTACTCGGGAAGCTGAGGCAGGAGAATGGCATGAACCCGGGAGGCGGAGCTTGCAGTGAGCCGAGCTTGCACCACTGTACTCCAGCCCAGGCGACAGAGCGAGACTCGTCTCAAAAAATAAATAAATAAATAAATAAATATATAAATAAATAAATAAATAAATTCCTTTCTAGCCTGTCTTCTTGGTATGCTGTAAGATGGTAATTAGAGTGTAACCTCCTCAAGAAGGTGCTGAGAAATACTCTACAAACACTATTTGGTGCTGTGGATGGGATTATCTGGCAGTTTCCTAGTGGATGGCAATGGCCATGAAACAGACTTTAAGAGGCCCATACAATTTTAGAGCTGGGAGAGATGGCAAAGACCAATGTGTTTCCTTATCTGCACACTATTCTGTGTTACACAGAATAGCTTTTTGTGTAAAAACTATCTTCTTGCTTTCTTAAGGTATTATATATTGTCCAGTCCCCAAATCTGATCTAGTTTCTAAACTATCACTTTCCAAATTTATTTTTGAGAAAATAGGACAGATAAATAATAACCATTGTCTAAAATGAAAAATAAAATGCGTAACACCATTTCTTTTTTACCACAGTGTTGGATGATTTCTCATTTGTATAGAAAATAGCAGAATAAATCTTAAACTTTATAATGTAATTGGACATTTTAACCTCATTAAAGACCTAAAGATATTTTATTTTCTCTTTAGGTGGTCCGGGACTACAATCTTCAGCTGTTTTTGCAAGAAAACGCTGTATTTCACAAACCCCAGCCCTTCCAGTTCCAGCCTTGTGACAGTGATACTGTAAGGGAATTATAGATTTTCATTTCATGTGTTGTTCAGTTGTGTTTGTGCTTAAGTAACAGTTACCCTTGGCATAGACAGACAGAAAAAGCTGAGTATATCTCATCAATTTTATAACAAAACTGTGAGGACACAGAATAATTATGACTTTTTTTTTCTGAATTGTGGCCAAGAAACTCAGTGTCTTTATGCTAGCAACCTTCTACCAAATGAGGTTAAGTTATAAGACAAGTTACTGAAACCTGAAAACAACTGAGGGAAGAAGAAAAATATTCAATACATTTACTCAAATGTAAATTATATTTTCCCTGAAATTTTTTATGTTGTACCCCTCCACAGAAATCAGTGGTTAAATTTTAACCAGAGTAGGCCGTGCGCTGTGGCTCACGCTTGTAATCTCAGCACTTTGGGAGGCCGAGGCAGGTGGATGACCTGAGGTCAGGAGTTCAAGACCAGCCTGGCCAACATGACAAAACCCTGTCTCTACTAAAAATACAAAAATTAGCTGGGCTTGGTCGTGGGCCCCTGTAATCCCAGCTACTCAGGAGGCTAAAGCAGGAGAATCACTTGAACCTGGGAGGCAGAGGTTACAGTGAGCCGAGATCACACCACTGCACTCCAGCCTGGATGACAGAGTGAGATTCTGTCTCAAAACAAACAAACAAACAAAAAAAAAACCAGAATAGAATTAATAAATGGAATAATGAACATGTGTATGAAATATTTTGGTTGGTCTTATAAAAGATTATAGGCCTTTTATAATTCCTTTCAGATTTCTTAGAATATTAAAGCACTTACATAAACCTCAAATTAGCAATTTTTTTAATGCCTCTACCCCTCTGCCATTTTTTTTATGGTAGCAGAATACACATAACACAAAAATTACCATTTTTAACCATAGTTAAAGTGTGAGATTGATTCACTGTCACTTACTACATTTCCAGTGCTGTGCACTGTCATAACTTGGTAGTTCCACAACATTTCATCACTTTAAAAAGAAATCCTGACCCCATTAAGCAGTCACTCTCCCTATACTCCTCACCTCAGCCCCTGACATCATTAATCTACTTTCTGTCTGTAGATTCCAACTGGCAATTTTTGTTTTTATTTTTACTTATTTATTATTATTATTATTATTTTATTTTTGAGACAGGGTCTCACTCTGTCACTGGGGCTGGAGGGCAGTAGCGTGATCTCAGCTCACTACAGCCCCCCTCTCCTGGGCTCAAGTGATCCTCCCACATCAGCCTCCCGATTAGCTGGGGCCACAGGCACGCACCACTGTGCCTGGCTATTTTCTTTGTATTTTCAATAGAGATGGGGGGGTCTCACCATGTTGCCCAGGCTGGTCTCGAACTCCTGAGTTCAAGCCACCTACCCACTTTAGTCTCCCAAAGTGCTGGCATTACGGACGTGAGCCACGATGTCCGGCCCCAATTGGCAATTGTTTAAAAGCATACAGTAATCGTCCTTGAGTTTATGGGAAATGTTTGCCATTATTTAAATTTTTAAAAAAGAACAAAAATGCTAATTTGGTAACATAAAAATTGAAATTTAACTTCTGCAAAATGAGAAGGCACGCATTGGCATTATTAGTACATTCTGTCAATGTAGGCAAGCCAAAAGGAAAATCAAATTATATTCATAAAGTATTTTGATAAATTTAGAACCAGAACCAAGGGAGTTTATGATATAGTTCCAGAGTTTAATGGTATCAGTTTAATAGAAACACATTTGCCAGCGATATCTTCATTACTTTTCTTATACTTTAAGTAGCTCTGTTAGCAGCTATATAAAGAAATGTAGGAAATCAGCATTTCCCTCTATATTACAACCTTTGCCCTTTATAGTAGTGCTTTTTTTTTTTAATCAAATCAGCTTTTGCCAATGACTTATTCACATTCTCCTGTGATTTGACTTCTTTGAAGCCTGGGAGGGATGAAGCAGAGCATTAGAAGATACAGGGTATAGACAAGTGTGTCAAGCTTGTCTTAAAATTATGACTAATTTGATGTTATTTTATCATTGCTATTTTCCACAGAAAAAATCAGAATAACAGTGACTCTCATCTCACTTTTTCCCAGCCCAACTGCAGCCCTAAATCTTTTGTTTCTAAACACTGTGCTAAATGTTCTTAGGTGTTGTGTCCTTGTTTGCCTTAAATTTCTAACTCTATGCTATGTTTTTTGTCCTTGTGCAATCTTTACTGGGCAGAGTTTAAAAGCCGCCCAACTGGTGGATATTGAGCTCTCCCCTGTCAGTGCTCTGAGAATGACCATAGCTGAGGTATATGGGGTGTGGGTCAAGGGCGGGAGGGATGGGAAGTGTGGGTTTGCATGTTAATGAAGGGTGGGACCTGGTGTTGGGATGAAAGTTATGTATATACATGTATAAGAGGCCCTGATGCACCAGCTGTGTTTTCTCTTATAAATTAAGAATTTCCTTCCCTGTTTATAGTGAAGAAATTGAGCTACTCATTTTTCATCTTGTGTGAAGCACCTTAATCTTCTTCAACAGGTGTGCTGGAGAGAACCTTAGAGCTAATCTTGTCTTTATTAAAGGGGAAACTGTAGCCTAGTAAGGGAGACTTGTCCAGAGTCATACGGTAAATTAATGACATGTTACTGTTGTGATTGCAATAGTAATGTTATGTCTGCTGTGCTATTCTGTCTTCTAAGAAGAAATGTTCAGGACTTGGGAAGCAATTAGTTTTTTCATAATGGAAAAAGATAAATGCCTATGATTTTAAAAAATCATTCCAGACCTTCAATCATTTAAAAAGTCTTTTTTTTTTTTTTTTTTTTTTTAAGATAGGGTCTTACTCTGTCACCCAGACTGAAGTGCAATGGCATAATCACGGCTCACTGCGCCTCAACCTCCTGGGCTCGAGCAGTCCTTCCACCTCAGCTTCCCGAGTAACTGGGACTACAGCTGATTTTTATTTTATTTTGTTTTATTTTATTTTTATTTTTGGTAGAGAGGGGATGTCACCATGTTGCTTAGGCTGGCCTTGAACTCCTGGGCTCAAAAGATCCTCCTGCCTCAGCCAGACATGTATTATTGTCTGGCTCTGATTATAATCATCCTAGTGGATATGAAATAGTATCTCGTGGTTCTGGTTTGCATTTCCCTAATGACTAATGATGTTGAGTATCTTCATGAGTGTATTAGCCACTCATATATCTTCTTTGGTAAAATGTCTATTCAAACCTTGTTTCTATTTTTTTATTGGATTGTGTCTACTTGTTATGAATTAGATCTTGAAGATGAGTTGCAGTTTACTCTGCAAAGAGGGAGAAGCAACATGCCAGGAAGCAAAAACAAAAATTGAAAAGAATAAAAATAATAGGTGACATTCATTGAACATTTATTTCGTGCTAGACATTTTTCTAATGGCATTACCTATATTAATTTATTTTATCTTCACAACAACCCTATATTGTAGGTGCTATTTTTAATCCTTCTTTTACAGTTGAGGAAACTAAAGTTAAGAAATCTGGCTGGGTGCAGAGGCTTACGCCTGTAATCCCAACACTTTGGAAGGCCAAGGTGGGTGCATTGCTTGAGCCCAGGAGTTCGAGACCAGCCTGGGCAACACGGCGAAACCCTTTCTCTAAAAAAAAAATAATAATAATAATACAGAAAACTAGCTGGGCATGGTAGCACACACCTGTAGTCCCTGCTACTCAGGAAGCTGAAGTGGGAGGATCACTTGAGCCCGGGAGGTGGAGGTTGCAATGAGCCGTGATCACACCACTGCATTCCATCCTGGGTGACAGAGCAAGACCCTGTCTTTAAAAAAAAAAAAAAAAAATAGAAAGAAAAGCAATTTGCTTTGCTCAAGGTCACTCAGCTAATAAGCATTAGAGCCAGAAAAGTTTGAAAGTACATGACTATACCTGAAATAGCAAGTAGACTTGATGATGAAAGTGGGATGCAACCAGGTGTTATTTTTGAGTTTTATATATGATGGTAAATGGAGAACTATATACTCAGGTAAGATAGTAATAGGATGAGATCCATTGCAGGGGCAGGACAGTATTGTTCTTTTATTTTGAATTTTATAGTTTGAATTAGGAATTTTGAACTGCTTATGGGTTTAACAAATTTATTTTTCATTTACTAAGCAGACACTTACATATACTTTGCATATGCCCTTGCCTTACAGGCAAGAGAATTCAGCAAATATTTTATCTAAATTTACGTAAGATATAGTTAGGAAAGTTATAGGACTTTTAAAGTTACCACTGTGATAAAATGTAACTCTTCTGATGATTTTCATAAACTGTCTTAAAATTTTTTTAACTTTTTAATATAACCCATTTCAAACTACACTGTTTTCCCTACAAAAGTCCAAGACACCCAATTGAATATGTATAGTCACAGTATTATTATAGTAATTTAATTAGGGCTTTTTTGGGTAGAATTTTAATATTAACCAAAAGATGACTACAAGTGACAGTGACCAATGGCAAGCTTTGTTCTTATGTAGTAACTTAATAGCTGTCTCATGGTTAATACTGAAGGATTTTCTTATCTATATTTCCATAAGAGAGTTACTGATTTCTAAAGTGTTCTTTCTTTATATCTTCAATTATCATTTCTCAGATGATACCAGAAAGCCAGAGCTCTTTCTAGAAAAAGTAAAATACATCTTTTTTGCTGAAATGACTTTTTAATGCAGAATTTTTCTGAGGAGGATATGGAATGTGCCTTTAAATCTTCCTGTCTATAATAAGAATATTCTGTGAGAGAGAACTGACAAACACATTTATTAGGATCTCAATGTTAGAGTCATTCAGCTGACACATGGATCACACTGGGGTTAGTGATTCATACAGGTGGTGTACAATGGAGAAAACATGGGTTTGGGTGTCTAAACTAGCAGTTTATTTACATATATTTAACTTTTGTGATTCAGCTTCCTCATGTGTAAAATGACAACAGTTGTCCCTTGGTTTCCATGGGGGATTGATTCTAGGAACCTCTTTGTGTACCAAAATTCACAGATGTTCAAGTCCCCTATATAAAATGATGTAATATTTGCATATAACCTGTGCACATCCTTCATATATTGTAAATCATCACTAGATTATAATCCCTAATACAATGTAAATGCTATGCTAATAATGGTCCTATTACATTGTTTAGGAAATAAGACAAAGAAAAAAAGTCTGTACATGTTCAGTACAGACACAACTATCCTTTTTTTTTTTTTTTTTTACTCTTTTTAAAAAATATTTTTGATCCACGGTTGGTTGAATCCACAGATACAGAACCCACAGATATGGAAGGACAACTATACCTTATTTGTTTGAAAATTAAATAGGATACTAAGCATTTAACTCAATGCCTGGCACATTGAGTCAGAATAGATGTTAACTGACTTCTTAAAATCTTTCCACAGGACGGCCGGGCGTGGTGGCTCACGCCTGTAATCCCAGCACTTTGGGAGGCTGAGAGCTGAGATGGGCGGATCATGAGGTCAGGAGATTGAGACCATCCTGGCTAACATGGTGAAACCCTGTCTCTACTAAAAATACAAAAAATTAGCCGGGCGTGGTGGCGGGCACCTGTAGTCCCAGCTACTCGGGAGGCTGAGGCAGGAGAATGGCGTGAACCTGGGAGGCGGGGCTTGCAGTGAGCCGAGATCGCGCCACTGCACTCCACCCTGGGTGGCAGGGTGAGACTCTGTCTCAAACAAAACAAAACAAAACAAAACAAAAATCCACAAGGCAAGCATATTTCTTTCTTTTTTTTTTTTTTTTTTTTTTTTTTAGTATTTTCCCCCTAATTGCTACAGGAAATACCAAATATCAAATATAGAAGACATTACAAATCTTGAAATACTTGCAATACTTTTGCAGTCATGATCCCTAGCTCTCAACTCCCTTATTGGATTGATCACTAAAAGTCCCTTGGGACTTTTGTTCTACTTATTCCACAAAGAGGATCTCATCAACGGCCTTCTTGGCAGTTTGTACATCTGAAAGGCAATCTGTTTGGAATAATTTTAAGTACATGACTTGTACTTTTCAACATCTCTGCCCTATGTACATCTCAGTGACCTATCCTTTCATTACCAGAACTAGTGATGAGTGCCATTAGGGGCATTTTCTCACATCCTGTGAAAAAGGACAAAGCGAAGCTGGGATGGGAAATAATATGGGAAACATGCATGTCCACAAAACTTAGATAAGTATGATCTATACAGGCAGGAAAAACACGGAAACTTCCTCAGGTTTCCCAGTCGGAATGAGAATACACTTTCCCCTTTACCTTCTTTGAACAGCAAATAACAAGATCTTCACAGATCATGACAGCAAAAAGCTGACACTAAATTTCTGATGTATGATCTTTCCCTGTTATTCTAGATGCTATTTCTGATATTTAATTCTGCCTTCTATAGATTAAAAATTATAGTAAGTAAAATGTCCACTTGCTGTAGTTGAGGATTTTTACACATTAAAGTTTTACATAAGGGGAGTGATTTATGCATCTATTAAAAAAATATTTGGCAAAAATTTCCCTTGTCTATAAAAGTCTACATGGGGTTAATATACTGTGCAGGAAATGTACCTGAAAATTCTCTTTGTTATGGGTGGCTCTTTCTGCTTGTAGAAATTTTGTATTGCATATAGCGTTGTCTCATAAATGTGAAAAAGGCTGTGATAGAATTTGTGGGATGTCCTCCTGTTGAGTAAATAGGTACCATCCTCTTACACATGCTTGGCACAGTATCCAAAAATGAGAGGCTTTGACTAAAGACATGAGTGTTGCGTTTTAGAATTAGCAATACTGACAGTTAAGTGTTCGTAGTGGTTGTCCTAATTTCTTCAGCGTTTCACAAAAGGCTTTTTGTAAAAAGTCCACTATCTATGTGATAGGCCCTCTACTGGTTTAGTCACCTTTCTCCTGATCTGGTTCCTTGTCTAACCATCCAGAGTAACTAGATCTTTGCATAGACGCATTAGTTATGTGCTGACAATAGGAGCCTGAAAGTTCCCCTATCTAGCTTGTGATTATAGCTCTTAAAGCAAGATCTCTGTGAGAGCTACCAAAATAAAGGCATACTCTTTATAAGGCTGTTCCATCTAACCATGCCTCTAGGTATGTTCTCAAAAGTGTTAGACGCAAGGTTTTTATGCCATTTTTGTTTTACTTTCATGTCATTACTCAGGGACATATTTTTTGCTAAGGTTTGCCTTTGGTACTCTTAATCCAAGACAAAAGAATAGCTCCTTTCAGAGTTCTCATCATTTCTTCACCCCAGCCTTAATGGGTATATTCCTTTTCCCCAGGTGTCCAGAGTTTTCCAGAATTGTCCCAAGGCTCAGTCCACACCAGTTCTTCTCCAGTGTGCTCTCCTGAGAGGCCAGGCACACTCAACAATTATCTAGATGAGTTCCCACTTCTTTCCAAGTGAAGGTTCTGCTATCCTAGCATAGTCAGAATAAGTTAAATTATGTCTCTTAAGAGGCACTGTTCCACTCCTCTTCAAGGTGTGTGGCATATTTGAAATATGTGACTTAAAAGTCTACAGTCTCTTACCAAAAGCCTTGGGCCAAATACATGTCAAAATTCAGAATTTTCCAGATTTTAGAAAAGTGACCCATATACCATACATTGCATAAAACCCTGAGCAATGTATGGGGAAGCACCTGTGACCAAACATAGTATTTTTGCAGTGAAACATATGAATATTTTCATTCATATATGTATATATGAAAGAAAAAACTATAAATAACCTCTTATTAGTTCAAATCACATTTTGGCTCAAGTGAGTTTTGGCTCCAAACTTACCAAAAAATACTTATTCTTTTTCAGAGCATTTTGAATTTCAGAATTGTGGGATTGTGAACCTGTACAAACGTGTAGTTGGAATACAGAGATCCAGATGCTTTTTACTTGAAGAAGTCCTTTTGAGGATAAATAATTAATAACTTTATTGAAATAATTAACCATATATTAATATACTTCATAAAGAATAAGATGGATCCAATATTTAACTCAATATATTAATATATATTTTTTGAGAAGCTCTGTCACCCAGGCTGGAGGGCACAATCATAGCTCCTGGCAGCCTTGATCTCTTGGGCTCAAACAATCCTCCTGCCTCAGCCTCCCATAGATAGGACTACAGGTATGTGCTAATTTTTTTTAAGAGCTGGGGTCTAGCTATGTTGCCCAGGCTGGTCTCAAACTCCTGGCCTCAAGCAGTTTTTCTGCCTTGGCCTACCAGAACACTGGGATTGTAAGTGTGAGCTACTGTGCCCAGCCCCAGTATATTTCTTGTCTCTCAGTAAACTGAAAAATGTAAGTAGTACAAATTCCCTGAATGAGGGTTAACTAGAATGTTATGCCATTGGCCTAACAACCCCAACACTATCTTTTTTTGAAATGGTTTGGAATGCTAGTATTTTACTGTTAGTGATTTTCATTCATCATACATGACCATCTCTTTTTCTCTCCTTGAAATGGTTATATTTTAGTTACAGAGTTAAAAAACTGATTGTTTTCTTCTGCGAAGTCAGCTTTTCTATCGCTGCTCACTCTGCTCAGATATCTGAGCCTTCTATGCCTTTGTATTAACCTTAAAATAAAACAAAATCATATCTTGAGAGAGCATCTAAGGACAAAATAGTTAAGATGACTTAAAGACTAATATATCAAGAATATTGGAATGCTGATTTCCTTAATTTAGTTCTTCAAAGTTATTTAATAACTTTATGAATGTTGAAAAGACTTTATTGTAATATTTTATTCTAAAGGGACTAGAGTTTTTTTTTTTTTTGGAGACAGAGTCTCCCTCTGTAGCCTAGGCTGGAGTGCAGTGCCACGATCTTGGCTCACTGCAACCTCCGGCGCCACCACGCCTAGCTAATTTTTGTATCAAATACATTTTTAAAAGATAAAGGAAAAATATTGGGCTGGGCATAGTGGCTCATGCCTCTAATCCCAGCACTTTGGGAGGTCAAGGCAGGAGGATCATTTGAGGCCAGGAGTTTGAGATGGCCTAGGCAACATAGTGAGATCTCATCTCTACTAAAAATCAAAAAAATTATCTGCGTGTGATGGCATATGCTGTGGTCTCAGCTACTTGGGATGCTGAGGTGGGAGGATTGCTTGAGCTTGGGAGGTCAAGGCTGCAGTGAGCCATGATTGCACCACCGCACTCCAGCCTGGGCAATAGAGTGAGAACCTGTCTTCCAAAAAGAAAAATGTTAAAAGAATGATCTAGGCCAGGCGTGGAGGCTCATGCTTGTAATCCCAGCACTTTGGGAGGCCAAGAACAGGTGGATCACTTGAGGACAGGAGTTCGAGACCAGCCTGGCCAACATAGCAAAACCCCCATCTCTACTAAAAATACAAAAAGTTAACTGGGCATGGTGGTACATGCCCTGTAATCCCAGTTACTCCGGAGGCTGAGGAATGAGAATCTCTTGAACCCGAGAGGCAGAGGTTGCAGTGAGCTAAAATCATGCCACTGCACTCCAGTCTGGGTGACAGAGTGAAACTCTGTCTCAAAAAATTAAAAATAAAAATAAATTTGCCAGCATTTTAAAAAGAAGCAGTCATTACGGTTTCTTTGTTAGAATCGACCACTGCTAATATCACTGTCTTAAAAAAAAAATTACCAGCCACGCACGGTGGCTCACACCTGTAATCCAAGCACTTTGGGAGGCCGAGGCGGGTGGATCACGAGGTCAAGAGATCGAGACCATCCTGGCCAACATGGTGAAACCCCGTCTCTACTAAAAATACAAAAAATTAGTTGGGCATGGTGGCACATGCCTGTAGTCCCAGCTACCTGGGAGGCTGAGGCAGGAGGATCACTTGAACCCAGGAGGTGGAGGTTGCACTGAGCTGAGATCATGCCACTGCACTCCAGCCTGGCCAACAGAGTGAGACTCTGTCTCAAAAAACAAAAAACAAAACAAACAAAAACACAAAAACATAATTATCTATACTAGATCCTGATTTATATTGATCTTTGATAGTGAAGGTGGTATTGGAACATTTCTCTGTGTATTGTTTAATAGCCTGGGCTGTATTCACCTTGTATGAAATTCTCAGTTGTCAAGACCTGTGTCTCAGGAGCTTCCACATGTATTCCATGGCTTGATTTCAGAATTCATGAAAAGGATAAATTAATTTGAGTTTTAGTTTTGTGTCATTCCCTACCCAAAGGATCTCAAAGCCACATCTTCCAATCAGTGGCATTAGTTACCTGTCCTGATCATTGGACTCCCAAGTCTTAGTAGACACATAAAAAATAAGGGAAAAGCTCTATCCTGAGCACAGTGAATACTCAATAAGAAGGTATAAATTCTGTAAGGCAAATTGGGTTATGGCCCATCTGCAGCCAGCACACAATTTAAACCCCTTTACCTATTCCTAAAATGCTGCTCAGTAACAAAAATTAAATGTCTCTATCAGTTGCCTCCTTTCTCATCTAGCTACTCCCTACAAATTCATTCTCTTTGAGATCTGCCTTAATCTTTCAATATATCTTCAATCTTCATTTTGGATTCATTGTTTAGGCTATTAAGAACCTAGGAATTATCTGGATTTTCTTATGAACAGTAATAAGAAAATTTTTGTTTCAAGTAATTTTCAATTGGGTCTTTAACATTAACAGTTACCATTACTGGATGCCTAAGATATTATGTAGATCCTATACCAGAATGTTTAAAATATGACCTCATTATAACCTACCAACCCTATGGAGATAGGTGACATTTTCACTAGTTTTCAGATGTAGCTACGACTCAGATAATTAACATGCCCAAGATCATAAAGCTAGTAGTGCCATAAAATGGCATACAATGGATTCAAACTAAGTCTATCTGACTCAAAAACCTATTCTTGGACTCTTCAGAATTTATCTTTCTACTTTTACAGATCACATTCCTCTGACTTTTGTATATTTCATTTGTATCTGTGTCCAGAGTTTAACACTTTAATATTCCTGACTTTGAGAACAGATGTAAGTTTGAATGCCCAGATTCATTTGCAAAGCAAAATATAATAGTAAAGTTCATTCCCAAACTTCTGATAACCCCAAAAATGAATTAGAATGTAAAATATGAATGTAAAGATGGTTAAGTTTGAATATTGATTATTTTGCTCTATTTCAATTTATTTGTCATTGTTATAATCTAGCTGAAATGTCTGTATAGAACAAAAATTTTTAAACCCTGCCTCATCACAATTCCCCCAACAAAAATATTAATTTTTAAAATCCAGTTTATCAATTTCTACTTACTCTATCAATTTTGAGCTATGAGACCTTGCAAAAGAATTACTAGGCCAGGTGTACTGGCTCATCCCTCTAATTTGAACACTTTGGAAGACCAGGGTGGGAGGATTACTTGAGCCAAGGAGTTCAAGATGTTGAACTCCTATGTTGCCTGGGCAACATAGTGAGACCTTATCTCTAGAAGGAAAAAAAAAAATGAGCTGAGTATGGTGACACACACCTGTAGTTCCAGCTACTCAGGAGGCTGAAGTGGGAGAGTCACTTGAGCCCGGAGGTTGAGGCTGCAGTGAGCCGTGATCAGAATTTCTAAAATTCTTTTCATTCTACAATTTTGCTGCTTTCTATATTAAAAGCCTCTTTGGGTAATTTATATTTTAAAAAAAATTCCTAATTATCTCAATAAAGTTTGTTTTTCTTGGGTCTTTAAGAATTTAGAGAGAATTAAAATAGTTTTGTGTTTAATAGCTCTGATTCTGGAATCGGTCAATTAAGGTTGTAACATTTAACATCTAGGACATCCAGGAAAAATTAACCTCTCTGAGCCTCTGTTTTCTTTTCTATAAAATGATGTGGGACCCACATCATCAGGTTGTTAAAAAAAAAAAAAGTTATATGAAGCACTTTCCATAGTACCTTGCACAATAGAAGTTAGCTATTACTATTTTTATTTAGATTTTGTGGTTTGTTCTTTGTAAATCAGAATCATAGCATTTTAGAGCTAGAAGAAACCCTTGGTGATCATTTGATCTAGCACCCTTATCTTTCATATGAAGCCTGGAGAAAGAGCAAAAGCTGGCTTTTGAGGTTTGGTGGCAAGTTGATGGTGGACCTCTAAAGAGTTCCGTCTGCCTTGGGGCAGGGGGAGGGGTGCAAGATTGTGTTGCTGTTATTATATTGTTTTGTTCTTACTTCTCTTTAATGATTCTTTACTCACATTTAAACTATTAAGTTGTTTCCATTTTTATTTATGCAATGATTTTATCACCATAGTAGGTTGGCATGAATACATTTTCTTCTTTGCTTACCTTAGCTAGCTTCCTTCCCACTCGGAAAGATAAGTCCATCACACCCAAAAAGATAAGTCTGCAGTATTATAGATGATGCTTTTGTGTTCAGCAGTGTAAGACAAAAAGCTTATGGTCTTTAATGGTTTTATGCTGATCTTACTCTTCTGGTAACTTTCTGTGACGTTAAGACATTGCTTCCAGCAGTAGTGGAGCGTGCCTCATGTTTTGAGTGCTGATTAAGTGAAGGCCTTCTGATCCATCTACAAAGCAGTAGTGGTTACAATAAGGATAGCAATATTTTTATCTCTGTTCTCTCTTGTATTGTAGAGCCGACAGTTAGAATCAGAAACTGGGACCACAGAGGAGCACAGTCTAAATAAGGAAGCTCGAAAATGGGCCACACGTGTGGCACGTGAGCATAAAAACATTGTTCACCAACAACGGGTAAGTGTAAGAGAAAGTCCTAGTTACATTCACCTTAAGCCAAATGTCAAACAGTTTAAGGAACTGAGTTTTATTAATGTGAAAAATATCCTATATGTGTTGTTTTGTTTTATTTGAGACAAGAGGCTTGCTCTGTCACCCAGGTTGAAGGGCAGTGGTGTGAACATGGCTTACTGCAGCTTCAACCTCCTGGGCTGAAGCAGTTCTCCCACTTCAGCCTCCCAAGTAGCTGGGACCACAGGCACATGCCACTATGCCTGGCTAAATTTTTTTAGATTTTTTGTAGAGATAGGGTCTTGCCATGTTTCCCAGGCTGGTCTCAAACTCCTTTGCTCAAGCATTATATGTGTTTTTTCTGTACTTTCTCAACACTCAGCAGTGTGCTGTCAGCTATCTACTCATGTTGGAATTTCCTTAAGCCCTCCATCAGCAATACATTAATTTACCTGTTTACCATAAAATTAACAAAGAAAATTGTGATAGTGTATTATGGGCAGGGGAAGAGACATATGTTGAATTAATATAAGTTTTCATCCCTCAAGACATATTTTTTAAAAGACATAATTATAGCCGGGCGCGGTGGCTCACGCCTGTAATCCCAGCACTTTGGGAGGCCGAGGTGGGTGGATCACAAGGTCAGGAGATCGAGACCATCCTGGCTAACATGTGTTACGGTGAAACCCCATCTCTACTAAAAATACAAAAAATTAGCCGAGTGTGGTGGCGGGCACCTGTAGTCCCAGCTACTCGGGAGGTTGAGGCAGGAGAATGGCATGAACCTGGGAGGCGGAGCTTGCAGTGAGCTGAGATCACGCCACTGCACTCCAACCTGGGCGACAGCGAGACTCTGTCTCAATAAAAAGAAAAAAGAAAGACACAATTATAGATTTCATGAAAATATATGTTTGGCTGGGCGCAGTGGCTCACGCCTGTAATCCCAGAACTTTGGGAGGCTGAGGCAAGTGGATTGCTTGAACCAGGAGTTTGAGACCAGCCTGAGCAACATGGCAAAAAACCCGGTGTCTACAAAAAATTCAAAAATTAGTCGGGCATGGGGGCGCACACCTATCTTCCCACCTATTCGGGAGGCTAAGGTTGGGGAGAATTGCTTGAGCCCGGGAGGTGGAGGTTACATTGAGGTAAGATCATGCCTCTGAACTCCAGACTGGGTGACAGAGAAAGACCCTGTCTCCAAAAAAAAAAAAGAAAGAAAGAAAGAAAGAAAATATATCTCGAAGACTAAACTCTAAGCACAAAGAAATTATTTGGAGTATAGTACTTTTTTTCTGTTTCATTTATTGATACCTATATCCGTCTCATTCTTTGCCTTCACATCCTGCTTCTTAAAAGAATTGCCTATGCTTATTATCTATAGAATCTCACCTCCCACTTACTTTTTAGCCCATTACATTTGAGCTTTCCTGTCCTTTCCTTCCCCTGTCTAAGCTTACCAAAATCGCCAATGATGTCTGTGTTGCTAGCTTCCAAGTGGACACTTTGATTTCTCATTTTTCTTAATCTGTCAACAATTTCATCACAATTAACAATTCCATGTCTTAAAATGTTATCTTCTCTAGTCATCCACGATTCAACATTGTCCTGGCTTTCCTTCTGCCTTTCTGGCCATACCTAGATTTTTTCATGGGTTCCTCTTTCTCCATCCCACAATGAAATATTCAGTTTCTCAGATTCCTATACTTGGCTATCTTGTTTTCTTATTCTTTACCCTCATATAGGCATTCTCAGTCACTTCCATGGTTTTACTTTACCACCAAATCATAAATTAACATCTTCAACATTGGGCCTTGCTACTACTGTGTATCCATATAATCTCTTGCCTGTTTTGACATCTTCTTTTCACTATCTCACAGGTGTCTCAAATTCAGTGTTCCACTTATGTAATGTTGCTTAACAAACCACCTCAAACTTAATGCCATAGAACAAGAGGGTTTTTACATTATCTCTCACTAATCTGAGTATTGGATGGTCTCAGCTTAGCAGTTTCCCTTGGGGTCTCTCATGTGGCGGCAATCAGATAGTGGCTGGTCCTGGCTTCCCCACTGAAGGGACTGTCTGTAGTAAGTTTGTTACTAGTAAGTCTATAATTATTTCAAAATGTTCAAAAAATAAATAAATGAAAAAAAATTATGGCTACTAGTCACTAAAGCCCTTTGAATTATGTAAATACTTTAATCACTTAAGGAAGATGAAAAGTAAAAAACAGTCATCATTATTGTCCCATTTTCTTTAATAGGTTCTAAATGATCTGGAGTGTCATGGAGCTGCTGTATCAGAACAAAGCCGAGCAGAGCTAGAACAGAAAATAGATGAAGCTAGAGAAAATATTCGTAAAGCAGAGGTAAGGTGGCAGCTAATTGTGGCATTTTGCCCAGGTCTAATGACACTGTCACAGCTGTGATATACATCTTTAAAACTGAGTTTCTACACACACTGAGATGAAGGTGATTCACCGTCTTCATTCGTGTCCACAGTAGTATTTGTTGAGTACCTGCTCTGTGGAAGGCAGTACATATAACAAAAAGATGCTGTAAAGTTTACAGTCATGAAACATTAAATACAAAAGATTTAAGTCACAATGAAGATACTAATTTTAAAGTTTCTAAAAGGTACATAATAAACCACAGAGATTAATGGTAGAAAAAATGATGTATATATATCAATTTAGATATATATATATATCTCCTTATATATCAATATCTATGGAGACATATATTCATATATATATATATATTTTCAGAGCTTAGGAAATCTCCCCCATATGGAAGGTTCCCTGGATCCAGGGGCATGAGCTGGGCTTTTAAGAATAGGGAAGATTTGGCTAAGCAGAGATGGGAAAAAATTTATAATAGTGGATTTTAATTTTTTGTGGAGTCATGGGACCTTTGAGGGTTGTATGAAAGCTGTGAAACATTCTCTCCCACACACAAAAATGTACATTTTGTGTAGTGTTTAGAGTTCTTATGCCTGAGGCTAATACTCCCTGCTCTAGATAGGGAGAGGTTGGGATAGGAAACAAGAAAGTATTAGCAAAGGAGGAAGACACAGAGTATAATTTGGTAGCTGGATATGATTAGAGTGGAGGATTTTTGTGAGGAAATGTGGTAGAAAGTAAGTAAACTTGTTGTGGTTAGGGCCAGTTTATGGAGGACCTGTGCACACACTTTTATCTACTCAGCAGCAATGTGGTGAAGGGGTATGGAGGTAGACATTTATAAAAGACTGACACCATCCAGCCATTAAAAGATTAGGTTCTTGTTAGAAAGGCATAAAGAATGCCAAAAATCACTAAGATGGTAAAGCATAACTGCCGAGGAGTGGTGCATTAAGTATAGTTGAAGAACCCAGAGGCCACAGAAATCACTCTGGGAGGGATTGTTGCGGGTGTAACACAGAAGAAGACTTAAGATGAATGCTGGCAGATGAATAGTATTTGATTAGTCAGAGAAAAGGGGATAGCACAGACTTATGCCATGCAACTTCAGGAGGTAGAATTTGAACCAAAAGATGAAGGTAGGAAAGAAGGAGATGTGAGTTTAGTATTGGGAAATACTTTCTAATAGTCAGATCTTCCCAAAGACAGAATAAGCACTCCTGAGACATAGTGCAGCCCTATAAGTATGTAAGAAGATTCTGGGCAAGCATCTTTCAGGGACCCAATACAAGGAATCCCTGCACTGGTTTAGGTTTAAACTAAACTAATGGTTTTCTAACACCCCCTTAGAACTCCAGAGGTTTTGAGGAAGTGCTTCACTGGTTGTGGGGTGAAGGGAGAGGCAGCGTAGGCAAGCATAGAGAATATGAGCATGTTTTTGGTACAGCCCCATGGAAGTGATCTGAATCAGAACAGGCTTGCCATCTGCCTGGGCTGGAGAAACCCCAGTAACCCCACCTCCACTTCATTCCTGTTCACAGTCTAATTGACAGCCACCATAGTGAGGAGGGCAGGGTGTACAATGAATAGTCATTTTTCTCTTTGAATTCAGGGTCATGTCTAAACCACTATCTTAGGGTGCTGGCCAAGTAGTGTTGGCAAGCCCTCATCTACTCTAAGAAACACTGGCCTGTGGTAGAAGAGTTATTCCTGTTGTTTGTTTCTCCGCACTCTAGATGAAGCCAGTTTTTCAGAGCCTTGGTGGAACAGGAGTAATTATTTTAAGACAAGTCTCAGAGGTTTTCTGAGGGGTATTTCATGTATTTTCCATTTCCAGACCCCATGCATGGTATCACCGACTGGTACCCTAACTCCACGAAACCTCCCGCCATCCCCAGTAGTAGCAGTAGTAGGTATCAGGCACACAGAGTCTTCATTTAGGCCAGATGACCTATTATTTCCATAGTATGCCAAACTAGACTGTGTTTGTTAGTTTCAAACTAAAAATATGAAGTGAAATTCTCATACCACGATGTCTCACCTCTTCTAATGCAAGTATTTAAGTCTACATTCTCAAAAATAGTTTTCTTATCAAAAATGTTGAATATAGTATGCTAAAACCATTGTAGCAGATCCGTTTTCTCAGTTTTGAATATCTGTAGCATTTAATTAATTTTACTGTTAGCATAAAATAATCTCACTTGGTTTCCACTTAACAGATACAAAAAATAGCCTAAGTAAAATTAGCCAGCAAATATGAGGGCATATTTATTGGGGTAGTACTTACAGGATTATCATAATAAAATTTTTGGATGGACTAGACCATGAGAGTCTTCAAAGGAATTAACAATAATGGTTTCTGCACATACCCTTTTCCTTTCTTCTGCCTGTATATCATTTGCAGTGGTTTTTCGTTTTTATCGATACTTTATTTATTATAAATACCTATACAAAAGAGAGAACACTGGTTATATAAAATGTGAGTCCTCATTATTGCAAAGTTAATGACAAGAGTGACCCTGCTATTAAAACAAAATTTTTAGGCCAGGTGCAGTGGTTCATGCCTCTAATTCTATCACTTTGGAAGACTGAGGTGGGAAGATCACTTGAGCTCAGGAGTTTGAGAGCAGCCTGGGCAACAGATGAGACATCGTCTCTGTTACAAATGAAAATAAATTAGCTGGGTATGCTAACATGTGCCTGTAGTCTCAGCTACTTGGGAGGCAGAGGCTTGATCCTGGAAGGTTGGTCTGCAGTGAGCCATGGTTGGACCACTGTACTCCAGCTTGGGCAACAGAGCAAGACTATATGTATGTGTGTGTATATATATGATCTTTTATATATATATATATGATCTTTTATATATATCATCATATATATAAACTATATATATGATCTTATATATAAACTATGTATGATTATATATATGATATATATAACATACACACAGATATATATATATTTCTAATCACATTATTTCCAAATTTATATTACCTCTGGGCCTGTTACTGTGAGGTTTCACTGTATTCATGCTATGTTAGCAGACCTCTTGACTAATCACTTTTATTTTTTTACTGAAAATTTTCAAACATACAGAAAATATGAAGAATAAACATGTATTTCCTAACATCTAGATTCAACTATTATATTTTGCAATACTGGCTTTATGTGTTTGTTAGATTGACCCATTAACTGTGTTGTATAAAATGGAAGTTAGGTCTTAAGGCCTGATTAGAGGCAGGTTAGTGTTTTAGGCAGAAATAGTTCGTAGATGATGTGATGTTTTTCATCACATAAAGAATCATAATATCAAGTTGTCCTGCTATTAATGATACTAAGAGTGGTCTCTTAATAAGGTGGTGTGCTACCAGATCTTTCCATGATAAAGATTCTTTCCTCTTTGCAATTACCAAGTGCTAGTCACCTCCAGTGGTGGTGAATGGGTATTTTTTTTTCTTGGGTATTATTATGACCTCATTAAAAAAAATTTTTTTTTTTTTTTTTTGAGACACGGTCTCACTCTGTCACCCAGGCTGGAGTGCAGTGGCACGATCTCAACTCACTGCCGCCCGAACCTCCTGGGCTCAAGCGATTCTCCCATGTCAGCCTCCCGAGTAGCTGGGAATACAGGCGCACTCCACCATGCCTGGCTAATTTTTCTATTTTTTTGTAGAGATGGGGTTTCACCATGTTGCCCAGGCTGGTCTCAAACTCGTGGGTCAAGCAATCTGCCTGCCTTGGCCGCCCAGAGTGCTGGGATTACAGGCGTGAGCCACTGCCTCCGACTTGTCAGTCTTTTTAAACTTAGCCATTTGAGTATGTGTGTAATGGTATCTCACTGTGGTTTTGAATTGCATTTGGCTACAGACTAGTGACATTAACTAACTATGCTGAGCATCTTTTTATAAGTTTTTAGCCCTTCATATATCCCCCTTAGTAAAGTATTTGTTAATATCTTTTGCCCAAATTTAGATTGGTCTTATTACTGAGTTATAACAATTTATGTTTTCTGGATACTAGTCATTTTTTAGGTACATGTACTGCAAATATTTTCTCCAGTCTTTGGCTTACCTTTTCATTTTCTAGATTGGAAACTTTTAATTTTGATGAGATTAATTTATGAATTTTGTCCTTTATGATTAGTGTTGTGTTCTAAGAAATTTTTGCCTGATCAAGGTTGTGATATGTCCTCTCATGTTTTCTTCTAGAAGTGTTATAGTTCAAGCTTTTCTTTGTGGACTGTGGTCCTAAACATTTCTAGTTAAATTGTTGAGGTCTGGTATGAGTTAAGGGTCATGTTTGGTTTTTTTGTTGTTGTTTTGTTTTGTTTTTTCCTATACAGATAGCCAGTTGTTCCACCATCATATTTTAAAGAGTATGCTTTTCCCATTACCTTTGCACCCGTATTGAAAACAACTAATCATATGTGTATGAATATTTTCAATTTTATTCAGTTCCATTGGTCTATATGTCTGTACTTATGCCAGTATCACAGTCTTAATGACATTGTAAGTCTTGAAATCAGATAGTATAATTCCTCCAACACTATTCTTGTTTTAGAATTATTTGGACTATTCTCATTGCCATCAGCTTCTACAAAAAAAGACTGCGGGCATTTTGATTGGGATTGCATTGAATCCACAAATAATTTGAGGAGAATTGACTTCTCAACAATATTGAGTCTTCTAATTCATGAACATGATGTGTCTCTCTATTTATTTAGGCACTCTGTTTCCTTTTTTGGCTTCTTAATTTTTTATTGATACAAAATAATTGTACATATTTATGAGATGCATGTGATATTTTGATACATGCATACAGTGTATAATGATCAAATTAGAGTAATTAAGATATCTATCACCTCAGACATTTATAATTTCTTTATATTTAGAACATTTCAAATCTTCTAGTTATTTTGAATTAATTATTAACTAGTCACCCTGCTAAGCTATCAAACACCAGAACTTATCCCATCTATCTAACTGTTTGCTTCTATTCCCCAATCTCTCTTCTTCTCCTTCCCCATAATCCTTCCCAGCTTCTGATAACCATCATTCTACTCTGTACTTTTTTTTTTTTGAGACGAAGTCTTGCTCTGTCACCCAGGCTGGAGTGCAGTGGCACACGCCACCACGCCCGGCTAATTTTTTTACTTGTAATAAAAGACAGGGTTTTACCATGTTGGCCAAGCTGGTCTCGAACTCCTGACCTCATGATCCACCCGCCTTGGCCTCCCAAAGTGCTGGGATTACAGGCATGAGCCACCATGCCCAGCCTCTGCTCTCTTTTTTTTTGAGACGGAGTCTTGCTGTCACCCAGGCTGGAGTGCAGTGGCGCGATTTCGGCTCACTGCAAGCTCCTCCTCCCGGCTTCATGCCATTCTCCCGCCTCAGCCTCCCAACTAGCCGGGACTACAGGCGCCCGCCACCACACCCAGCTAATTTTGTTTTTGTATTTTTAGTAGAGATGGGGTTTCACCGTGTTAGTCAGGATGGTCTCAATCTCCTGACCTCATGATTCGCCCCCCTCGGCCTCCCAAAGTGCTGGGATTACAGGCGTGAGCCACCGCACCCGGCCCCAGCCTCTACTCTCTACTTCTATAATTAACATTTTTTAGCTCCCACACATGAGTGAGAACATGTGATATTTGTCTTTCTGTGCCTAGCTTATTTCACTTAACATAATGACCTCCAGTTCCATTTATATTGCTGCAAATGACAGGATTTCATTCTTTTTTATGACTGAATAGTATTCCATTGTGTGTATATATCACATTTTCTTAATCCACTGATGGACACTTAGGTTGATTCCACATCTTGGCCACTGTGAATAGTGCTGTAATAAACAGGGGATGAAGGTATGACTTTGATACACTGATTTCCTTTCCTTTGGATAAATATCCAAAAGAGGGATTGCTGGATCATATAGTAGTTCTATTTTTAGTCTTTTGAGAAACCTCCATGCTGTTTTCCATAATAGCTGTACTAATTTACATTCCCACCAACAGTGTATAACAGTTCCCTTTTTTCTGCATCTTCACTAGCACTTGTTATTTTTTGTCTTTTTGATAAATAGTGATTCTAACTGGGGTAAGATGATATCTGATTTTGGTTTTGATATCTGGTTTTGATTTGCATTTTACTGATGATAAGTGATGTTGAGTATTTTTTCATATACCTGTTGGCCATTATGTCTTCTTTTGAGAAAAGTGGTTACACATCCATTGCCCAATTTTTAATAAGATTACATGGTATTTTGCTATTGAGTTGTTTGAGTTCCGTGTATATTCCGTATATTAGTCCCTTGTTGCATGAATAATTTGCAAGTATTTTCTTCCATTCTGTAGGTCATCTGTTAACTCTTTTGTTTCCTTTGCTGCATAGAGTTTTTAATTTAATGTAGTCCTATTTGTCTGTTTTTTGTTTTGTTGCCTGTGGCCTTAAAGCCTCAGCCATAAAAATCTCCCTTGACCAATGTCCAGAAGCATTTCCCCTATGTTTTCTTGTACTAGTTCTATAGTGTGGGTGTTTGTTTGTTGTTGTTGTTGTTGTTTTCTTTTTTTTTTTTTCGAGACAGGGTATCACTCTGTCACCCAGGCTGGAGTGCAGTGGCACAGTCACAGCTCACTGCAGCCTTGGCCTCCCCAGGCTCAGGTGATCCTCCCACCTGAGTTTTTGTATTTTTAGTAAGATGGGGTTTCGCTATGTTGCCCAGACTGGTCTCGAACTCCTGGGCTCAAGGGATCCACCCGCCTCAGCCTCCCAAAGTGCTAAGATTACAGGTGTGAGCCACTGTGCCCAGCCATAATATTGGGTTTATTTTTAAAGTCTTTAATCATTTTGAGCCGACTTTTATATATGGTGAGAGATAGGGATCTAGTTTCATTCTTTGGCAGGTGGATATTCAGTTTTCCCAGCAGCATTTATTGAAGAGGGTGTCCTTTCCCCAATGTAAATTCTTAGCACCTTTGTAAATTGGTTGGCTATAAGTACATTATTTCTGGGATGTCTGTTCTGTTCCATTGGTCTGTGTGTCTGTATTTGTGACAATACCATGCTGTTTTGGTTACTAAAGTCAGGTAGTGTATTACCTCCAGCTTTATTATTTTTGCTCAGAATTGCTTTGGCTATTCAGGGACTTTTGTGGTTCCATACAAATTTTAGGATTTTTTTTTCTATTTCTGTGAAGAATGTCATTGATTTTGATAGCAATTGCACATGGATTCGTTTTTGTCCTCTTCAATTTCTTTCATCAGTGTTTTGTAGTTTTCCTTGTAGAGATCTTTCACTTCCTTGGTTAAATTTATTCCTGGGGTTGGGGTTTTTTGTTTTTTTGTTTTTTGGGTGGTTTTTGTTTGTTTGTTTGTTTTTGTCTTGTTTTGGTTTGGTTTGGGTAGCTATTTTAAATAGGATTACTTTTTTTTTTTTTTTTTTTTTTGAGACAGAATTTCACTCTTGTTGCCCAGGCTGGAATGCGATGGCGCGATCTCGGCTCACGTCAAGCTCCGCCTCCTGGGTTCAACCGATTGTTCGGCCTCAGTCTCTCAAGTAGCTGGGATTACAGGCATGAGCCACTGAGCCTGGCCCATTATGCCTTGATATATGTTTTCTGTCCTCTTCTATGATTTCAATTACATGAATATTAAATCACTTGATATTATCCTACATGTCATATGCAAAGCTCATTCCACACATTTTTATCTGGCCTTATTTTTTATCTCAGTCTCAGTTTGATGAGTTATTATTAGTGTCTATTAAAACCTATGGATATTTCCTCTATAGTGTATAAACTACTGTTAAGGCCATCTTGTGAATTTTTATTTCAAATGTTATATTTTTAGCTCTATAAGTTCTATGTGGTTCTTCTTTTATCTTCTAGTTCATTCCTATTTATCTTCATGTTTTTCTTTAAACCTCTAAGTATATTTATAACAGCAATTTTAAAGTTCTTGTCTACTCATTCCATCATCTCTGTCATTTCATTCTTTTTATTGACTGATTTTTGTCTTGGCTCATGTTTTTCTGCTTTTCAAATACCTACTAAGTTTTTACTGAATCTAGACATAGTGACTGTTTGGTTATTAAGTTTCTAGATTCTATTTTCTTCTTATAAAGACTATTGAGTTTTGTTTTGGCTGCCAGGTCAGTTACTTGCAGATCAGTTTGATCATTTCGAAGCTTGCTTTTAAGCTTTGTTTGGGTTAATGTAGAGATAAATTAGAAATTAGCCCTATACTAATGCCGTGGGTATACACCAAGTTCTCTCAACTCTGGCTGGATAGAGTTGTAATATCTTTTTTTTTGTTTTTTTGTTTTGTTTTGTTTTTGAGACAAAGTCTCACTCTGTCGCACAGGCTTGAGTGCAGTGGTAATGATCTCTGCTCAGTGCAACCTCTGCCTCCTGGGTTCAAGCAGTTCCCCTGCCTCAGCTTCCCAAGTAGCTGGGATTACAGGTGCCCGCCACCAAAACCAGCTAATTTTTTTTGTATTTTTAGTAGAGACGGGGTTTCACCATGTTGGCCAGGCTGGTCTCGAACTCCTGACCTCAAGTGATCTGCCCGCCTCGGCCTCCCAAAGTGCTGGGATTACAAGCATGAGCCACCACAGAGTTTTAATGTCTTTCAACCCTGTACAAGCTCTAGGAATTTTTCAGTTCATAGCTCTACTGTAGATATTCTTTTCTTAGTAGTTATTGTTTGCCTCTCCTCCTGGAGTTCCACCTGACATCATTTCAACTTATTATAGATTTTTATCTATTTAGTATATTATCAATTCCAGTTGTCATTTTAAGTTCCATATTATCTAAAACTGGGAGTCCATTCAACTGACTTCTGTGTACTTTTGACATTACCCCCGTTAGTCCTTGAATACTTTCTTCCTAGTAAAACAAGCTATCACAGTGTTCACCTTATATTTTTCCTGCCCAGACTTAGAATTAGCTGTTTCTCCAAGAAGCTCTGATTCTCTTAATAGAAAATGGTATTTAGACACTAAGGCCTGGGCTGTGAAGGTGCTTATTGTTCTAAGTGTCATTTTCTTTTTTATCTTTTCTTTGTTGTTAGAGCTAGGGATAACTTTTTTTAAGTCATGAGTTCATGTTGATATTTCCAATTAACATGGACAATTAGAGGGATTTTACTTATTTTTAGAGACAGGGTCTCAATATATTTCCCAGGCTAGAATGCAGTGACTATTCACAGGCACAATCATAGTGTACTATAGCCTTGAACTCCTGGACTCAAATGATCCTCCTGCCTCAGCCTCCAAAATAGTTGTGACTACAACTGCATGCCACTATGCCCAGCCAGAGGGATTTTATTGAACTTATTTGATTTCTTTGATTTTACATTTATTTATGTTCTTTTTGCCTTACACCAAAAAGTTTTATTCCTAATCATATTATCTAATATTTTATTTGCTTTATATATTTAAAAAAATTTTTTTTGAGACAGTGTCTCTGTCACCCAGGCTGGAGTGCAGTGGCACTCATTGCAGCCTCCACCTCCCAGGTTTAAGCAATCCTCCCACCTCCATTTCCCGAATAGCTGGGGCTACAGACATGTGCCACCATACCCAGCTAATTTTTGCATTTTTTGTAGAGACAGGGTTTCCCCATGTTTCTCAGGCTGGTCTTGAGCTCCTGGGCTCAGGCAGTCTGCATGCCTCAGCCTCCAAAGTGTTGAGATTATAGACATGAGCCACTATGCCCAGCCTGCTTTGTATATTATAGAATAATAACTGCAGTATATATTAAGCACTTTCAGAACTACAACATAAATATTGCTATTAATAGTAAACTATTGAAAGTTTTAGATTTCTTTATAATTCTCTTTGAATGTAGAATAAATATATCTCTAAGAGACTTTCTGCTTCTTGTAATAGGTTACTAGCTTATATAAGACTATTTTAGATGACAATATTAATCTGGGGTAAAAATATTAAAACAAAAATTATTTAATAGAGCTGGAAAATGACCCAAAGCATGTAAAACCTGGAGAGGAATTTCTCCTTGAAAGAACAAGACTATACTTAGTGATATTTCCATTATATAGCCCTGCATCTGTAAGGAGCAGCACAACCAGAATTTAAGCAGAACCTCCATCTTACTGGCCTGAAGGTGGATGTCCTTTGGAACAGAGACTCTAAGGAGCTTGGCAGGAAACAATAACTGAAAGGCAAAAAAATCCAGGAGAAATTTTAGCTGTTGCTTATCACAGGAGAACAAACACTAATCATTAAAAAAACTGAAGTGGCAAAACCCCATCTCTACAAAAAATACAAAAATTAGCCGGGCATGGTGGTGCACGCCTGTAGTCCCAGCTACTCAGGAGGCTGAGGTGAGGTAGGAGGATGAGGCTGCACTGGAGGCAGCCTGGAGGTTGAGGCTGCACTGAGCCGTGATCGTACCACTGCACTGCAGCGTAGACAACAAAGTCCAGACCCTGTCTAAAAAAAAAAAAAATGAAGTGATCATATTACTGTTAGACAAAATACATTTTAGGACAAGGAATATTAAAAAGGATAATGCATAATGATTTTTTAAAGACATTTCATCATGAATATATTAAAATCCTGGACGTATATATAATAATAATGCTACAACATACATAAAGCAAAAACTGGCAGAACTGAAAGAAGAACTAGACAAATCTACAATTGTAGTAGGAGTCTTTAGGATCCCTCTTTCAGTAATTGATAGAACAAGAATATAGAAAATCAGTAAGGATATAGAAGATGAACAACATCATTAACCAACTTTACCTAATTGGCATTCATCGAACTCCACTGCATATGAGTAGAATATATGTTCTTTTAAAGTACACATAGAACATTCAACAAGACCATACACTGGACCATAAACCTGTTTCAATAAGTTTAAAAGGATTGATATTATACATAGTAAGTTCTTGATTAATTAGGCTTATATTAAAAATCCATAATAGAAAGATGGCTAGAAAATACCCAAATAATTGGAGATTATGTTGTTCAAACACAGTAATCTGTTGCTGCCTTTGAAAACCATCCCAAACTTTATGGCAAAAATAACAGTGGTTTATTATCTGTTGCCATTCTGGGTGCTGACTATGCATTTCCTTTTATTCTTTTATTTTCTTTTGAGACCATCTCACTCTGTCTCGCAGGCTGGACTGCAGTGGCACAACTCACTGCAGCCTCAACCTCGTGGCCTCAAGCAATCCTCCCACCTCAGCCTCCCGAATAGCTGGGACTACAGGCATGTACCACCAAACCCAGCTAATATTTTATTTTCCTTTTTTATAGAGATAGGGTCTTGCTATTTTGCCCAGGCTGCCTCAAACCTCGAATTCCTGGGCTCAGCAATCCTCCCACATCAGCCTTCCAAAATGTGGGGATCACAGGTGTCAGCCACTGTGCCAAGCCAACTAGTCATTTCTTTTGCTGGTTTTGCCTGAGGTTACTCAAGCAATTACTTTCAGCTAGAGGACTGGCCAGAGGGCTGGGCTCAGCTGTGATGGCTGGGTCTTTTCCCCATGTGGTCTTTCATCAGCATATAGGTTAAACTGGACTTCCCCAGCATGGTGGCAGCATATTTCAAGAAGTCAGATCCAAATAGCACTTACTGAGGGTCCTCTGTTTCCATTAAATTGGCAAATGCCCCACTAGCCAAAGCAAATCACATGGACAAGCCCAGAATCATGGTGGGAGTGGACTACATGGATACCAGGAAGCATGATTATTTGGGAACCTTTAATATAATGGTTTACCACAGTTGGTGTGACCTTGATTAAATCATTTTTCTCATCTATAAAATGGAGTTTTGGGGCTAGGGATGGTGGCTGACACCTCTAATTCCAGCATTTTGGGAGGCCAGGGCAGGAGGGCGGAAGGATCGTTTGAGGCCAGGAGTTTGATACCAACCAGGCAGCATAGCAAGACCCCATCTCTACAAAAAACTTTAACATTAGATGTGGTGGCATATGCTTCTGGTCCCAACTGCTCAGGAGAAATCCAAGGTTACAGTGAGCTATTATTGCACCACTGCACTCTAGCCTGGGCAGCAGAGCGAGACTCTGTCAAATAAATAATAGCTAGCTAGATAGATAGATAGAGTTTATAATATTGACCCCTAGAATTGTTTTGTGAATTAAATGAAATATATGATGATATAGTTCCTAGTACCTATGATAAAAGCTGTTTGGAGCTTTTTTTTAAGGTACCAAAGATGGAGTAGCAAATACTATTATCTACCATTATTGATTCTATTCTACAAGTAAACCACTGTCCTAAATAGTAATACATTACACACAGTCCTTGTCCTTAGAGAAGAGATATGTTAAAGGCAAATGAATTAGTCCAAATTAGATTTACAGACTTGAAATTCAACTATAGCTTTACACTTATATGTGTTTATGTTAAATGTTGTGTTAAAATCTAGGTAATTGACTGTGTTTATAAACCAAGATTATGTATCCTAAAAGATCTGGATTTTTAAAATACTATTTTTAAAAGCTCTGTCTCTTTAAAGCTTCCAAAAATGATTTGGTCAAGTAGTATCTGGAATGCCATCAAGTTTACAGAGAGCTATACTCTGAAAATTTTTAATAAGTTGGCAAATCATGAAAATTCATTTGAAAACACTAGAAAGTTCTGCTTTTAGACAATTTTTAACTTATAAGCAACTGAAATCCTAAAGGGAAGATAGCAGTGTTTAATTCTGGGACTGCAGTCTAAATCTGAGTTGGCAAATACCATGTTTATCTGTTGTTTGATAAAATACTGACAAAATCTTATAAAAACTGGATTACTTGAATAACTGCTTTGAGAAAATAGAATGTAGTGAATACTTCTCTCTTTTCTGCTTCAGCAATTAAATGACTTGCATATGTGATTTCTAAGAAAGAGCTTGTTGGTTCACTCTTTTAAAAAACAAAAATAAAAACATTTCATTGTTTTAAAATGAATACTAGAGGTCAGGCACAGTGGCTCGCACCTGTAATCCCAGCATTTTGGGAGGCTGAGGCAGGAGGATCACTTGAAGCCAGAAGTTCAAGACCAGCCTAGGCAACATAGTGAGACAGCTGTCTCTACAAAAAATTTTAAAAAATTAGCCAGGCATGGTGGCATGCACCTGTAGTCCTAGCTACTGGGAAGGCTACAGTAGGAGGATCACTTGAGCCCAGCAGTTCGAGGCTGCAGTGAGCTATTGTCATACCACCGCATTCCAGCTTGGGCAACAGTGAGACCCTGTCTCTTAAAAAAGCAAAAGCATACTACAATGGTGCTAGGGCAAGTGGATATCCATATGCAAAAGAATGAAGTTTGACCCTGTTAAAAGATAAACTTAGGCACATTAAATTTTTTTTTATTTGAGAAAATAGTGATAATTACTTGGGCAGCACCAGATCATATGCAGTTCAGGGTTCCACCAATGGAACACCAGAGGAATGCTTTTATAGGGTGAACTCAGAAGCAAAACAAAGCAAATATTTGATTGGTTAAAGTGGCACGGTAGTATCCTTTTTTGGATCATTCCAGTGGAAGGTTTCTAGTTAGAAGGTAGTTGGCAGTTTTTGATTGGTT